>NC_000001.11:112281107-112584138 GCF_000001405.40 Homo sapiens
CCCTTGGACTCTTAGGTGCAGCTGCAGCCTGCACAATAGACCATCCCCATACCTCTCAGACTTTAGTTGTCTCAAATGTCTCACAAAAACTCCAGGCAGTGAAAGGCGATCTTCTGCCTACTTCTCAACAAGGCTTTATTCCATGTTGTATTACATAAATAGTGCCTCCAGATGCTTCCTTTGAGCTGAGCTTTCCCCAGCCAGTGGGTAATCTTAGCCTCCATTAAATTATGCTGCTGATCCCTCTGTAGCCATGTTAATTAAATACAAAAGTTGTCATCACGTTCTGAACCTGGCCTCCTTCACAGGCACTGTGGACCAAGAGCTCTTCCCATGTGCCAGCAGGCTTTGTCCTGTCCTATTTAAATCATTTTAACTGCACATTGGTCAGAGCCCAGACAAGACTCATTCCATCCTTCCCTGTCCAAGGCAGAGATGGTCTCTCTATGCCCTTCCAACATCACTTTCTCAGGAAGAGTTGATGAAATGATGAGCATACACCCAGTAATACACAAAGGATTCATTCATTCGCTCATCAACAAAGGCTTTTTGAGTAAGACTTCCTATATGCCAGGTACCTTTATTAGTGCTGTGAACATAGCAGTGAACAAAAGAGACCAAGTCCCTACTGTCATAAAAATAACATTCCAGTGTGGTCTTAGTTAAGACCAGTGGTTTTTCAACCTTGGCTGTACATTAGAAATATCTGGGGAGTTTTAGAAAGCCCAATACTCAAGAGGTTGTATTAAATAAGAATTTCTAGTAGTTTTTAAAGGTTTCCAAATTATTTCTATGTGAGACTGTAAATATTTCCTTTGATCACTCCACCTTGTCCACTACTAAAAGAAAAAAAAATCATCTCTCTCTAAAGAACACTCTCTAAGAAGGAGACACAACCATTGCCCTTGGAGTTGTAAGGTTGGTATTTCAAGTTCTGAAGAAGCCTTCCCTCAAAAGAAAGGAAGAGCTTGATAGGTTCAGCTCCTCTCTCATCTGAAGCACCTGTTGGCGTCCAGAAGCAGGTAAAGGGGCTGACCTGGAACAGGTCACATCATCCCTGCATGACCAGGATCTCCAGGTCATCTTGGACCACTACTGTTACCACCCTGTTCCTACAAAATTGCCCAGAGAACAAGCTTCCAAGCTGACAAATGGGCTATCCCAGCAGTCGCCATCCTTTTTGGCACCAAGTGACTGGTTTTGAGGAAGGCAATGTTTCCACAGACAGCGGGGGCCAGCTGGAGGATGGTTCAGGATAAAACTGTTCCACCTTAGATCATCAGGCATTAGATTCTCATAAGGAGCACAGCCTAGATCCCTCACATGCGCAGTTCACAGTAGGGTTCCTGCTCCTATGAGAATCTAATGTCACAGCTGATCTGACAGGAGGTGGAGCTCAGAGAGTGATGCTCGCTTGCCCATCGCTCACCCCCTGCTGGTTCCTAACAGGCTCCTAGCTGGTCCCAGTTCCTAACAGGCCATGGACTGGCATGGGTCTGTGGCCCAGGGATTGGAGACCCCTGGGCTAACCCC
Source organism: Homo sapiens (assembly GCF_000001405.40). Lineage (NCBI taxonomy): Eukaryota > Metazoa > Chordata > Mammalia > Primates > Hominidae > Homo > Homo sapiens. Next base: position 112,282,641 of record NC_000001.11, read on the forward strand.
ACTAGTTCACTTCTTTTCTCTTCTGTATTCAGACACGATGAGGGGCCTTCAGCTAAGAGCAAACTTGTCCTCAGGGCCAGTCAGGGCCTGGGGCCAGGAGATCCTTAAATTGGTGACAAAAGCCTAAGGAGCTCTTCCTTAGAATCAGGTGGCTCCCTTTGCTCAGCAAAGCCTAGGTCTGATTCCTAGACCAAGAGCTCCTCATCCAAGGAAAAATGCTTCATAGAAGGGAGGGAGGTGCAAGGGTTGTTCCTTCCCCCTGGGGCTGTCTTGAAACCAACTCTGACCTTTGAGGGGGTGACAACAAGAGAGAAAGCTGTCTCTGGATCCCAGCATACTCAGTACTCCCAATAGAAAGTAGAGGTGTGAGAGTCAACGTAACTAATGGCTCAACTGGGCTTCAAGAGCTCTTGGTTCTAGTGTCAGTCCTGTCACCAATTAGCTGCTTAACCTTGGGAAAGTCTCATCCTCTCTCTGGGGGCATCTTCCTTTTCTGTAAAGTTAAGATAGTCTAAAGGTATCTGAGATGCCTTCTAGATTTGGTTGTCTATGAGTCTAGGATTCTAAGAGGATGAGAGCAATTGCCCACCCAACTGGCCAAGAGCACCCGGGGGATAAATAAGAGGCTGGAGGGGTCGGGCACGGTGGCTCACGCCTGTAATCTCAGCACTCTGGGAGGCAAGGTGGGTGGATCACCTGAGGTCAGGAGTTTGAGAGCAGCCTGGCCAACATGGTGAAACCCCATCTCTACTAAAAATACAAAATTAGCTGGTTGTGGTGGCACGCATCTGTAATCCCAGCTACTGGGGAGGCTGAGGCAGGAGAATCGCTTGAACCCAGGAGGCAGAAGTTGCAGTGAGCCGAGATCACACCATTGCACTCCAGCATGGGCAAAAAGAGTGAAACTCTGTCTCAAAAAAAAAAAAAAAAAAAAAAAGGCTGGAGGATGCCCTTCCCAGGTGGAGTGAGTAAAGATGTTGATTCAAGGTCAGATTCCTCACTCTCCAGACCAGGGAGTATTAAGCCATTTGCCTGGTGAGCAAGTGAAGAGGGGTGAGTGGCTGCGGACTCATTTGCCATTTTCATGTACCTGCAAAGACATGGCAGAGCATGCCCTCAGACCCTGGGAATTCTTTCCTGGGCCTGGAGACAGAGTGAAGCAGTGAAGGACCCCAAAGGCCCCAAAGCCAAGTTTGATTCCTATTTAAAGTTGTCAGAACAACAGGCTGAATTCTGAGTGGTCTTGGTCTCAGGGGGCGTAAGGCTCCTCCTGGCTGCCTAAGGAAATTATTCATTCGGATAAACCCAAATTAGACTACAAAAAGTAATAGCACATTTCTCTTTGTCTTCCTGATGTCTGGAGAGTTTCTCCACTGCCCCACCCTTCCACACGTACCTTCCTCCCTCTCCCTTCAACCCCCTCAAGTTACAAGCCTAGAAAATTCTCAGACCTCTGCCATCTCCAGAGTTTGTCAGAGACATTGGATAATCCACTGAAGTCCAGTAGTGCTAGAGCTGGTTGTGTGAGATCCATTAATAGGCATGGTTGTCATGGAAAAAAAGAAACCCACGGGCCTTGCAAATAAAGGCGATTGCTCTAGACCTAAAAAGATTCAGTGCAGACATTAGGAAACCTTCTCTGACTTCCTACCTGCCAGCTGCACCTACTCTTGGTGAAGTGTCCTCCCTTCCTAGTTGCACTCTTGAAAAAAAGAAAAGAAAAAGGAAGGGGGGAAAGGAGGCTGATTATAGGATTCACAGAGATTTTTCATTGGCCATATCCACCACCCTCCTATTCCCTGCCCATGCCTGATTGGTGAAAGGGTAGAGACACCTGACCCAATCTGGGCCAATCAGGTTCTTCATCCTAGAAAGCAGAAGACATGAGTACAGTCACACAGAGTCTAGACAGTCAGAGCTTACAACATTCATTGTCTTAGAGACAAAATCCAAGAGGACTTACCAGTAGTGGTGACCCTGGCACTGCCTGGTTATTCAGGTTTCCCATTGAAACTGTGAACAAACATGATGTCCTTCATCTTGACCTAGCTGGAATCAATTCAATTGTTTACCTCTAAAGAAACCTAACTGGTAAAAGCTCTAAGCCCCCATTCCTTCTCCCACTCAGTACATACACATTATTGCAATCATTACTTTCTCTTTGTCCAACTCTTTCCCTAGACCAGAAACTCTTTTATGTCCTGACCATAGATTGGTCTTGCCTTCACCTGCCACCCACTCTTCACGTGGCTGACTCTCACTCTTCCTTCAGATCCCTCGTGAGACATCAGGAGCCTTCCCTGACCACCTCCTGCATTCCTTGCCTGGGTTAAGTGCCCCCCTGGAATGTGTTCCCATTGCACCAGGCACTTCCCTGTGGTAATGTGTTATGTAGTTATCTATCTCCCACAAGACTGTAACTCCTTGAGTCAGGAGCTGTAGCCTATCTGATGTTCTATCTTCAGCACAAGTACAGTGCCTAGGACTTGGTAAGCACTCAGTAAATATTTATGAAATGAATAAATGAATAAAGACATATACTGATCTTCTCCCTCCTTCTAACAGTAAAATAATAGAAATTAATTACCTGGTTCAAATTATTATTCATCTCAGAATACAATCAGTCAGTCAACAAATTAGTAGTAATTGATGTGCCAAAAACTATATTAAGCACTATACAACTGCTATAAAGATGCAAATATAGACAAATAGGGGAGGAGAAGATTGTCTCATGAAAATCTAATATAATCTGTAACTAGGAACTCTAACTTCCATTTTGCCTGTTCTGAAGCAATCTATGCCTCCATGTTCTGTATCTTGAAGCTGGACATGTAGGAATTACCATCAATGATTTATTGGGTTTGCAACAGGCTCGTGAATCACTGGACAGAAATTTCCAGAATAGTGCTAGGTTCAAATGAGGTAAAAACCTTTGAGCAAAATTCCACATCCAGACTGGTTAATGCTTTGGGCCCCGAATCACTTCATTTCTGCCTCCTGCCGGGCTCAGAAGAACCACTGTACAAGATTGTGGGCTGAAAGGCTCCAGGACAGGCGGACAGGAGAGGGGTCTCTGAACCTTTGTTTCCAAAGGAGCCTGTCCCTGTGTCCCTGCTAATCTGGCAGATGTTGAATTGAGAGAGGGACCTCTCCCGCTGCCCCCAGGCTAGCAATTACAGAAACCAAATTGTCTCCTGCAAGAGGCATTGTCACCCTGGTGTCATTTCAGCATAAAATAAATTGCACTGCCCATCAGCCTGATGGAGGCCAGCACTTGCTGGCAGCTCCCACAGGCCCCCAGAAAGAGCCTACTCAGATGTGAAGACAAGTCAGCCAGCTGCAGCCAGCACTGAAAGTAACCCAGGGAGCATGATTCTGTCACGCAAGAACCCAGCATGTCTAAAAGGGCACAGTTTCAGCCTGGCACTGTCGACAGCTCTGCCAGGCTGATCTCCTATTTGTCAAGTCCCAGCAGAAATCAGGATAAACACAAAAACAAACAAAAAAAAAGAAATCAGGATAAACAATTCAGAGAGCTACAGGGTAACCATGCCATAAATGTGCAGTCTGTTATTCTAGATGTGTGTTTGCATGCACGTGGAGTGGTATGTGTGTGTGTGTGTGTGTGTGTGTGTGTGTGTGTGTGAGTCTCTGACACTGCCTAGTTCCAGTCTTCATCACCTCCTGCCTAGACTGTTTCGATAACCTCCTAATGGGTCTTCTGACTCCATTCCTGACTCCATGTTCTCACTCCTCATCAGTCCTCTCCCATGTCTTAAAATTCGTATTTCACCATCATTCTGAGCAAACTATCGCAAGGACAGAAAACCAAACACCGCATGTTCTCACTCATAGGTGGGAATTGAACAATAAGAACACTTGGACACAGGGCAGAGAACATCACACACCGGAGCCTGTCATGGGGTGGGGGGTTGGGGGAGGGATAGCATTAGGAGAAATACCTAATATAAATGATGGGTTAATGGGTACAGCAAACCAACACAACACATGTATACATATGCAACAAACTGGCACGTTGTGCACATGTACCCTAGAACTTAAAGTATAATAAAAAAAATTCATGTTTCAAAATCATAGATCTAATTATGTTAAACCATGGGAAACAAAGTCTAGTATTCACCACCATCCTTGGCCCCAAATTATCTTGTCAAATGCATGTCAAACTTTCTGGCACCCTGTACTCCGGCCAAACTGGACACATCTCTGCTGTAACATGCACCCCCATTTCAAATATTTAGATCATATTGGAACTTTAAGATCCAGACCAAATATCCTCTCCTTCATGACACTCTCCCTTTTACCTTCACTCTGCCACTCCAGAAGCTGGAAGCTAATTCTTCTCCCCTCCAAAAAATAAAAAACAACCAGCATATATTGAGTGCCTGTTATGTGCTTTACACTTTATGCACATCATGTCAACACTATTATTATCCTCATTCTATAGATGAAAATGCTGAGAGTTAGAGGGTTTGCCTAGAACCACAGAACTCCTAAATTGCATAGCCAGAACTCGAACCCAGAACTACTGGCTCCACAATTTATGCCCTTAATTACTATGCAGCACTCTCTTTTAAGCTCTAAGGGGTAAGTAGGGTGGATTACCTGTAATTTCCATCACCATCCTAAATAAATTTATAATCTAAGCAGTGATCAATTTATTTTTATGCCAATAAAGCTTTAAATGTCAAGGATCCTCATTCCAGAGACCCCTTCTAAGATTCCAGGAGAGGCACCTGGCAATGTATTCAAAGATTCTTATGACGTTTTTGTAAAACTTTCTAAAGTAATATATTTTAACCAGAGTTTGTTAAAGCAGTTAGTCTGTTTCCATCTCAACCTCCCTTCATCATGCTTCCCTTCATGTCAGTGGTGCCCGAGTGTCCATGGGTGTTTAGCTAATAGGGATCTAGCTAATAGGAAGCTGAATTGGGAAAGCTGTTAATTGGGCTTGTTATATTTCATTTGGAGTATAGTTAAGTTATTGCTAGCTGTCTCAATGTAGAAATGACTCTGGGAGTACACTTACTACCAACTGTGCCAACTTACTTGGCATCATGACATAAAGGTGCAGGGCCAGAGGTTGTATTGCACTGTGAACATGCCCATGGAAACATTCCATGTTCTGATAAATTCCTCATGCTGGAGTTTATCAGAATTCCTGAGAGGCTGGGGCACACACCTGTACCATAATCACGAAAGCAAGTACATCTGTATGTGGGGCCTCATGATTTACGAATCCTAACTATCAAAAATAAAAAAACAAATTTTGATCAACTGTGCTAGAAAGAAGACAGAACTATCTTCCTATTCTCTCTTTAGAAAATAATATGCCAAAATTATTGTCATATGACGAAGCATTAAAGAGTATACAACTAAAAAACGTAGGAAAAGCTACAGCTCCCAGCATGAGCGACACAGAAGACAGGTGATTTCTGCATTTCCAACTGAGGTACTGGGTTCATCTCACTGGGGTGTGTTGGACAGTGGGTGCAGGACAGTGGGTGCAGTGCACTCAGCAAGAGCCAAAGGAGGGCGAGGCATTGCCTCACCAGGGAAGCACAAGGGGTCAGGGAATGCCCTTGCATAGCCAAGCAAAGCTGTGACAGATGGTACCTGGAAAATTGGGTCACTCCCACCCTAACTCTGCACTTTTCCAAGGGTCTTAGCAAATGGCACACCAGGCTTGGAGGGTCCCATGCCCACTGAGCCTCACTCATTGCTAGCACAGCAGTCTGAGATCGAACTGCAAGGCAGCAGCGAGGCTGGGGGAGCGGTGACTGCCATTGCTGAGGCTTGAGTAGGTAAACAAAGCAGCCTGAAAGCTCGAACTGGGTGGAGCCCACTGCAGCTCAAGGAGGCCTGCCTGCCTCTGTAGACTCCACCTCTGGGGGCAGGGCATAGCCGAACAAAAGGCAGCAAAAACCTCTGCAGATTTAAATGTCCCCGTATGACAGCTTTGAAGAGAGTAGTGGTTCTCCCAACACAGAGTTTGAGATCTGAGAATGGACAGACTGCCTCCTCAAGTGGGTCCCTGACCCCCGAGTAGCCTAACTGGGAGGCACCTGCCAGTAAGGGCAAACTGACACCTCACACAGCCAGGTACCCCTCTGAGACGAAGCTTCCAGAGGAATGATCAGGCAGCAACATTTGCTGTTCAGCAATATTCACTGTTCTGCAGCCTCCACTGCTGATACCCAGGCAAACAGGGTCTGGAGTGGACCTCCAGCAAACTCCAACAGACCTGCAGCTGAGGGTCCTGACTGTTAGGAGGAAAACTAACAAACAGAAAGGACATCCACACCAAAACCCCATCTGTACATCACCATCGTCAAAGACCAAAGGTAGATAAAACCACAAAGATGGGGAAAAAACAGAGCAGAAAAGCTGGAAATTCTAAAAATCAGAGCACCTCTTCTCCTCCAAAAGAACGCAGCTCCTCACCAGCAACAGAACAAAGCTGGACGGAGAATGACTTTGACGAGTTGAGAGAAGAAGTCTTCAGTCAATCAAACTCTGAGCTAAAGGAGGAAGTTCAAACCCATTGCAAAGAAGCTAAAAACCTTGAAAAAAGATTAGACGAATGGCTAACTAGAATAACCAGTGTAGAGAAGTCTTTAAATGACCTGATGGAGCTGAAAAACATGGCATGAGAACTACATGATGAACGCACAAGCTTCAGTAACCCATTCGATCAACTGGAAGAAAGGGTACCCGTGATTAAAGATCAAATGAATGAAATGAAGTGAGAGGATAAGTTTAGAGAAAAAAGAGTAAAAGGAAATGAACAAAGCCTCCAAGAAATATGGGACTGTGTGAAAAGACCAAATCTACATCTGATTGGTGTACCTGAACGTGACGGAGAGAATGGAACCAAGTTGGAAAACACTCCGCAGGATATTATCCAGCAGAATTTCCCCAACTTAGCAAGGCAGGCCAACATTCAAGTTCAGGAAATACAGAGAACACTACAAAGATACTCCTCGAGAAGAGCAACTCCAAGACACATAATTGTCAGGTTCACCAAAGTTGAAATGAAGGAAAAAATGTTAAGGGCAGCCAGAGAGAAAGGTCAGGTTACCCACAAATGGAAGCCCATCAGACTAACAGTGGATATGTCAGCAGAAACTCTACAAGCCAGAAGAGAGTGGGGGCCAATATTCAACATTCTTAAAGAAAAGAATTTTCAACCCAGAATTTCATATCCAGCCAAACTAAGCTTCATAAGTGAAGGAGAAATAAAATCCTTTAGAGACAAGCAAATGCTGAGAGACTTGTCACCACCAGGTCTGCCCTACAAGAGCTCCTGAAGGAAGCACTAAACATGGAAAGGAACAACCAGTACCAGCCACTGCAAAAACATGCCAAAGTGTAAAGACCATCAATGCTAGGAAGAAACTGCATCAACTAATGAGCAAAATAACCAGCTAACATTATAATGACAGGATCAAATTCACACATAACAATATTAACCTTAAATATAAATGGGCTAAATGCTCCAATTAAAAGACACAGACTGGCAAATAGGTTAAAGAGTCAAGACCCATCAGTGTGCTGTATTCAGGAAACCCATCTCACATGCAGAGACACAGATAAGCTCAAAATAAAGGGATGGAGGAAGATCCACCAAGCAAATGGAAAACAAAAAAAAAGCAGGGTTGCAATCCTAGTCTCTGACAAAACAGACTTTAAACCAACAAAGATCAAAAGAGACAAAGAAGGCCATTACATAATGGTAAAGGGATCAATTCAACAAGAAGAGCTAACTATCCTAACTATATATGCACCCAATACAGGAGCACCCAGATTCATAAAGCAAGCACTTAGAGACTTACAAAGAGACTTAGACTCCCACACAATAATAATGGGAGACTTTAACACCCCACTGTCAACATTAGACAGATCAACGACAGAGAAAGTTAAAAAGGATATCCAGGAATTGAACTCAGCTCTGCACCAAGCTGACCTAATATACATCTACAGAACTCTCCACCCCAAATCAACAGAATATACATTCTTCTCAGCACCACATCGCACTTATTCCAAAACTGACCACAGAGTTGGAAGTAAAGCACTCCTCAGCAAATGTAAAAGAACAGAAATTATAACAAACTGTCTCTCAGACCACAGTGCAATCAAACTAGAACTCAGGTTTAAGAAATTCACTCAAAACCGCTCAACTACATGGAAACTGAACAACCTGCTCCTGAATAACTACTGGGTACATAATGAAACGAAGGCAGAAATAAAGACGTTCTTTGAAACCAATGAGAACAAAGACAGAACATACCAGAATCTCCGGGACACATTTAAAGCAGTGTGTAGAGGGAAATTTATAGCACTAAATGCCCACAAGAGAAAGCAGGAAAGATCTAAAATTGACACCCTAACATCACAATTAAAAGAACTAGAGAAGTAAGAGCAAACACATTCAAAAGCTAGCAGAAGGCAAGAAATAACTAAGATCAGAGCAGAACTGAAGGAGATAGTGACACAAAAAAACCCTTCAAAAAATCAATGAATCCAGGAGCTGGTTTTTTGAAAAGATCAACAAAATTGATAGACCACTAGCAAGACTAATAAAGAAGAAAAGAGAGAAGAATCAAATAGACGCAATAAAAAGTGATAAAGGGGAGATCACCACTGATCCCACAGGAATACAAACTACCATCAGAGAATACTATAAACACCTCTACGCAAATAAACTAGAAAATCTAGAAGAAATGGAAAAATTCCTCGACCCATACACCCTCCCAAGACTAAACCAGGAAGAAGTTGAATCCCTGAATAGACCAATAACAGGCCTGAAATTGAGGAAATAATAGCCTACCAACCAAAAAATGTCCAGGACCAGATGGATTCACAGCCGAATTCTACCAGAGGTACAAGGAGGAGCTGGTACCATTCCTTCTGAAACTATCCCAATCAATAGAAAAAGAGGGAATCCTCCCTAACTCATGTTACGAGGCCAACATCATCCTGATACCAAAGCCTGGCAGAGACACAACAAAAAAAGAGAATTTTAGACCAATATCCTTGATGAACATCGACGCAAAAATCCTCAGTAAAATACTGGCAAACTGAATCCAGCAGCACATCAAAAAGCTTATCCACCATGATCAAGTGGGCTTCATCCCTGGGATGCAAGGCTGATTCAACATACGAAAATCAATAAATGCAATCCAGCATAAACAGAACCAAAGACAAAAACCACATGATTATCTCAAAAGATGCAGAAAAGGCCTTTGACAAAATTCAACAACCCTTCATGCTAAAAACTCTCAATAAATTCGGTATTGATGGGATGTATCTCAAAATAATAAGAGCTATTTATGACAAACCCACAGCCAATATCATACTGAATGGGCAAAAACTGGAAGCATTCCCTTTGAAAACTGGCACAAGACAGGGATGCCCTCTCTCACCACTCCTATTCAACATAGTGTTGGAAGTTCTGGCCAGGGCAATTAGGCAGGAGAAAGAAATAAAGGGTATTCAATTAGGAAAAGAGGAAGTCAAATTGTCCCTGTTTGCAGATGACATGATTGGATATTTAGAAAAACCCATCTTCTCAGCCCAAAATCTCCTTAAGCTGATAAGCAACTTCAGCAACGTCTCAGGATACAAAATCAATGTGCAAAAATCTCAAGCATTCTTATACACCAATAACAGAGAAACAGAGAGCCAAATCATGAGTGAATTCCCATTCACAATTGTTTCAAAGAGAATAAAATACCTAGTAATCCAACTTACAAGGGATGTGAAGGAACTCTTCAAGGACAACTACAAACTACTGCTCAGCAAAATAAAAGAGGACACAAACAACTCTCCCTCTCCCTCTCCCTCTCCCTCTCCCTCTCCCTCTCCCTCTCCCTCTCCCTCTCCCTCTCCCTCTCCCTCTCCCTCTCCCTCTCCCTCTCTCCCTCTCCCTCTCTCTCCACGGTCTCCTTCCACGGTCTCCCTCTGATGCCGAGCCGAAGCTGGACTGTACTGCTGCGATCTCGGCTCACTGCAACCTCCATGCCTGATTCTCCCGCCTCAGCCTGCCGAGTGCCTGCGATTGCAGGCGCGCGACGCCACGCCTGACTGGTTTTCGTTTTTTTTTGGTGGAGACGGGGTTTTGCTGTGTTGGCCGGGCTGGTCTCCAGCTCCTAACCGCGAGTGATCCGCCAGCCTCGGCCTCCCGAGGTGCCGGGATGGCAGACGGAGTCTCGTTCACTCAGTGCTCAATGGTGCCAAGGCTGGAGTGCAGTGGCGTGATCTCGGCTCGCTACAACCACCTCCCAGCCGCCTGCCTTGGCCTCCCAAAGAGCCCAGATTGCAGCCTCTGCCCGGCCGCCACCCCGTCTGGGAAGTGAGGAGCGTCTCTGCCTGGCCGCCCATCATCTGGGATATGAGGAGCCCCTCTGCCTGGCTGCCCAGTCTGGAAAGTGAGGAGCGTCTCTGCCCGTCCGCCATCCCATCTAGGAAGCGAGGAGCGCCACTTCCCCGCCGCCATCCCATCTAGGAAGTGAGGAGCGTCTCTGCCCGGCCGCCCATCGTCTGAGAGGTGGGGAGCACCTCTGCCCCGCCACCCTGTCTGGGATGTGAGGAGCGCCTCTGCCCGGCCGCCCCGTCTGAGAAGTGAGGAAACCCTCTGCCTGGCAACCGCCCCGTCTGAGAAGTGAGGAGCCCCTCCGTCCAGCAGCCACCCCGTCTGGGAAGTGAGGAGCGTCTCCGCCCGGCAGCCACCCCGTCCGGGAGGGAGGTGGGGGGGGGTCAGCCCCCCGCCCGGCCAGCCGCCCCGTCCGGGAGGTGAGGGGCTCCTCTGCCCGGCCGCCCCTACTGGGAAGTGAGGAGCCCCTCTGCCCGGCCGGTCGCCCCGTCCAGGAGGGAGGTGGGGGGGTCAGCCCCCCGCCCGGCCAGCCGCCCAGTCCGGGAGGGGGGAGGGGGGGTCAGCCCCCTGCCCGGCCAGCTGCCCCGTCCGGGAGGGAGGTGGGGGGATCAGCCCCCCGCCTGGCCAGCCGCCCCGTCCGGGAGGTGAGGGGCGCCTCTGCCCGGCCGCCCCTACTGGGAAGTGAGGAGCCCCTCTGCCCGGCCAGCCGCCCCGTCCGGGAGGGAGGTGGGGGGGTCAGCCCCCCGCCCGGCCGGCCGCCCCGTCCGGGAGGTGAGGGGCGCCTCTGCCCGGCCGCCCCTACTGGGAAGTGAGGAGCCCCTCTGCCCGGCCAGCCGCCCAGTCCGGGAGGGAGGTGGGGGGATCAGCCCCCCGCCCGGCCAGCCGCCCAGTCCGGGAGGGAGGTGGGGGGTCAGCCCCTCGCCCGGCCAGCCGCCCCGTCCGGGAGGGAGGTGGGGGGGGTCAGCCCCCCGGCCCGGCCAGCCGCCCCGTCCGGGAGGGGGGAGGGGGAGTCAGCCCCCTGCCCGGCCAGCCGCCCCGTCCGGGAGGGAGGTGGGGGGGTCAGCCCCCCGCCCGGCCAGCCGCCCCGTCCGGGAGGGAGGTGGGGGGATCAGCCCCCCGCCTGGCCAGCCGCCCTGTCCGGGAGGTGAGGGGCGCCTCTGCCCGGCCGCCCCTACTGGGAAGTGATGAGCCCCTCTGCCCGGCCAGCCGCCCCGTCCGGGAGGGAGGCGGCGGGGGGTGGTCGGCCAGCCGCCCCGTCCGGGAGGGAGGTGGAGGGGTCAGCCCCCCGCCCGGCCAGCCGCCCCGTCCGGGAGGGAGGTGGGGGGATCAGCCCCCCGCCTGGCCAGCCGCCCCGTCCGGGAGGGAGGTGGGGGGATCAGCCCCCCGCCTGGCCAGCCACCCAGTCCGGGAGGTGAGGGGCGCCTCTGCCCGGCCGCCCCTACTGGGAAGTGAGGAGCCCCTCTGCCCGGCCACGACCCCGTCTGGGAGGTGTGCCCAGCGGCTCATTGGGGATGGGCCATGATGACAATGGCGGTTTTGTGGAATAGAAAGGCGGGAAGGGTGGGGAAAAAATTGAGAAATCGGATGGTTGCCGGGTCTGTGTGGATAGAAGTAGACATGGGAGACTTTTCATTTTGTTCTGTACTAAGAAAAATTCTTCTGCCTTGGGATCCTGTTGATCTGTGACCTTATCCCCAACCCTGTGCTCTCTGAAACATGTGCTGTGTCCACTCAGGGTTAAATGGATTAAGGGCGGTGCAAGATGTGCTTTGTTAAACAGATGCTTGAAGGCAGCATGCTCCTTAAGAGTCATCACCACTCCCTAATCTTAAGTACCCAGAGACACAAACACTGCGGAAGGCCGCAGGGTCCTCTGCCTAGGAAAACCAGAGACCTTTGTTCACTTGTTTATCTGCTGACCTTCCCTCCACTATTGTCCTATGACCCTGCCAAATCCCCTTCTGCGAGAAACACCCAAGAATGATCAATAAAAAAAAAAAAAAAAAAAAAAAAAGAGGACACAAACAAATGGAAGAACATTCCATGTTCATGGACAGGAAGAATCAATATCGTGAAAATGGCCATGCTGCCCAAGGTAATTTATAGATTCAATGCCATCCCCATCAAGCTACCAAGGACTTTCTTTACAGAATTAGAAAAAACTACTTTAAAGTTCATATGGAACCTAAAAAGAGCCCACATTGCCAAGACAATCCTAAGCCAAAAGAACAAAGCTGGAGGCATTATGCTACCTGACTTCAAACTATACTACAAGGCTACAGTAACCAAAGCAGCATGGTACTGGTACCAAAACAGAGATATAGATCAATGGAACAGAACAGAGCCCTCAGAAATAATACCACACATTTACAACCATCTGATCTTTGACAAACCTGACAAAAACAAGAAATGGGGAAAGGATTCCCTATTTAATAAATGGTGCTGGGAAACTGGCTAACCATATGTAGGAAGCTGAAACTGGATCCCTACAATATAAAAATTAATTCAAGATGGATTAAAGACTTAAATGTTAGACCTAAAACCATAAAAACCCTAGAAGAAAACCTAGGCAATACCATTCAGGACATAGGCATGGGCAAGGACTTCATGTCTAAAACACCAAAAGCAATGGCAACAAAAGCCAAAATTGACAAATGGGATCTAATTAAACTAAAGAGCTTCTGCACAGCAAAAGAAACTACCATCAGAGTGAACAGGCAACCTACAAAATTGGAGAAAATTTTTACAATCTAGTCATCTGACAAAGGGCTAATATCCAGAATTTACAAAGAACTCAAACAAATTTACAAGAAAAAAATTAAACAACTCCATCAAAAAGTGGGCAAAGGATATGAACACACACTGCTCAAAAGCAGACATTTATGCAGCCAACAGACACATGAAAAAATGCTCACCATCACTGGCCATCAGAGAAATGCAAATCAAAACCACAATGAGATACCATCTCACACCAGTTAGAATGGCGATCATTAAAAAGTCAGGAAACAACAGGTGCTGGAGATGATGTGGAGAAATAGGAACACTTCTACACTGTTGGTGGGACTGTAAACTAGTTCAACCATTGTGGAAGACAGTGTGGCAATTCCTCAAGGATCTAGAACTAGAAATACCATTTGACCCAGCCATCCCATTACTGGGTATATACCCAAAGGATTATAAATCATGCTGCTATAAAGACACATGCACACGTATGTTTATTATGGAACCATTCACAATAGCAAAGACTTGGAACCAACCCAAATGTCCGTCAGTGATAAACTGGATTAAGAAAATGTGCCAATTATACACCATGGAATACTATGCAGCCATAAAAAAGATGAGTTCATGTCCTTTGTAGGGGACATGGATGAAGCTGGAAACCATCATTCTCAGCAAACTATCTCAAGGACAGAAAACCAAACACTGCATGTTCTCACTTATAGGTGGGAACTGAACAATGAGAACACTTGGACACAGGAAGGGGAATATCACTCACTAGGGCCTGTTCTGGGGTGGGGGGAGTGGGGAGGGATAGCATTAGGAGATATACCTAATGTAAATGACGAGTTAATGGGTGCAGCACACCAACATGGCATATGTATACAGATGTAACAAACCTGCACATTGTGCACATGTACCCTAGAACTTAAAGTATAATAAAAATAATAAAAATAAAAATAAAATAAAATAAATGTAGGAAGAAAGTGCTATAGAAGTACGTCAGTCAGCTAGTTAGCATTTAAATTCCATTATTATTCTGGATTTTGTGATGTTTGTGGTATTGTCAGCTTTTAGAATGCATAATTTACAATGATATATTTTATTATTTAAAATAAATATTCAATTTTACACCAAATCCTGTCTTCACAATTTTGTTTTCTTTTTCTTAAATAAGCTCCCTTCCAATTAATAAGCATCAGATCACCCCAAAAAAACCTGGATCTGCATTGAATTTCAGTAAGAAAAGTACTCTTGCTATGCAAACACCACTTCGAGTGCCCTTGCCCCTCTTTCTGTCAAATTATGACTCACCAATGCCGTTCTCTGTGGGCGTCCTAGGCCACAGCTGCAGCTCCTCATACCCCTCTCACAGCACTCATCACTGTTTACTTACATTATATTTATTCACATTCCTGTTTTATTTCTTTCCAGCAACCATCTCAGGGCCTTACGTGGCATTGCACATAATAAATGAAAGGCCTCGTGGAGCCAGAAGACAAAGAGTAGACCAAGTGGAGGGGCAGGAGGGAGCCCTTCACTCCTGGGCCTGCACCCTGGTCATGGCACAATATGTCTCTGATGTTTATCTTTTGTATAATGAAATTGCATGGGTAAAAGTTTTCCTTCTCTCTTTCCATGTATCTCAATTCCTTACTCTCTTTTTGTCTCTCTACTTTGTATTCATTTTAGTCTGTTTCGTGTTGCTATAACAGAATACCTGAGGCTGGGTAATTTATAAAGAAAAGAGTTTTATTTTAGCTCATGGTTCTGCAGGCTGGGAAGTTCAAGGGCATGGCCTTGGCTTCTGATGAAGATTTTCATGCTGCATCATAACAAAGTGAAGAAAGTCAAAGAAGTGGACATGTGTGAGGAAGAAAAGCAAGCCCTAGGGGTATCCTGCTTTTATAACAACCCACTCTCAAGGGAATATTGCTGTGAGAACTAAGCGGGTCTAGTGAAAGCAAGAACTCATTCACTATCCAGAGAATACCAAGCCATTCATAGGGGATTCCCGTCTGTGACTCAAACACTTCCCACTAAGCCCCACCTCCCAAAACATTGGGGATCAAATTTCAACAGGAGTTTAGGTGGGAACAAACTTAAATCGTAGCACTATCTTTCTCTCCTCTTTCTGGCCCTGATGCTAATAGGGCTAATATGGCAGTCTTTGAAGCAGGACCAGAACATGGGAGACAATCATAGCCCCAAATCTTCCCACCCCAGGCAGAGAATTCAGTTCTCTGCATTAGGCAGCATTTCAGGGAGGGGATAAATCTGACTGATGCCATGTGTTTCTCCATCAGCATGGCTTGAACCAGAAACAGTCCAATACACCAAGGTTTCCTGAAAGCAGGGGCCAGTCTTGTTGGTGACAAGTGAGGTTGGACGTCTTCCATTGGAGGGAAGCTGAGCAAGGAATTCGATTTCAAAGATCACAAGGTGTGGCCCCCACCCAGGAAATGAATCTTCCATCCAACTAGATGAGAATGAAAAGGAAAAGTATTCAAATTGCACAATTACTGTCTGGCTAAATTAATTGTTGCATTCATCTAAATGGATTAGACACTTTAATTAGAAGGGTCTGGTTATTTGCTGAAATTGAATTTTTGGCATGTGGGTGTTACGTGCACATGTGTGTTTGTTTTAGCAGAGCCCACGCTGGAGCAAATCTACAATGATTCCTTTCTCCATAGAAAAAAAAAAAAAAAGAATGACAGTCAGTTAAGAACCAGCCTTCTCTCCACAGACCCCCAACCCCAGGGAAAGGGGGGATGGAGATTCCCCCATCCTGGAAGGAAAACCATGGCATTCTCACCTGGCCACCACAAGAGGCTTTGCAGATGGAAAAAACATCTGTGGGCTTAGGAGCAGCTGTGAGAGGAGAAAGGAGGTATGGAGGAAAGAAGGGGAAGTGTGTAATGGAAAAATGTTAAATTCAAAGCTTTCCTTTGGTTTATACTAGGTATGGAATCTCCCAAATTAGCCTATAGAATGTGCACCCCCAGGGGGCAGCAGAGCACCAACCCTTGAGAAGCCAGCAGCCTAGTTACTCCATTTGGCCAGAGATGAGCTGTGGTTAAAAGGGGTATTTAGTGGCAGGAGGAAGAGCAATCCGAATAGGAGGACAAAGATTTGAACCACCCTGAGCCCTTGGGAGGCCAGTGCCAAGAGGGTGGGTAGAAGAGCCAAACAGAGATAGGAAAAGAAGGAATTGAACAAATTAGGGCTAAAAGCAGGTTGTCATCAGTCTCAGGAGATAAAATGGGAGTTAGAATTCCTGAGCAGACCCAGCAAGGTGCAAGGCGTGTACTTTGAACAGAATCAAGGATGGAGCAGCCAGGCCACCACCCCAAATGCCATCTATAAAGAGAATCAAAATATCCCTGGAGATGTAGGAAGCTGGAAAGTGTTTGCCAGGATTCCTCTCAAGAAGAGGACTGTAGGAGTTGGTGGGGTAATTTGCTATGCCTCACTGAGACTGGGGTGGGGGCTGGGGGTGGTTGGAGAATAAGAAGAGAACTCGGAGATAAAGGAGGCAAAAGCAGAGAATGTCCTGATGATAGATGCTTGCTAGACCATCCCCCCTTTCCTGTGGGGTTTTTATTTCACTAGGTAACATATGCAAGTTTGGGGCCAGCACTGAATTGCTGGGGATAAGAGAAGAGAGGCAGGACCAGCCACCAGAAGTTCCTGCTCCACCCTTCCCCTCAAAGCTCTCAGCCTTGCCTATAAATAATTGAGCCGACTGGAAGGGAACCAAATGATGATTCTGCCTGGGTCCCCTATCTAAATCTGGCCCTGCTTATAGCAGGCTGTGTCCATAGAGTCCTAGTGCAGGTGGGGCCCTCCTTCTGTTTTTTGTCCCATTTACCTACTTTAGGGCCTGGAATAGTAGAGACCTGAGCGTCTTTTTGAAAAGCTGAAGGAAACTTTTCCTTTGTCTTCCCCACACTGGGTTGGAGAAAAAGCCTTCAGCCTGGAGGCAGAGATAAAGAAGGCTTTGATTCTGTGATTCATTTCACCTCAGAGTTCGCAACTGAGTTTGAACAGCAACTCTGCTCCATCTCCTAAGGTTTGTTTCACATCTGTTATAAGCTATGGCAATAACCGCTGCTCATGGTTATGTGGCTGATGGAGCAGAGGCAATGAGATTGTCTCTGGGCAGGGAGAATATAATCTCATTTGCTGTGTCTCTTTGATCATGGGAGCAGGTAGGAAAATGGAATTTCATGCAGGTTATTCCTTTCTGCTGCCACTGATGGTAATGGTTATTTAACTTTTCCTGAGTGCCAAAAAGCTGCCAGGCATTGAGGAACCTCTCCCCAGCTTAGAAACTGAATTCGCAGACAGGTGTGAAATTGTTTCAGTGAAAGTCAAACTTATCAAGTTCATTTTATTCAGGACTTACGCCTTTAGATAAGAGTATCCATAAATGTTGCAGAAAAGAAGGGGTATGGCCAGGTCTTACATTTCTTCTGCTGGTCATTTTGGAACACAGCTTGCACTCAGTTTGAATTCTCTCTTTAGCATCAGTCCCCACTCCACCTGAACCATTGCTGGCCTTCAGCCCATTTCTTCTTGATATTTGGAGTGGGTAGGGGGTGGTGC
The DNA here is from genome assembly GCF_000001405.40 of Homo sapiens. Lineage (NCBI taxonomy): Eukaryota > Metazoa > Chordata > Mammalia > Primates > Hominidae > Homo > Homo sapiens. Next base: position 112,300,363 of record NC_000001.11, read on the forward strand.
TAGGCAGCTAGGACAATCGAATCTGACCCTCTCAAATGAGAAGACTCTGAAAACCCTTCCGACCCACCATTCCTGTACCCTTTCCCAACACACCCCATCAAAATCATCCCGTAAGGATAAGGGAAGCTAACAGGCTGAATGTACTTGAATAAAGACTGCTTTTCTCTGGTCTCAGTTTCCTTATCTGTAAAATGACAAAGTCAGACCAGACGATGTTTAAGATCTCTTATGGCTCTGACTTCAGATGAACTCTCAAAGGGAAGCAGCCCAAGGAGAAGGCTTAGATCAGCTCCCAAGCTGTTGGATTGGCCTCAGCTGTGGCTGCAGTTTAAGGAGGGCATGGAAGAAGAGGAGAAAAGAGGGTTGAAGGAAACTATCTTAAAATGAGTCTTTAGAGTGAATGAGGTTATTTCTTCTGAGCCTTCCACTGAGAGCAACTTGAAACAGAAAGTCTGAGTGCTTTGGGTGGGAAAAGGCAGGGTCTTCTTGGAGCACATGTGGCACTTTATGAGGTCCCAGCAGAGCCCTGCCCTGGGATGGTGTTTGCTGCCCCACTGACCCCCATGGTCAGCCATGAAGAGCCCAGGGTCGAGGTCAAAGCACCACAATTCATTCCACTGTGAGAGGTGCACTAAGGCATGGGGGCTGCGGAGGTCTGAGGACCTTTCTCTCTGGTGCCAGCAGACAGAAAGACGATCTGGCAGACTCTAAAAGCACTAAAGCTGGGCAACAGTGTCGGGGGAAAATGGAAGATATGGTGCGTGTGGGAGGTTTTATGGAGTGATGGTAATAACCCCTCCATTTATACAGAGCTTTCCAGTTTATAAAGCCCTCTCATATCCATTACCTCATTTGAGCCTCTGTGAAGCTCTAAGAGGCAGGCAGAGCAAATGTTCTTTTCTTCTGTTTTATAGGTAAGGAAGCAGGAGGGTAGATGAGTCAAGTCACCTGCCCAAGGTCACAATGACAGCTCATGACACAGCAGGATGATTCCAGCCACCTGGGAGGTAATGCCAGACTAGCAGGCAGATGGACCCAGGACCCATCCCTGCTCTTCCCCACGGCCATTTGCTTCTCTGAGCAGTAAAGCTCTGAGTGTTACTGTTTTGATCTGCAAAACTGGATAATAATAACAACTTGGGCAATTAAGGCAGATGATATGTGTACAGGGCCCGGCCCAAGTAGCCAATCAGCATGTCTACTCTTCTCTTTTCCTCTGCTAGCATTTAAGAATCTTCCTTCCATGGGGTAAATAGAGAATGAGGTCATTATGACTCTAGATAGGAGTATGCATCTTGGGGTCAAACAGGCATGGTTTCAAATACTCCTTGCCACTTCTGGCTATGTGATCCAGGGGCAAGTTACTACTGTCTTTGGCAGTTTACTTCTCTGGAAAAGGAGGATCCTAATGCCCACCCCATGAGGATATTTATATACTGCACTAGCACCATGTCTGTCTTAATAAATGCAGTTTTCCCCTTTTTTCTTCTTACCACTATAGCACATGAGATAGTCACCTTCCTGGAGCCTGCCAACAAATCCCAGAAAGCTAAACAGAGTTTCCAGGCTCTTGTTGTGCCACACCCCCATAACCCAGAATTAATAATAATAAGTATTGCTGCAGTTTTTTGGGTTTTTTTGTTTTTTTGTTTGTTTCCTTGTTTGTTTTGAGACAGAGTCTCGCTTTGTCTCCCAGGCTGGAGTGCAGTGGCACAGTCTCAGCTCACTGCAACCTCTGCCTCCCAGGTTCCAGTGATTCTCCCACCCCAGCCTCCAGAGTAGCTGGGATTACAGGCTCATGCCCCATGCCTAGCTAATTTTTTGTATTTTTAGTAGAGATAGGGTTTCACCATGTTGGCCAGGCTGATCTCGAACCCCCAACCTGAAGTGATCCACCCACCTCGGCCTCTCAAAGTGCTGGGATTACAGGTGTGAGCCACCACGCCGGGCAACTGCAGTTATTATTATTTATCAAGTGCTTGTTCTGGCTCAGACACCATGTTCAGTGTTTTACCCATATTGGCTTACTTAATTCTTACAATAGCATAGAACTATTAGCCTTATTTTGCAGATGAGATAACTGAGGCACAAAGAATTTAGGAACTTACCCAAGGCTTTACAGATAATAATGACAGAGCTGGGACTGAGTTTTAAAGCCAGAACTCTTAACCTAACTAACCTCTAACTAACCCTGTGCCTATTTCCCACTACGGACCTGGGGGCAAAGGCCCTTGCTCTTCATCATGCCTGCAATGACACTTCCCTGAGGATGGAGGGACTGAGCAAGCTGGGAAGCACCCTGGCCAAATTGAAAAGACCAGATATAATCATTTATGCAAATGCCAGGATTCTATTCGCTGAAGAGGTTCCAGGTTGAGTTACATTTGAGAAGCTGGAGAATGTGGATGATCCTGGAGAGCCGTTTAGCATACAAAGAGATATTAACCCCTGCCCAAAAAGCCAGGCAGCACTGAGGATATTGAGAAAACTTACTCTGCGTGCAAACTTTTCAATTATAGAATCAGCCAGTGGGATTAGTAGTAGGAATGAATGTGAGGTGTGGAGTCCCCCCTTGCAATCTGGAGAGGAAAGACTTTAGTGTGAGGCCTCTTTCCAGAGCAACTCATGGGTCATGGCAGATGAAGTGTCTCATAAAGGTCTGGATGCCCATTGCCCAACACAGATCCCTGCCCTTTGTAATGTTCAAGAAGGATAGCTGGAATAATGAACAAATCAACAAAATAATTATCTTGCCAAAAGGTAACAAAGAATCTGGAATGTTTCCCAATACACCATATCTTAGGAGATTCTGAGAGAACCCCAGTCCTTAGGAGAGACTTGAAAAAAGAACTTCTTGACTGTGTAAAATAAGAAATAGATGAATGAAGAGTGAGGGAGGATATGCCAGCTCTAAGAAAGTGGCTCCTAAATGTAAGGCCAGGTCCAGAGGAACACCTTTCCTAGAAGCAGGGAGATGAATAGAATGGCATCTGCCATTGGAATCCTAAAACAATGAGAGATTTAACAGCAAAGCGTCAATCTAAGTGGAATATAAGATGTTAGCACTTGATTTTCTAACATACTTAACCAGATGCTGAAGTATTAGAAAAATCAGAGTGGCCCACCCCCATCATTCTCCTGCTCCCGCACCCCAACCCCATCCAAAATGTCAGGAGTTTCTCATCAAGTGACAATTCTACAGGACCTACCCTGAAGCAAAGTCCACACTGGTTATACCTGTGGGACAATTCTCATCAGGATGTGTCTGTTTTCCAGCTCTGGGCCCATATTTGTAAAAGTCCTTCTCTTCCTAGAGCTGATGGTCACTTTAGAAAGTAGTGAAAATAGCTACAATTCAGAGGGTGCTTACTAAGTGCCAGGAGCCAGGCCGAGGGCTCACACGAATTATCTCATTTTATCCTCAGAATCAGCCAATGGGATTTGGTATATAACTAGCCCTATTTTACTTAGAAAAACCCTAAAACTAAAGAAGTTAAGAATTTGACTTAGATCACATGATTAATAAATGAAGAATTTAGAATTGGGAAACTCCAAGGCACTGAAATTTCCCCCAAATATTATGCAAAAGACAAACCAAAATAGATCATAAAGTAAATGTAAAGAAATCCGCAAAGTTCTTTCTTTCCCCATGATTGTTTTAAATAAAATGTTTTTAAATACTTCATTAACGATTGAGTCATGTACCAGGATACAAATTCAGTTCTGTCTATTCCAGGCCTGACTTCTTAACCCCTATCTTTCGTTAGTAAGAGAACTTTGCTTTTTCCCAGCATCCAGAGCCTCCAAGCCCTTCCAAGAGGACCAAACATTTGATTTTTCTCAGAAGAGTTAACAAAGTAGATACTACAAGGGGTTGGGGCTGATGGGGAGGGTGATTGAGGTTGCTTGAGTTCAAATCTTAGGAGATTACAGAAAATCTGCTGGTTCACCAGCCACTTGGACGCCTTATCTGAGCCAAAGTAATCACTTGCAGAAGAGCAAACCCATCCGTCGCGCAGCCAGTGTGGGAAGATGCTTTTCTTTATCTTTACCAGAGCTGAAGAGCTTTTGCCTTTGTAATCAGCTTCTGTGAAGGAGCTGACACTCAGGCTTGGCTAGGGGAGCCCAGCAAGGGCCGGGGCCCACAGGATCCTGTCATGGTGGAGAATCTAGGGGTGTTCTGGTGCCGCTTTCCTCACACCAGACAAGCTGAGTTCAGCTCCAATTTGAGGGCCAGACTTCATGGATCCCATGAGGTTTTGATCCCCAACTGGGATGTACAAGTCCAAAGTAATGGGATGAAGAGCTCAGGTGAAATGACATGGGGATATCAGATGTGCCAGACTTCGTTCTTCATTCTGTATTTAGTGTAGGAGGCACTTCCTGTTGAACTTGCCTTACCCCCACCACTCCTCCACCATCACAGGCCACTCATTTAAGGATCAGCCCTGTCACTCAGAGAGGAGCACTCATGTGCCTGTGTTTGTGGAATGTGACCCTGTCCCCTATTGGCAGCTGATGGACCAGAGTGAGCACTTAACCTCAGCTGTGCCAATCACGCTTGTCTTCTATAAATGTGGACATGAAGAACTGGAATATAGTTTGGCGCCACTGGAGCTTAGAGAGAGGATTAATGCCAGGGAAAGGCTGACCATATTCTGCCATATATACAAAACAGCAGAGAAAACTCATCTGCCAAGAAAGAGGAAAATGAAACAGGTGCACAGGGGAAAGGAGATGAGACCACGTAACTTGGACAGTAGCTGTCCCAGTTGCTGATAACTTTCGAATTCCTGGCTCTTGACTCTAATGAAGCTGAGCCTTATGTCCTGCCCTTAGGTCTAGGCTCATCTCCGCCCCATAGAGTTTCCTTCTTCCTTAAGCTCCTCTGAGTCTCTTTCTATTATCTGCAATCAAAAAAGGAGTCTTGAAAAGCAATTAACATTATCATTCTGATTAGAAGTCTACTACTGGTTATTGAATACCTATTTTGTGCCAGGTACAGTTCCAGAAACATTGCCAGTGATTTATCTCACTTATCATCTTCATCAGCAACATCATAAACATTAGCATCAAAAAGTGTTTACAAAGAGCCTGCTTTTGTGTAACACTCAGCTAGACACAAAAGCAGAGATACCAGTAAGGTCCACGTCCCCTGATAGCTTTCTAGATGGGTATGCTGATGTTAAGACAAATGTACAGGGCATTAAATTAAGACATGAAGAGACAGTCAGATATTTGCCTCGTTATCAAGAGCTAGGTAAGGATAAGGAAACAGCTGATAAGGAAACAGCTGAGGGTATTCTAAGTGGAGAGTGAAGGGCTGAATCCCAGGTAAGAGAAAGCTTCAAGCTTGCTCAATTTGGACAAGGAAATATATAGAAAGGAACATAAAAGAGGCTGCAGGACTGAGTCAGTTACAGGGGCCATCTTTACCCATCAGGAGCACCTGTTTGGTCTGTGAATCCAGGAAGAATTGAGGGGAGACAGAAGCAGGCAGCAGGGCTGGGAAGGCTGAGAGAAGAAGGACCAAAAGAAACCTTCAATGTTGGTATTGATCCCCCTGGCAGATCTCAATAAGCATCTGAGATGCAAGCAACGGAGTCAGCAGACAGCTGGTAGGAAAGAAAGGCTGGAAGAGATAAACATGCAAAGTAGAAAAGTAGAGACTTATCTCTATTTTGAAAAGAGAGGGCCAAAGTGATCTAAAGATAAAGGAAAGAGGCTGAAGAAGAAAAACGAGATAAGAACAGAGGGTGCAGGGTGGGATCAGAGGCAGGGAAGGCCAAGGACTAAAAAATGTAAAGAGGGACAAAGAAAAACAAAAACTGAATTACAGAGGGTCAGAGATAGAAGCAAAGAAGGCAGGGCTGAGAGATACATGGGACAGAGGGTGTACAGAAGGAAAAGACAGAGGAACATTAGTCTAAGCTTTGGAGAGGGAGAATGGGAGACCAGCAGAACCCTTGAGAAACGGGGTGCTCTCCTGGCAGACCTTATCATCGCCCTTGGAGACATTTCCATTCTCTTCATATTTCTGGCTGGAAATCTTTTAAGAGTTTTTTTCTCTCTTCCATTCTGTATATAGATAGCTAGGCACTGTGCTTTGTCATTCTTCCAAACATCTCTGACATTCGCCACTCTCACATCACTTTGGATGACTGATGCTGAGCTTGGCCCTGCCTCTGTACTCTCTAAATGGTCTTTATCCCATTACCAATAACAATAATCTCTCCCATTTACCTACTTTTTTACAACGAACTTACAAAGTGACCCTGATCCTATAAACTGCTCTGTGAGCTAACATTATACCCATTTGAAAATCCATTCATTCATTTTTAAAAAAATAGGTCTTGAGAACACTTCTCAGTTCCATGCTCTGTGCCAGGGATTCAACACTGAACATGATGGATACAGCACTTTCCTTTGTGGAGCTTAGAGACCCACAGCAAAGATATATACTATACAACTAATTACAACTGTGACAAGCACCACAAGAAAGTAGTGGGTGCCATAAAGAAGTATGACAGAAAACCTAATTTAATCAGAATAACAGGGCAATAAAGTTTCAGCTGAGCTCTGAAGCAATGGAGAAGCTGACAATTGGAGAGTTTCTCAGACTTGTCCAGGGTCTAGAAGCTTCAGATCCGGGCTCAGAACTGTCCTCTTCTGAATGTTAGTACAGTGCTCTGCCCTCCTTGTATCTGTGCCCTTGGGGTAGACCATCTTGACATATACAGGAGAGAATCCCCTGTTCCAGAACTTCAGTGGCTCTCTCCAAGCCTATCACATCAACCCAACTCCTCTGCTGGATCCCCAGGCCCCCATAATCTAGCCATACCTTACTCATTCACCCTTCTTCTCCACCATTCTGCAGTACAGGGCCTGCATACAAGTTGATCCATCTCCCACGGTCCCTGGACATGGGGCATTCTTGACTCCATTTGCATATGTATTCATTCACCCAACACTCTTAACCTCTACCATGTGCCAAGCAGGTATCCTGTTCATGCTATTTCTTCTACCTAAAATTACATTCTCTTTACTTTTCACTAATAGAAATCCTGCTTACCATGAGTCTTATCTCCTCTTCTTTAAATCCTTGACATTTTATAATAAAAGGAATAAAGAACCCAAAGTCAGAACACTCATGTTCAAGTCCATGTATAGCTTAAATTTTCGCAACCTCAATTTTCCCATCTTTAAAATGGTGAAATAACTGCCCACAACAGAAATATTGGCATAAGACTCAAAACTCCAAAATAAGATACATTTCTGTATGAAAGCACTTTGTCAACTGTGGCACAAATTTAAGGAAAGAGAGATTAATTCACACCTGGCTCACTGGAGCTCTCTCTTTTCCACACTCCTGTCCATGCATACTTAACATCAAGCACTTATGTTTTCTCCACTTGAATCAGGGTGTTGGTTTTCCCTCCTCAACTAGATTACAGAGAGTTTAAGGGACAGAGAAATACCATACTCTTTTACATCCTCTGTGGTGCCTAGGGGAATGATAGGCACTTAGTAAGTATTATCTGGGTTTGTTAATTGAGCTCTCCTGAAGTGTAAGCAGGCTGTCCCAAGAGTATCTATCCCAATACAACATGGAAAGGGAAAAGGCAGACAGATGAACTCACACTTCAACTTAATCAGCAACTGTCCAGAGCTAACATATTCCAGGCTGTAAAGAAATGGGCATTCCTGTTCATGCCATCTGACCTCAGGCTTCCCATGCCTCAGAGCTGCCAGGAGCCCTGATGCCACCACACCTTGGAGATAAGAACCACCAGCCATCAGATTGAGATAAGAACCACCAGCCACCAGATTGATTTAGGGACGTAACTTGCTTTTTCTAGCAATTGCTGGAGTTTCTCTTCCCTTTGCTAGCCTAGCTGAAGCCTTTCTATAGCCCTAGGATTCTAGCAATAAATTTCCATTTAGCTATGACAAATGACTGCTGCTCCTGTCTCCCTCCTCTCACCCGCACCGCCTTGTTCTGAAGTCTCCTTCTCAGAGGTAGCTCAAGGGCCTTTCCTTTATGTGGCAGTGGCAGGTTCTGCCATTTACAATCCCCTAGAGATGGTCTCATTCCAGAACAGACTGATTGTGACCCTGAGGGGAAGAGAGGCTGGGATGGGAGACAGATGAAGAGAAGAGGAAGAGAAAAGCTGGGTTGCAAAGAAGAGCCTTCCCTAGGTAAAACCCTTGATGACACACAGCACAAGCAGGAAGAGGAAATTTGAATAATAAGAGGCTAATGGCAGAGGGGGAAGGCAGAGGGAAAAGGAGGAAGAGGCAAAAGTTGTTCATTAGTTGCATTGATTCAAGGGGAAAGACAAGTGATTAAATAATTCGCCCCCAAGGAAGAGGCTCCTGTTCCTGCTTTCCTTCCTTGGCAGGAAGCAGAGATAATTTCTTAGCTGAGTGGCTCTGCCTTTCTCCATCTGAGCTGGGGTTCATAAGGGGAAGGGAAGCAGGGCCCAGGAGTGGGACTCCACAGCCAGCTCTCAGCAATGCATACTAATGAGGGAACAGCTGTGGGGTCAGCGTCCAAAGTGGATGATCCCCAAATCCCTTCTCTCCCTCTCTCAGGGATTTATTACGTGGAGCATAGGTATGCTGAGCTCAGTTAAGCCTAACCTTAATACGTGGCCTAACATAAAAGCCTGTATTCCCTGAGGCTAGGCGATGTGACTGAGGGAAGTGGGAGGAAAGAAAGATGGATAGCTGGAAACCAACAGGGGCTGGAAAGTTTTACTTCTGCAAAGTAAGCAATCTTCATTCTCAAAGGCAAAAGTCAATGTGACAATACTCAGAAGGGAGGGAAGTTAGGCATTTATGTTGTTCCTACTATTGTTGATTATTGATTGACTAACCAACGTGTGTTGTCCCTCTGTTATTGGCCAGGCACAGAAGTGCAGAACCAGGAAGACACAGTCCCTCAAGGGTCTCTCAGTCTATCTAGAGGGACAAAGTGTCAACAAGTAATTTTCTTCCAATATAGTAAGGGCTGAGATGAGGCGATGTAGAGTGAGTGAAAGGGTGGGCCAAGACTGAGGCTTTCTGGAAGGTTTCCAGAGAAGGAGTGTGTTAGGGCCTCTTTGTGTGGCTGACTTTGTCGGACGGAGTTGATTCAGAAGTTGCCCCTGGTCTGCTGCCCCTGGATGTTCTAGCCCACACTCCTCACCCAGTTCACAAATTCATGGAAGGAGTCTGTGAATGTGTGTGGGCACACATAGCTGTGCACTTGTGTGGGGCAGCTACTTCGGGCAGCTGCTTCTTAACTGTACTTTGGCTGTCTTCCCACCTATTTCCTTTTGCGACCCTGTGATTGGCTCACACCCCAGGCCCTACCTGCTGGCGCAAGGTGTACTCAAGGCACTTTACAAGAGAACATGGCAATCTTAATTAAAGCCTTCCTCGACACGGATTTCCACAACAGAATTTTGGCCTGCCAACTCAGTACCATGTTTTTGGCAGGTAACAGGCAACTTTTAGAGGCATTCTTTTTCAATGCACTCCTTAATATACAGAGTCTTAAAATAAAGTACAAATCCAGCCTGGGTAGACAAGAGGGCCCGGCTGCCCCTGGGATGCTCCTGCCCTCAGAGAGAAGTAGGAGGTGGGCTCCTCCCCAGCCTTCTTCCCCCACATTCTTCTCTCATTTTTGGCCAGGTGCATCCACTTCCTTTACCAAGGATTTGGTAGCAGCTAATTTGAAGAGTAAGAGCAAATCTTTTGTCTGTAGAAAGTATTCCAGAGGGAACTGAAAATTAGTAACTCCCAAGTGAGCTGAAAAAGAATTTAGGAGGTCAGATAATTTATTTCGAATTTCCAGAATGACTTCATGCTCTCCCTCTTCCAGTCCAGTGATTTCAACTCCTGCTTCCCAGGTAAGCATTGCACCTGTGGGGTCTTGCAACAATTCCTGAAGAGTTTTGCCTTGGCTCTGCTTCCTCCCTCTGTGGGTATGTACTTGATGGGCAAACCCCACTTATCTAGGATGGAGAGGACACCAGCAATGTCCCTCTCTGACCTAATTTTTCCACTCAACTTCCAGAATCGCACCAGACTTCATTTCTCCATTTTCTCAGATGAAGCATGTGGTTTGACTACTCCCTCCACCACACCCCACACACTAACGTACCAAGGTCCCTAGAAGGCAGCCCAACAGGTTGATCAAATTTAACCAACTTAGCAAAAGTTTAAACAAGAAGCTCTGAACATTTACAAATGGTAGCCTCTTCCCTCCCAACAGTTGCAGCCAAAGGTGCCAATGGCCATTTAAGAAACTGGACTTTTCCCAAAGTAGCTGCCTTGCACATATGCACAGACAAGTGTGCACACACATATACACAGAATCCTTCCTTGACTTGAGCAGAAGTTAGCAAAGGAAAGGGGGCATGCTGAGTGTGGCCAGCAGGGGCACGGCCATGGATAAGAGTAGAGATATAGACTGGCCCTGACAACTGAGAGTTTCTTACACCATTTAGTCTACACTTTTTGGCTGAAAACAATTTAAAATAGCTGCCAAGTTCTAAATTTGGGATCCAAGTGTTAGGAGTTGGGGATCATTGCAAGGTCTCCCCTTTCTTGATACTCACTTTCTCTAAGAATTGAAGTGTATAAGGGACCTGAGATATCATCTAAGCCAAGGTCCTGAGGCCCAAAGATTTTAACCAAGTCAAACTTAGTGTAAAATCTAAAGCAGACTTCCAGGTTCTGGCTCCCAGAACCAGGCTTTTGTACCATCACACAGCTACTGGTTCTTCCAAATTAGGGATGGCAGAGAGGAAAAGGAAGATAAAGACTGACAGAAAGACATTCACAATAATAATCAGAAGGGCTATTTTGGGACCCACCCCCAAGCACTGTTGCAGAAATCAGTCACAAAGTATTTATTGATCAGCTACTATGCACTTAATGCTTTTCAAGGCGTTGTGGAGAGTGCAGAAGAGAAATAAAAACAGGGAAGCACCCAGTACAGTCTCTGGTCCTAAGTCACATCACAGGCACTCATTAAATGATTGTTGTCTTCCATTAAGCCATGATAATGCTGACCAATATTTATTGTCTGCTTACTGTGTGCCAGGGACCCTGTTCTAAGCTCCTGACATGCATTTATTTATCTCATTCCATCCCTTCCACAACTTTAGAGGTAGGTACTTCTTCCTACCATTTTTCAGATAATGAAACTAAAGTGCAGAGAGGTGAAGCCCAAGGCCATACACCTAGTAAGTGGTAATAATATTGTGCATTCAACCACCAGATTATGGAAGATGTGAGACACCCACATTCTATATCTCTGAATCTCATTTGAAAATGGGGTAGAATACTGACTACCTCACACAGCTGCTGCAAGGATTCATCAGATCCTGCCTAGTGGGCTTCAACACTCACTCTCCACATTGTGTAACACACCCCCTTCTCTCTGAGAGCCCAGCATAGGGGAGGAGAACTAACACACACACATGCACGCACACACACACACACACACACACACAACCAAAACCAAACAGTGCCTCCATTTCCTTACCAGCAAAATGAGGACAATGCTATTATTTACCTCATAAGGCTATTGTGAGAATAGACTGCATAAGACAAAAGAGTACTTAAAAGAGAGCTTGGCACAAAGTATGCACTTAGTAAATGTTAGCTATTCTCATTATTATCCTCACTATATCATCATCATCATTATTATTGGTTATGGAAATTTACTACTACTAGACTTCAGAAAACTGGGCTGGAGTATTGGAATCGCTTTATGAAGGAATGGATGGTGAAATGTTGCTAAGAATCATAGGGGCACTGAGAAGAGATGTTGTCTCAGACGAATAGGAGCCAGGGACGCAGGACTCTAGCCTCCTCGTGGGCAGGGGAACATTGGTCTAGAACTGGAAGAACTTGCACTGCTTTCCCCTCAAACTGTGGGCAGTGGAACCTGTGGCACATTCTTCCTGGTGGCCTCGGCTTGGGAACACTAGCCCTGGGGAGGGTGACTGACCTTCCTGAGAAGAGATCAAACCAGCTGGCTCCTAGGCTCTTGGAGAAGCAAGGAGTCTGCATCCTGGGAGCCTCACAGAGCCGCTCCATGCTGCAGCTCCTGCAAAGGGCATGATGCAGGACAGCTCCCCAGATGGAGACATAATGGCACTTCCGTTCCCACTCCTCCACCTCCCCTCAGCCCCGGCCACAGTGGCAGCTGTTGCTGGTTGGACGTGAGATTTGTATGCTGTTTACAGTGCTGCCTTTTTATTCTTGAACCTGAAAGCTTTACTGGGTATTAAATTCCAGCATCAGACTGCTGTTTGTGCTCCCAGGTGAAAGAAAGAGAAAGAGAGCTTTAATACTGTCAAAAAGTGGGGCCTGAATCATCTATGAACGGGCATCACAGGAAGCCCAGAGCCGGTATTCGGACAGGAGTTGCTTCCAGAAGGAAAATGTTTACTGTGGAAGGTCCAGCTCTGCCCTCACCCATCAATCCCTAAGCCCTTGTTAGCAGGATTACATGAATTGTTCCTTTCATTATTAAAGAACATCCTGGTGGTGGAGGATGTTGTGAGAGGAGGCTGCCCACTACGTTAGGACGGAGCCAGCTCCAGCAGTTATTTTTCTGTGATAAGAGAGAACCTCTGCTCTGGCTGCCGCAGCTTATTTAGCTTTAGCTTTGTTCTTGTTGGAATTTTTAAGACCACTTGTGACTCTCCAGGGGCTGGCTGAGCCACCAGCGGGTGGGCTGCTTCAGTGAATCAAACCCAGGTGGATTGTGGAGCTCAGCCACTTTTTCCAGCCCCAACCTCAGGTGAGGAAGATGCAGATTCAGAGTCAAACAGCTCCTAGGATATATTTTTTTCCTTGGAGCCACTAGCTCAATCCCTTCCTTAGAAAGGCTATCATCGCAGAATGTTTCATTTAGAATCACGAAATTGCAGTGCTGAAAGGAACAGGAGAAAAACAGAACAAGAGTTAGCATCGCGAGCATCTGGGGTAGGTCCTTCTCCAGACCCAAACCACCCCTCTCCTATTCATCTCCAAGCATGTCTAAAAATGTTTAGAATAAAAATGCAACTTTCATTCCTCTGCACACCTGGAAGGACTTTGTAATTCCCAGCCACCATGAACTAGCCACCCACTTCTTATGTATACCCTTGGAGTAGCTGAGACAGTGAAGTCCAGAACAGACAGGCTATCCCCAGAAAGGTCTTGGCAGTGCTGGTCTCCAGCACAGGTTGGTGTCTGCCAGTACCCCTCTAAGGAATACTGCAAACCCAAGGAGGACCAAGAAGCCTGATATCAGAGCACCGGGCAGGACTCTTTCTACCTCTGGGGAAAAAGGGTGATTGGTGATCTCCCTATTTGGTTGAACTGTCAGAGCTGTTGGGGAGCTCATGGTGGCCATGTTGGTGATGGCACCTCACATCCCAGAAAGCAAGGGCAATGGCTCATGCTCCGGCTCTGTCACTAACAAACTATGGGACTTGGGGAAACTTCTAGACGAAACCTCCTAGACAAAAGGAGTGACGTCTCCTAAGAGCTCCTCCACTCTGTGATTCTGGGTGGCCCTCTCCCCTGGGCCGTAAGTCTCCTGGGCCTGGGTGGTGACTTGTGGGACCTGAAGGGGTGAGGAGAGGGGGAGCAGCAGAGGTATCTGTCTACCCTGCCCTGAGGCCCATGTCCCCACCCTTAGCAGGAGCCTGGTGCCAACAGCTGGATGCTAAGGACAGTTACCCACAGATGCCTCACAAGCTGGAGTGAGTTTCTGGCAAGGAATGTAATGTTCCAGCAGCAAGAACATCAACAACCTCCCCTCAGGGTCTGGGGTCAGGCTGGAGGAGAGTGTGATGCACCAAAGTGCCATTCTTGCCTGGTAGCTGGTTTACCTCTCAGAAGAAAAAACTACCCTCCCCACTCTCCCTACTTTTTAGGCTGGAGGCTGCCTCCTAAAAAGTCCTGAGGAGAGATCGAGACCATTCTGGCTAATACAGTGAAACCCTGTCTCTACTAAAAATACAAAAAAAAAAAAATTAGCTGGGCTTGGTGGCGGGCACCTGTAGTCCCAGCTACTTGGGAGGCCGAGGCAGGAGAATGGCATGAACACAGGAGGCAGAGCTTGAAATGAGTCAAGATCGTGCCACTGCACTCCAGCCTGGATGGCAGAGCGAAACTCCATCTCAAAAAAAAAAAAAAAAAGTCCTGAGGAATGTTCGCCAAATGCCAAATCCAAGCCAATTTGGAGTTCTGGTGATGTCCAGTGGCGTCTCTGGTAGGCAAAGAGAATGCGGAGAGAGGGCTGAGTGTTCTAGGGGCTGGGAGGGCAAGAGCACAGAGCACCCGGCCAAGGGTGAAGAGCATGACCCAGGGGTGAGTCCTGCATCCTAGGATGGCCCAAGATGGGAAGCCAAGGGGGCTCAGGAGGCACAAGAGTCTGATGCCCAGAGTGAGGGAGCATCTGGGCAGAAATATAACGCTTGCAACAAGAAGATTATTTTAGCAGGAAGCAGAGCAATACACAGAAAACTGTGCCCTGGGAGTTAGAACTGAATAGCCGTCTGCCAGCTTGCCCCACATTAGGCCCTCAGTTCATCCTCTGAGAGTACACCAGGTCAAGAGAATCCCCAGGAGGCTGAGCTACACATCACAGAGTTCTTTCCAGCCAAGGTGCGCAGAAAGCTGACAAATAGCCTACTCTTCTAGAGGGAGCGCAGTGGGGAGAAGAAGAGGGAGCTGTTGCTTTCAGGTTTCGAAGAAAACATCTATTGAGGGATCCGAGAGTGTCTTCCTGTTTCTGGGCCTGAGTTTCCTCCACTGTCAAATAAAGGAGTTGGATTTGAGAGTTCCTCAAGTTCCTTCTAGCTCTGACATTTTGAGAGTCTGTGATTATTATAAATAAAAGAGATGTTATGCAGTAATTTGTCTTTCGGCATCAGGCTTGTTTCACTTAGCGTAATGTCATTCAGATTCATCCATGTTGTCACAAATGACAAGATTTTCTCCTTCTTTTTAGGGCTAAATAATATTCCATTGCATACATAGATCACGTTTTCTTTATCCATTCATCTGTTGATGGACACTTAGGTTGATTCCATACCTTGCCTACTGTGAATAAGACTGCAGTGAACATGGGAGTGCAGATATCTCTTCAACAAACTAATTTCATTTCCTTTGGATATCTACCCAGTAGTGAGATTGCTGGATCATATATTTTTAAATTTTTTCTACTTTTTAATTTTTTTGAGGAACCTCTCTACTGCTTTCCATAATAACTGTACTAATTTACATTTCCACCAACAATGTACAAGAATTACCCTTTCTTCACATACTTGCCTCTAAAAAAGCCAAACTCACAGAAGCAGAGAGTAGAATGGTGGTTGCCAGGGGTTGGAAATGGTGGGGGGGTTCGGGGGAATACAGTGATGTTAGTTAAATGGTACAAAGTTTCAGTTAGGCAGAATGAATAAATTCTGAGGGTCTATTTTACAGCATAGTGACTAAAGTTAATAATCATGTATTATATACTTGAAAATTGCTAAAAGAGTCTATCTTAGATGTTCTCATCACAAAAACATGATATGTGAGGTGATGTACATGTTAACTTGCTTGATTTAACCATTTCATCATATGTACACATATCAAAACATCACATTGTACACAATAAATATATACCATTTTTACTTGTCAATTATACCTTAATAAAATTTAAAACAATAAGAAAAAACAGAGAGAAGAGACAAAAAGAGGACGGTAAGAAAGAAAAGTTTGAGGGAAAAAAACAGTAAGATAGCAGAGGAGTGGGGAGAATTGGCCACTTTTTAAGGCAGATGAGCTTTGGAGAGTGGGATAGTGCCCTTGGTTGCACTAAGAGGAATTAATCTTTCAAGGCCTAAAATTTCTCTGTAAAGCCTCAGCCCTGGTTGCAAGAGGTCCCATGTTGATTAGAGCCCTTCGACTCTAAGCCTAGCGATTGCTTTGGAAGCACCAAGCAGACCCAGATTCCTACCCTGGAGAACTCAACTCTAAGACCAGAGGACCCTTGAGCTCTAATTACACTGTCTGCAGAAAGAAGCCTGAGTGGTTCCTGAGCCTGTGGCCACAGCCCAAGTCCGTAGCTCATGCCTAAGTGGGGCAGGGCTAGCCCAGGCGGGAGGATTAATGACAGTGATTGAATATTTTATAAGTGGAATATTGTGTATTTTCCAAAACCAAATGGAATGTCATTTTTTTCCCCCAAGAGAGATGGGGGATGTCACTGTCCTCATTTCCCATTCAAACCACATATTCAGTGGCAAACAAGATGAATGGGACTTGGAGTTTCCAGGGGAGAGGGCAGAGACGGAAAGGGAGGAAAAAAATTCTTTTTCACTTTTTCCTCCCCCTGCCAGCCTGTCCTCACGTTGCTGCTTTCCTCGTCACCCAGTATTTGAACCCACTGTCCCCCGGACCACTCCAGCTGCCAACCAGGGATTACATCCCCTTCCCTGACCCCTGAATGGCCTCTGTCCATAAGGAGATTAAGTCACAAGGTCACCTAATCCATCCTTCTGTTTCCAAGAAACACAGGGTATGAGACATGAAAAACTTGCCGGAAGATCTTCCTTCACGTTCTTAGCCCAAGGTCTTATTTTCTTTCTGTATAACTTCCTTTGGTCTAACTGAAGTCCGTCTCATTGCAGATGAAGGTCGTGCCCTCTAAATGTTGACTTTTGTGGAGAATGAAATATAATTGCCCTCCCTCCTTAGGGTGGAAGCTCTGCCTATTCTTCATATGAAAGTCTTGGGATTCAAGTGCTTCAGAAACCCTGGATCTATCATTGCCTCCAACTCACCCTCTTGAATGCATTACTGGCCTGTGCAAATGCAACTATTTGATTAGTGCTTGAGTGGTGAGAGGCCCCTTCCCTTCTCAACACCCTATTATATGCTCCAAGGCCACCCACATGCTCCGCTGCTTTGCATTTGCCCTGCAATCTTTCATGCCAGTTGACTTTTCATCTCCAAATCCCTTTTCACATTAAACACAAACCCACACACTCTGTCCCATTTTCCTTTGAAATAAATCATAAGCCCATGCCAGAAACGACTCAGGGTGTTCTCTGGAATTTGTAAACAGCATTAAAGTCTTGTGGGAAATGTCACAGAGTGTTGGTCTGAATTTATTAAGTAATTTCTCAGCTTAAAATATATCTTTCCAGGCTGCTGTCTGACAACATTTACCTCTAATGGAATTTTATCCACTCTTGATCACTAAACTAAGCACACTTCTATCCCAGAGTGCAGATTCCTGAGCTCTTCCTGTTCGGCTCTCAGTTAGGTAGGTTTCAGACACACTAGCCGTGCCCCTGCCTTTCAAAACCACTTGGAGCTGTAAGTGCCCAGCTATTCTCTATATCCGAGGGTGCCAGCACACCATTACACCACATGTACATGGATGCCACTGAACTTACAAACATGTTAATAACATCCACATTCAGCACTCGCCAGAGGCGGAACCAGGAAATGTCTCAGAGAAGGTTCTTTCTTCCTGCCAAATCTCCATCAGCTCCCAAGCTACCCCAAATAAACATACTTTTTAAAACAAAACCATAGTTGACTGTACAAAGTAACTACAAGACCAGTTCCGTTGCCTGCCTCCTCTTTTCTCAACCAGTTGTCATCTGTTAAGCCCCTCCTTTGGAGAAATGTTGGCACTGTCCTTGGGTCATTTTGAATTCTAGTTTCAATCAGTCAATTAAACAACACATCTATAAAGAGCAGCTGTTTTGTACAAAGTTGAAATTAAGTGAGGGAATGAAGAGGCTGTCAGCTTATGTCTTTCCCAGATCCATCCTCTTTCTGTGGCCTCGGGCCTCGTTGGTTCCAGGACTCATCCTAACCAGGGCAAGAAGCCGTTTCAGCAACACAAGCCCAGCACTTGTTGGGGCCTGGCATGGGTCATAATACTCTAAGCCCAGAGTCCAGGTTAATTAACCCCAGGCCTTGTTACAACTCTGAATGTCAGTGTCCCCTACCCTGTAATACACAGAAGATAGTATAACACACTGGTCAAAAAATCTTCATCGTGGAATCAGACGGGGTTGGAATCCAAGTTCTGCTACTTACTAGCTGTGTGGCCTTGGAAAGGTTGCTTAACTACTCTCTGCTTCAGTTTCCTTATCTCTATAATGATGATAATATTATGCCTGCTTCATAGGGTTATTTTGAGAAATAAAATTCTAGATGTAAAAATGCATAAAATAATGCCTAGATATTCTTAAATAATGAACCATTAATCATAATTAACAAAAAGTCATTATTACTTATCATTATTAAATGCTTGCTACCACTTTATTGTTTGGCTGGCAGTGTACCCTTAGCTTCTTGTCTTCTAATTAGACATACCAGTCCCTCTGTGTCTATAAACCATTTACTGCCTGGTGACTGGAGAGAGGCTCAGGAAGTGGCTGCCCAGGCTGGATATGCCCAACACTTGCCTCCAAATATGGCTCTTCTCCTGGTACTGCTTTGAGGATGCAAGAACACATTCAGCTCTCAAGAGGTTTGCATTTCTGGAACTGAAGGTAAAACTGCCCACCCTGCCTTCTTCCTGAAAGAGTGCCAGGAGTCCCCTCTTCGTGGCTAGGCCAAAAGCTCCCTAGTGGCAAGTGTAGAACCAGGGCAAAAGGAATATAAGGTCTTAGTGGAAAGTGAAACTGGTTTCAATAGCCAATCTTAGAATGGAAGTTTAAAGCAACAGTTCATCAGAATATTATAAAAGTGCCAAAAAAAAAAAAAACTAGTAAGAAACAAGAAATCTGAGACAAAATATAAGTGAATGAAAACCCATAAGGCCAGGTTAAGAAGCCAAGTATAGAACTGAAACTTTGAGAGTATTCCTATTAAAAATGTTGTCTTGTTCTGGAACATATGTTCTGTTTGAACATACCCGTTCTCTGTTCTAAGAATATACTGATGAAATAGATGGAAATCGCAGGTGCATGTGCTGGCAAATGTTTATTGGTGTTCCTTTTTATCTGGACTCAAGACAGTACCCAACCTTCTGTTTGACAACATCACCTCAAACATGTTACAATTAATTATACAACTTTTCTTCACATCACATTTTAATTTGGAAAGACGTGGGAGACATCTTTGTTTCTTAAGAAGATTTGCAAATTAATCTAAACTCACTGAAAATACATTTACAAACTCACAGTGGGTTAGTTATATGTATTCTAACCTCGTTCTCATTTTTCAACTTCAAAGGATGGTTTTCTAACTGTGTGTCTGAAGTCTAGAGGATATTTTGAGTCATTTGAGAGATGAAATAAACTATACATTTATTCGTTTACTTTATACTTTGGATTTTTAAATAAGCATAAAGAATATGACAATTTAAAATGTTTCTTCTATGTCTTAAACCCTGATTAAAGCAATGGAGTGAAAGAATGTTCCTACATGTCAAGACAAGCACTCAGGCAGTGGGCGGAAGGCAGGACTCTGTGCTGGGCATGTCAGTGAGCAAGCCTGACCTGGGAGTCCGCGTTAGGGCTATCAAATCCAACAGTTAATGAGTAAAACTACAGAAACAACAGAGAGCATGAGGACAGGTAAGAAGGTCAAATGCAAACTGGTCAGAGCTGAAAATAAACCTAGGATTAATTATAAGTGAATTAAACCTACCAGCTCAAATGAAGTAGCCAATTTTGCATTTGACATGTATATTTGTTAGTATCATTTTTATAGGTGTGTGTGCAAAGAGAACTTATTCTATTTGTACTTTGTCAACTTTCATAGGAGACTTCTTATTCTTTAAAAAAAAAACAGTATTTTAAAAATTCATGTGATATTTCTTGTCAGTAGGGTTGGTTTTGCAAGTCATACCCCTGGGAAGTTGTTTTCAAATCTTGATCTGCATCAGAATTACTGGGAGTCTCTGAGGCAGGAGGGCTGGGTGTCTGCATTTTGTACACATTTCTCAGTTGAGTCTAAGGACCAGTAACGCTTAAAAACCATTACCCTAGAAAACAGCTCTGTCTTCCTCTACAGCACGTGAGCTACATGACTAATTGCTACTTAGTGCTTTTATTCTCTCACTTCTCTCTTTCATTTCTACTTAGGAACTCATTAGAATATAAGGAAAGTCACCTGGTTATTAGGAAGAACCTCCTTGAGATGTTATCCCTACCTTCCAGTTACTTACCAGGAGAACCTAGTAGGAAGACAAAGCATAGACATGGAAGTTCATTACTAATATAAGCAACCTGGGATGGGGTAAGGGTGGGAATGTCCTGTTGGCACATATCTAGAAGTTTAGACAAGCAAAAGATAGGGGTACTGTGACTGGAGATGACTTTGTAATAAAAATGAGTCTTGGGAGTGCTAAAGGATGGGTAGGGTGTACAGAGACAAGTACTTGGAGGAGTGTTGCCGGGTGAGAGAAGGCTGCAACTTGAGGTTGCCGAGCAATTATCAGGGTTCCTCTTTGCTGTGATAATATGCTAATTAAAATTGTCTTCAGCTTCCACAGGCACTATCTAGTTAATGCTCAAAAGGGAGGAATTTTTAAAAAATGAGTCCATAAAATTTAGTACCAACTTAATTTTTATTCATTGTGAATCAATGCAGAAACCAAAATAGACCTAACACATCGTTGTTGAGTGTGTTTTGGAATCACGACACATTCTTGGCTGGAATCAGAAAGGTGTTAAAACTAAAGAGAAGGTCCCAGGTCTGCAATTCCACTTGTGCTTGCACTTCTGCCCTTGGCATCTTCTAATAGGAACATCTCCAGGAACAGGAAGTCAGCAAAACCCATTAATGGGTATACGGTAAAGCTGCAGGGCATATATACAGTACCACCCTGGACCTGGGTAACCAGGACCTCTGCCCTTGGCTCCACAGTTTAGAGACCCCTGTGGCCCACCCCTCTTCCCTCTTATCCCTTCCTCAAGGGTGATGAGTCCACAGGTGAAGAAACATGCCCTCCAAGAGCCTATGAACTCCCTTGTAGATGACACTCTGGGTACTTGGGACACTGGAATTCCCTGCCCTTCACAGGCCACTTCCACAGGTCCATATTTCCAAGGGCAGTCAGTGCCAAAAATATGCACACCCCTCATACCCACTTGTACAAACATAGCTTGGACAAGTGGGTAAAGGCCTTAAAGGATGGATGGGTGAGAGTTGAAGTCAGCAAGGGAAAGGGCTAGGAGATGGGGTGGAGGGACCTCAATTTCCACCCTTCCCTGGACCGTAGTAAAAATATTAAGGAGGTCACCAAAAATCCCAACCCCTTGGGATTTGTGACAGCCCCTTTCTATTTCCTGTCCAAAAGTCAAATATTAGGGGGCCATACCCTACATCCTATGTTTCCATGGGGAAAGGGGCATGCCACTTCATTCCCAGGGAAAGAACAGTAAAACTCTCTCCATCCTCTCTCCACTCCCTCTGGTTCTCCCCAAAGGAGAAGAAATGACCTATCTTATTGGCGAAGTTGGAGAAATGTTTGTGAATGCATAACTCAGCCCTTCCTGCATCTTATAAACCCTACCTGCCTGTAGCCATCACCTTTTCTCCTCCATGTGGGGATTAGGTCCATGCAGGGATTAGAGGGAGGCTCAAAACTTTTCCATTCTGTGAATGATATATTTGTAGATCCAATTCAGGGAGGATGAAGTAGAAAGCCTGTATGTGGCCACAGATCTGACAGCAATCGTAGCTGTCTCCAGCTGCAGACCCAGCGTCATCTTCTGCATGTGGAAATGGACCGGCAGCTCCACAATGCCAAGTCTGAGATAAGCCACGAGGGTTTTGATGGAGAATAAGACAGTAGGAAGTGAGAAGGGGAAGGAGACAGGAAATGTCTTATCAGTTTAGGAGGGAAAATAACTAGAACAAGGGATGACGAAACATGGGGAACAAACTGTAAAGGGCATTCGAGGGCAGTTGAAAGAAATAGCTTTGTCTGGATAGAGTAGAGGAAAAGGGGATTGAAAGGGAGATAGTAGGTAGGGGACATAGCATTAGTGGAATTTAAGTAGGCCGTGAAGCAAAGGATTTTTAGGTACAAGAGAACCTAAAAGGGCTCTGGAAAATGCAGATAACGTGCATAGGAGTAAAGGCCTGGAATCTAGTGATCTTAAGGGCCAAGAATGACTGCAGGATGTAAAAGTTAATCTATGTTAAGCTTGGTCAAACTGCATCTAATGAATGACTAAGTTGAATGCATATAATATACCTATTTCTATCTGTGCATGCCTTGAAACCTGGAGCTCCTCTCACTATAAGGAAGGAGTTTGTACAATGAACAGCTGATTGAACAGAAGCATGCTTTTGAACCTGGATGAAACCACAGTGCAGAGCTCAGTCACAATTTCAAAATTAAAGCTAAAAATGACAACAAAACTCTCCAAGTTTCTGTAGCTGGAGGTGATGGAGGTGGCCATTGGGGCTGCCAATTACTGCCAGATGTCCTGTTCTTTTATGCATACTTTTAGTTATCTAAATTAAATGATGGTTTGGCAGGGAGAGATTATTTCATTTTGTGTTAGAGTTTCCTGTCCGCACCTTGGTTTAATTGAAGACACCATGGGCTGTCATATAACTAATACTGGAGTTCATCATACTACACATTTGGGATGGTATGAACCCAAAGCTAGAGACAAATTAATATACAAAGGCTTGGATGATGTGAAAATGGAAAACAAAGAGAAATAGCTAATAGTTATTTCAAGAGAAGAAAATGTAGATGAAAAAAAGACATAGAAACAGAAGCAGGAAGATTTTTTTAGTTGGAAAGAAAGAAGGAAGGAAGGAGGATGAAGTAGAAAGGAGGCAAGGAGGAAGGGAAGCAAATGATTGGGTAGATAAACAGGGAATAGAGAAAGGAAAGGAGAAAATAAATGTTCTGTAAGTAAAAATATACGCATGAAACAAGGGTATTTTCTCTATTTCATTCAACCTCTTTGTGGTTGTTTTGTTTTTAAAAGCAGGGAATATCAAACAGCTGTTTTTACAGCTTCTGTCACTTTGTCAAAGCCGGCCTGCACACTCTGACTGCCAGGCACACCCAGACAGCATGCTAGTGGCAAGGCGCTCTGGTGAGCAGATGGGCCAAGCCTGCAGCCACACAGAAAGGTCAGTGCTGATGCCCATCAGGCCCCTCAGGGCTAGAGCCGAAACCAAGACCCTGGGAACCTGCTGGAGAGAGATAAGCAAACACTCAAGGCAGCATTTCTCTTCCAGATTAAAAAAAAAGAAGAAGAAAGAAAGAAAGAAAAAAAGAAAGAATTTGCCTAGAGATAATCTTCACTCAGTGCAAGCAGCAAAAAACTCAATGTCAGATGACATGAACTTAGGCCCCAACTCTGCCATTTCTGACCTATGTGGCCTCAGGCTGTTTGTTTTGCCTCTGAAAGTCTCAGTTTCCCCATTTATGGAATAAGGATAATACTTCACAGGGTTTTCACAAGGATTAAACAAGGTAATAATATGGCTCACAGCCTAGAAAATAGAGGCCCGTGGTCACTATGTTAAAAACTCATGTTTGGAAAAAAGAAACCAACAAATATAGATGATAGACAGATGGAGGGAGGGTGAGAGATTAGATAGATAGGTTGACTGACTGATAGACAGGTGACAGATACATAGATGAAGGAGATCCAGGAAAGTCTTTCAAATAAATTTTTGGTTTCTGATAAATGTAAGAAGGGTCTTCTACTCTCTTCCTCTCCTCCCATTCCTGCCAGTAGCAGCCAGGCCTCTTGGAAATCACAAAGGTGATTCTCCTTTCCAAGTCCCTTCCCAAACAAGCCCTCCAGTAGCACTGCTCATGGGGAAACACTGCCACGTCCAACAGAGGTCTTTATCAGAAGCCCTCAAGGAAGGGGCTTCCTCCCCTAGTGGTCTGTTCCCTCCTAAGAGTTATTGCACTACTTCATGATGTATCTGTGATGGGATGGGAGTAGGGGACACATAGAGATAAACAGTAGGAAGAAGAAGAGATGCGATCTCAGAAGCACCAGCATGAGAAGGCAAGAGCAGCATGTCTGTCTCTCCCCCAACAAGCTGGTGAGGTCGAGGGCATGGTCAAAGGTCAAGGAGGATGTGCCTGGAAGAGGGCCCTTTCCTCACAAGACCATAGCTTACCCAAGTGCCTCTTTACAGGGCTCCTGCCAGCTCACCAGCACCCTCATCTTTATCATTATCATCCCAGAGCAGAAGATTCCAGAAGACAAGTGAGCCTTTTCTGCAGGGCCTGGAGAAGCACGCAGTGTCTGCCTCCTCACTGGGCACTTGGCTTGCCAGTCTGAAAGCATGGCCCTTGGCCTGGCCTCTCTGAGACACTTAGATGATAAATAGAGCCTGCTCTCACCACCACCTGCACTTGGGCCCACCCCAAACACTTAGCCAGGAGCACGATGGTTAAAATTATAAATCAAGTTAACAAACTGTTAAGAAAAATATACTCTACCCTCCTACCTTGATAAATATACCTTCATAAGCCTGAGAAGTTTAAATTTAGAATTTCCAGGCTCCTGGGAGCTTGCACTGGCAAATGGAGCTATGGAGAAGGATGACTTCCCACCCCCAGGCTGCCCCCCACCTCTTCCCACACTGGGCTCTGTCTTGCCCTTGAGGGACCTCACACACATGTGGACACCCAGCCCGCATGTCCAAGCTCTGTCCACAACCCCAGTGGGACAGTCCATTCTCTAAAGGAAGTACTGAGAAGAAGCTTACACAGACTCAGGAGCAGGTGTGGAGCCATTTGGCAGGGAATTGCAGGTTCTCAGGTACCTGAAGTATGGTGTAGAAAGAGGGTCACCGTCCTTGGGTGGGTGTATCCTCCTGGCCTTAAGGATTTATTGCCCTTTGGGGAGGAATATGGCTGGAAGGGGATTACAGCGGGCAGGTCCAAAGCAGAGGTCCCTATGCCCAGATCCTTGCTGTCAGCATCCTCATCAACATCATGCCCTACACCCAATAGCATTCTCATTCCCATCCCAGGCAGTGTAGAGAACATTACCATTGGATTCGCTGCCTGCTTGGGCCCTTGCTACACCCTTCCAGCCACAGTTTTACCAGCTTCAGCCAGGAACTCGAGTTTCTCAAGCCCGAAGCCCTTTTGGGAAGAGACTGCAGGGGCAGAGAGAGGAGAGCCAGGCTGGAGACTGAGGCAGGTTTGAGTGGAGTGATGACTCCTGGGGCAGGTCCCATTGTTAAGGAGGCCCCCCACCAGATTTAATGGAGCGTTTCTGCTGTTCTTTTCACAGTGTTGTGGCTCTTAATAGGCTCCCCTGGCGGGCCGTTCAGAGCCCACGCTGCCTCTGAGCAGCTGCTGTGCTGAGCGAGAGAGCAAGCGGCTCGTTTGCAGACCACGTGCCTGTCGCCTTCTTAGGAAGCCATCACGGCACGTCCTGGAACAGGCTCCCGAGGAGGCATCACAGTTTAGCGTAATTCGTCAACTTCACAGCTGCTACTTGGGAGGGAGGGGGCCAAGGAAGCCAGCGCCAAGCCACTCAGGAATCTCAGTAGCATTCCCCAGGCCAGCAGAGAGAAGGTGAGCCCCAGCAGGAGTAGGCAGAGCTTCCAACGTGCTGCTAGCTTCACCTCCAGCCCTGGCCAAGATCTCTACTTGCCCTGAGGGTGCCAGCAGACTGGAAACTGAGGGAAACAGCTGGGTCTTCAGGGTCAGAGAGAGTGGATTCAAGCCTCCTCATCATCCATAATCTATGTTGTAACAAGCTTTTCGGTGATTCTGATGCACACTAAAGTTTGAGAACACCTGGTCAAGCCTCCCCCACCCCCACCCCAGTGGTCTCCCCATTTCTCCACCTTGGCCTCTCCCTAGGATTACCCTGACCTCCTGACAATCTAGCAACTAAAAAGTCAGCGCCTGGCACAAGAGCAAGCTCCAGGACCTTGCTCCAGCTGCCTCCATTCTGTTTGGTCAGTGCCCATTATTATACCATATGAGGTCTGCCTATCCCATGGGGTTGTTGTGGGCATTAAATAAATAATGCCTGTAGGGTGCAAAACAGAACACCTGGCATAAAGAAAGCACTTGACTGGTGGAAGATACTTTGATGTTATTTTGGGGGTCTCTTACTTTCTTTGCAACCTCTGGATGCACAGTTCTGCCCTGGGCCAATTTCCCCTTTCTTGTCTTCCTTCCCTCTGCGGCAAAGAGCCAGCCTGCTTGCCGGCTTCCAGTGGTCACCAGAGCTTCCTCAGCCTAACCCACCTAGGAACATCACAGCATCTCTGTTTTCCACCCCATCCATCCTATTCCAAAAGAAAACATGTAACCTCAAAAAGTTAATGTTTTTTGGATTTTTGTTGTTGTTGTTGTTGTTGTTGTTTTGAGATAGGGTCTCACTCTGTTGCCTTGGCTGGAGTACAGTGGCACAATCATGGCTCCCTGCAGCCTCCATTTCCATCACCCGGGCTCAGGTGATCCTCCCACCTCAGCCTCCTAGGTAGCTGGAACTACAGGCGCACACCACCACACCCAGCTAATTTTTTGTAGAGATGGGGTTTCACCATGTTGCCCAGGCTGGTCTTGAAATCCTGGGCTCAAGCAATCCATCTGCCTTGGCTTGCCAAAGTACTGAGATTACAGGTGTGAGCCACCATGCCCAGCCTGGTTGTTTTTTTAATAGATTGTTTTTTAGAGCAGTTTTAGGTTCACTGCAAAATTGAGCAGAAAGTACAGAGTTCTCATGTATTCCCTTGTCTCCACACAAGCACAGCCTTGCTCACTATTGTTTTAATCAATCAACCTACATTGACACATCATTATCACCCAGAGTCCATAGTTTATATTAGGGTTCACTCTTGGGGTTGCAGATTCTATGGGTTTTGACAAATGTAGAATGGCATGCATCCACCATTATAGTACCATGGAGAGTAGTTTCACTACCCTGAAAATCTCATGCTCTGCCTGTTCATCCTTCCCTTACCCCGAACTCTGGCAACCACCCATTCTTTTACTCTCTCCATAGTTTGGCCTTTTACAGACTGTCATTCAGTTGGAATCACACAGTATGTAACTTTTTCAGATGGCTTCATTCAGTTACTAATATACATTTAAGATTCCTTTACATCTTTTTATGGCTTGCTAGCTCATTTATTTTTAGCACTGAATAATATTCCATTGTCTGAGTGTACCCATGTATTCATTCACCTAATGAAGGATATTTTGGTTGCTTCTAAGTTTTGGCAATTATGAATAAAACTGCTATAAACATTCATGTGCATGCTTTTGTGTGGACACAATTTTCAACTCATTTGGGTAAATACCAATGAGTACAATTGCTGAATCATATGGTTAAGAGTATGTTCAGTTTTCTAAGAAACCACCAAACTGTCTTCCAAAATGGCTGTACCGTTTTGCATTCCCACTAGCAATGAATGAGAGTTCCTGTTGCTCCACATCCTCAGCAGTATATGGTGTGGTCAATGTTCTGGATTTTGGCCATTCTACTAGGTATACGCAGTAGTGCAGCTCATCATTTTAATTTGCAATTCTCTAATGACATATGTTGTTGAGCATCTTTTCATATGCTTACTTGTCATTTGTACATCTTCCTTGCTGAGGTGCCTGTGTGGGTCTTTTGCCCATATTTGCTTTCCGATTGTTGAACTTTAAGAGTTCTTTGTATATTTTGGATCACTGTCCTTTATCAGAAATATCTTTTGCAAATATTTCTCAGTCTATGACTTGTTTTCTCATTATCTTAAGGTTCATTGATTTCTAATGTTTTTTTCTCTTCTGTTTTGTTTTAGTAGCAAAGAGACAAAGGGAAAAATAAGAAATATTTAGTGAAAGTGAATGTTACAAGCACTCTAAAAGGCCTCACAGTGGAAGTTCTCCTGAGGTCTAGGGACAGAGTGCAGATGTCTTTCACAAGTCCCCCAACTCCTGTCTTTCATTTCCATTCATCCACACCTTGATTAAAAGCTCCATCCTTAGATAAGGAACTCCCCAGGCAAACTTCCTCAAAACAGTTTTTTGTTCCAATAGACAAATGATTAGCATTTCTCAACACCTTTGGGCCCACTGGCCTCTCTGAGAATCTAATCAAAGCCACAGGCCCATCCCCATTAAAATGCGTATAGACACATAAGCCCACACTCTTACATGCCCTCTCAGGGTGTTCACAGACTTCCCGAAGCCCATCCAACATTTGGTGCCACCAAATTAAGGGACCCTGCTGGAGAAGAATAAAAGAAAGAACAGAGCTGCTAACAGGCAATCAGGCAGGGCACTAAGGAGCAAAGTTAAAGGCATTCTCTTTTCAAAGAAAAACCCAAATTCACAATTTCTGATCTTCAAAGCCCCTGAGACCACTCTCTTGTCAGCACCTTGCTCTTTTGAGATTTGGGGAGAAAATAAAGAAATGCAGTCCTCCTCCCGCTGCAGCAGCACCGCCCTCTCAGCTCTGCCCCACAAGGCCTCCTAGTGGGCCATCAGTGGGCTTGCTGTCTGGGGCCTTCGTGGTTGACACAGGAGGCAGGTTAGGGCTAGGGCAAGGTGAGTAAAAAACTCATGGTGCAAAATGTAAGGGGACACTCACTCTCTGGGCTCTGCAGAGAAGTCCATCTAGGAGACATTTGGCCAGTAGCATTCACCATCTATGGAAAGAGTCAGCTGCCAGGAGGGTAGAAAACTTTGGCCCAACCAAGATAGAGTTGGTTTGTACCAACCACAGCCACCTCAAAGCAGAGCTCTCTGGCATTTCACCAGCTCTCAGACCACCTCTGGTGACCTTTGAAAGTGAGGACAGTCCAGCTCCCACATGGGAAAGAGAGCAGGGACCTTGTTATCACTTGACACAGAGCCCCAGAGAAGCTGGCTGGGAGCCCTGAGGAGAGGGTCTTTCTCCATCCCCCTCCTGGGGTGGTGGCAGTCACGCTTGCTGGAGTGGCTCCTTCCCTGTGGTGAGATGAAGGGACCACCTCCAGGAGGTCTGAGTGTGGACACTGGGGCCTGGTCTTCACACACAGTCCTCTTTCTCTTCAGCACCATTCACATGCAGCCTCCATGAGCTCACCCAAGTCCTTCCCATGGCTCCTGGGCATTCACACCACCCCTTTCCCTCTAGAAATAGATTCCACTGCCCCACAATCTTCAGCTCTGGGCTCCCTCCCTCTCCTCCCCTCTCCCCATCTGTCAGCTGCCTGAGGCTTCTCCAGTCTCCCCAGGCCTAGGAAATACCAGCCCACCAGAGGAGGGGCAGAGCCCACCCACCCACCTTCTGCCCCAACCCTGTGGCTGCGGTGGCTGAGGATAGGGGAGGGAAGTGTTGTAGAACAGACAGTAACTGAGAATGGCAGGGGAAAGGATCATCAACAGCTACTCAGGTGCGAAGCTGGTGAGCCCTGGAAAGTTAAATGGGGTGTGAAATTCATCCTTCCATGTCTTCCAGAAGTGGGAGTCTTCACATGCTGGGTGCCCCAGCCCAGTCAGCCAAGGAGGCAGAACAGGTGAGGCCAGCAAATCCTCACTTAGGGGGAGACTCCCCCTTCCTCTACCACGCACCTCTTTGTTCTCCTAACCTTCGCCCCATTACCCAAACTTCATCCCATTGCCCTGTCACTATTGTTATGTCAGGCCTTGGAAAAGACTGATGCTGAGGTCACTGGAGGAGATGGGGGAGCACACATGTGCCCCCCCTACACACACACGCAGACACACGAGTAACCTAGAACTTGAAGGGTTTTTTCCTAACCCCCATCCCTTAGGGAAGGCGGTTTTAGGATTTTCAGAATTTTCAGGGATGGGAGAGTGAAGGCAATGAGCCTACACAAAAGTTGTCCTATGAATGATGAGACTATAAATAATTTAAAGTCTTCCTAACAAGGACTTGTTGTGCCATGGAAGGCTTGAGGAAGACAGGACAGGAGTTCAGAAGTCAGCCATGTGACTTCATGATTCTCTGTCGCTCCTCACTTGGAGGCATCTCACGGTATGTCTTGCCTTCCTGGACCTCTGGTTCGTGACATAAATATTTATTGAGCATCTTCATTGTGACAGGAACTGTGCTAAGTATTGGAGATCAAACTAATAATAGCTACATGCTTTTTATGTGTGGGCATAAAAGTTCCACGTGTTCTAAGCACTTTGCTTATGTTATCTCACTTAATTCTCACAATAACCCTAAGAGGTAGACACTTTACAGATGAGGACCCTGAGGCACAGAGAAATTAAGTAAAATGCCCATAGTCACCCAGCTAGAAAGTGGTGGGACGGGGTTTGGACCCAAGTTGTCTGGTCTCAGACCATGCTCTTTACCACTATTGTATACTCCCTCTCAGACAAAAACAGACACACTCCTTGCTTCATGGACCTCACAGTCTAGTGCTAAGTATGCCCCATGGGCCAAATCGGGTCCACTGCCTGTTTTTATAAAGAAAGCTTTATTGGAACACAGCCACGCTTGTTTGTTTACCTATTATCTATGTCTGCTTTCATACTACAATGGCAGAATTCAGTGGTTGTGACAAAAACTGTATGGTCCACAAATCTCTAAAATATTTGCAATATGGCCTTTTGTAGAAAAACTTTGCAACTCCTGATCTAGTGGAATAGAACCATCTTGCCTTTCCCTGGGACATCAGGAGGACACATGAGGTGATGGTAGAGACAACACCTTGAGCTCATTAGTCTGAGGAGTCCCAGTGAAACACAGCCAGAGTATGCCCAGCCTATTCATCCAACTACCATTCCACCTCCAGGATGGCCAGCCAGGATGTCTCGGGAGCAGCCTGCTCCTAATTGTTCCCACTATCACTCAGTGCCTAAGCCCAGGGGAGAAACACCAGGCATTGGCTGGCAAGAATCATAGCTAGCTACAGTCAGAGGATCCACCTAAAAGAGGGAATCAATACGTTCTCTGGGACCTAGACACTGCAGGCAGCTTGGGAGACGGTGAACTCTGCCTCCACCCAGTGGGTTGCTCATTGATCTACCTAATCATTCAACATTCAATAAGCATTCACTATGGGCCAGGTCCAGAGTGAGTGCTGTGCTCACAGGGAGTCATGCTACGGATATGGCTCAGACAAAATCACACATTGGACAAGGATTAGACAAAAAACACCATACTATTCCTCCTAATTCTCGATGCTATGCTTTGATGTTCTCCTAGGGTTTGCATCTTTGCAAGGAAGGCCTCCAAATTTAGGTCTCAGGTGGTACGCAGGAGAGGATCAAATTTGAGTAAAGCTGCCCCACTACTTTTCTTGCTTCCAAGGCAAGCTTCCAGCTCTTTCCAAACCTACCCCCATTAGATTGCAGAGCAGCTCTCTCAGCAAATATTACAAATAGATATGGAAATATATATTTCCATATATATTTTTCCACATATATATTCCATATATATAGTGTACAATAAGCCCCAGATTATTCTATTCAGCCATGATTAAATGGCAGCTAATGAAAAAAACATTCAGAACAAACATGAAGTAAAGAAGCTGTTGACATAAGTGCTTTGAAGATGTGAAACCTCAGGCTAGCATGGGACTGCTTAGACAGATGAAAAAGGTGAGAACATATTTACATATCTGATACAAAATTTAGGTTAAATGCATACTTTTTCTCTATCTTGTCATTGTTGAGTTTCCATCTAGGTCTATTTCTTAAAAAAATGCAAATAACTTTTCTACAGTATTGAATGGTTTAAGAGCTCTAAGATGTGTTGACTTATTAACTAGTAGACCACTGAAGTTTGCTATAGGAGACAACATGTGTTAAAATATTTGCTGTAGAAAATTGTTCCCTGAAAGTAGCTAAGCTGTGTTTATCAAAGCAGGTTAAATTTTCTCACCAGCCTTGCCATCATTAATCTACTGACTACGACCTCCCTAGTCTTGTTATAATTCAACCAGTGAAAACGACTCGGCAGAGCCTCTTAAAATTAGGAGCATGACTAAAGGCATTCCTTCCCTAAAAATGGGTTATTTTGAAAGTAAAATAAACAAGTGTTTCTAACAGATTAACTTTAAAACACCATGTAAAATCTCGATTTTCCATGACAGGGGAATTCTCATATAAGGAAGTTTAATGAGACTCTGCCTAAAGAATTTTCCCTTTCTAGCGCCAACACATTAGCAGATCTTTAGGTCACCAGGGTGTATTTCTAGAGGCCCAGCTGCTGCTTATTCCTCCTACTTCATTCCAATTCTGAGAAAAATACACAAAGTGCATCTTTTCCACAAGCCACTAGCCAGAATCCTCATTACCTTTCCTGGAGCTCATCACCACAGAAGACTCTGGGAAAACTGGCAGGGAGGCTGGAGCATGGGGAAGCTCCTGGGAGGACTCTCGCTGTTCTCTGACCTAGCCCAGAGCCTTCCTGAGCCAGAGACCTAGGACTGGAGAAGTAATTTGCTTTTTAATATATTTCTCCCCTCAGACAGGATCAGAGAAGTGGTGATGGCTGTTGCTGAAAGCTTTATGGGTTAGACACAAACATTAATGGAATGACAGCTGGAAAGAGACAAATATAACATTATTATGCCAGGCTTCTCTCAGGGGAGCTGGTTAGATGGCCACAGCAGGCATACCAGAAAACCATGTGGTGGCATCCATCAGTGGCCTCCCAGGCCAGGCGTGTCCAAACTAGAATGAATGACTTCTTCCGGATACATCCTGCACACATTCCAAGAAAAAGCAGGGACATGCTGAAGGTGTGGCTTGCATGGCCCAAGAAAAGACACAGAGGAGGGCTAGGTTTTGAATAATCAATTGCTCAGGTGAAAACAGCTGAAACTGTTCTCAGTTTCTGGGCGAGGCTAAACTGGGAAGCAGCTATGTACCAGAGAGGCATCAAATCCTCATCTATTCTCAGGCGCTAAAAGACACCCAGGCATCCCAGGGGCAGCCCACCACCTCCCTTCCCACAGAGAAAACACCCAACTCAAGATAAAAACCTCCAGGGGGGAAGTGTCTTCCTCCCACCCCTTGCTTTTCCCTTCCTTTCTGTGTTTTGCACCATCTTAGCTGCTGCCTATCTCTCCTTTTCTTCCTCTCCCCTTCACTCCTTCCACTTTCCTTCTCCCCAACACCCCCCTGACTCCCTCTCTACTCCCTTAGTCTGGTGACCTCTGCCTGTTCACCGGAGGCTTCAAATGCTCACAGACAGGAGTTTCTCCCAAACTCAGGAGAAAAAGATGTTTCTCAGTAGACAGACTTGCTAGTGAAAAGAGCCAACACCATGAGGAAGCCCAGGGCTGAATCAGGGGGTCTTTCTCAGCCTTGACCTCTTCTTTGTATCTCTACCTTGTTGGGAAGGCTGCAAGATACAGTGTCAGGACACGGGCCTTTAAGACAGAGACACTGAGGCTTGAATCCTGGCTCTAATATTTACAAACCGTGTGGTCCTGGGCAAGTGACTCTACCTCCCTGGCCTCAGTTTCTTTATCTGTAAGAGTGAGAATAATACCTATCTCAGAGTTGTTACAAGGATTAAAAGAGTTAATGTAGATAAAGTGTTATGGCCCATGACTGGCGATCAATAAAGTGAGCCCAGCCCTTTTCCTTCCCTCTTCTTTCTGTGATTCAAAAGTGTGGTCCCCTAATTTTTCGTGACTTCCTTGGAGAAATGGCCCAGAAGACTGGTGTTTGGATCCATCCATGTCACACCCCACTCCTCGCCCACATCACAGGACAAGTCAGTATCTCCAGGGTGTTCTGTGTCTTCTACCAGACCTCTGCTAGGCCAGGCCAGAAGGCTATGGTTAAAAGTCAAGTGTGATCAAACACTGGGAGCAGCCACGTATCATGAGAACAGAACTCTGGGTGGCTCACATGATCAACAAGGCTTCCCAGGTCCTGTTAACAATTGATCCAATTTCACCTCCCTTTTTTAGTCCTGGTGTAGCTCAGCCCTCAAGCAGTCACTTTTAAGATAGCCAGCCCCAGGCTCTTCTGATGGCCCCCGGTGCTGGATATTGCCACCCGGTACCTATTTTGAGATATGGCTACTCCTCCACGAATGGGCTCTTCTTCCTGCAAGGAGTCTTTCCCCTGACACCCACTCATGCACACGTATGTACAGTCAGACCACTGCATATTATCCAGTGGCCTCTCCTCTCCATCCTTGAGGAAATGCAGGGACTATATGGAGCCCTCCCAAAAAAAATCCCTAACTGTGCACACGGAAAGTTTTCTAGAATGAAAGCCGTAAATGGTGCAGTGGCCATTTATGGCTGTAATCCCAACACTTTGGGAGGCCAAGGTGGGAGGATCATTTGTGCCCAGGAGTTTGAGACCAGCCTGGGCAACATAGTGAGACTTCATCTCTATTAAAAAAAAAGTTAGGTTGGACTCAGTGCTTCACGCCTGCAATCCCAGCACTTTAGGAGGCCAAGGCCAGTGGATTACTTGAGCCCTGAGCAACACAGTAAAACCCCATCTCTACAAAAAATAGGGAAATTAGCCAGGCATGGTGGCACACACCTGTAGACTCAGCTACTTGAGAGGCTGAGGCAGGAGGAATGCTTGAGCCTGAGAGGAAGATGTTGCAATGAGCCAGGATGGTGCCACCGTACTCCAGCCTTGGTGACAGAGTGAGACCCTGTCTCAAAAATAAAACATAAATAAAAATTAGCTGGGCATGGTGGTACATGCCTGTAGTCCTAGCTACTCAGGAAGCTGAGGCAAGAGGATCACTTGAGCTTAGGTGTTCGAGGCTGCAATGAGCTGTAATTACACCACTGTATTTCAACCTGGGCAACAGAGAGAGACCCCATCTCAAAAAAAAAAAAAAAAGCTGTAGTAACAACCAGTATCATTTTGAATAACCAGTAGCATTTTGAAATTTGAAACATTTTATCCATTTAAACTCTGTCAGAGTAGGCCAACTGCTGTAAAGAATGACCTGCAGATTTCAGTGGCTTACCATAATGAAAGTATTTCTGGTTTTCATCACAATTCAATATAGGTAGGTAGAAAGGAGAGGAAACTCTGTCCCTCATAGACATCAGGAACCCAGGCTCCTTCATCTGTGGCATTGCCATCCCCCAAGTCTTCCTTAAAGTCGGAGCCTCTATGTCTTTTTCTCACAGTGCACAGACCAGGAAAGAGAGAGCAGAAGATCCCGGGGGATGTTTCTATGAGCCAGGCCTGGAAATGGGGAACATCAATTCCACCCACATTCATTTGCCAGAACTTAGTCACACGCTTACTTAATCCTGAGGGAGACTGGGTGCTTGGAACAAAGGAGACCACATTTGGTAAACAGGTAGTACTGCACTGTCTTTGCTATAAAACCATTAGATGAGTATTTTTCCACAGAGCAGGAAACTATGGCTTGACTCACCCAAGACACCACTGTTAGTAAATGGACTTGAACCCAAGTCTTGAACCCAAATCTTCTAGCTCTGATGCATTCTTTAATTCATGCAGAATTTCTCCCTCCTGTGGGTACATGTTGCTGAGCAAGTTACTGAGTCTTAAGAATGACCAGGCCCTGCCATGTCATCTCCTTTTCTCTTTACCTCCAGGCATTTGAATAGCCAAAGAGAAACATCACTAAATACCTCCCTTCCACTCGCTCCCAAACAACCCTTCCTTCTCCTGCATTATAGGAGTGGGATCCAGCCCTCTCCTACTGACATAGCCATGAAAATAAAGATGCTTGAGCACATCTACATCTTTGATCCTGTACTCATCCTTGGCTTAGAAGAGCT
The DNA here is from genome assembly GCF_000001405.40 of Homo sapiens. NCBI lineage: Eukaryota > Metazoa > Chordata > Mammalia > Primates > Hominidae > Homo > Homo sapiens. The sequence continues at coordinate 112,336,039 of NC_000001.11, forward strand.
CACAGTCTAATGAGATAGACAGAAATGTTAGAAAAGCTGTAACTAGTCTTGATTAGACAATAACAGAGGCCTTGGCTTAGAAGAGCTCACAGTCTAATGAGATAGATGGAAATGTTAGAAAAGCTGTAACTAGTCTTGATTAGACAATAACAGAGGCCTCTACAGTGTTGTACAGGAACACTCTGAGCAAGAAATTGATTTATTTAGAGAGTCAGAGAAAGTTACAGAGAACAGGTAATGTTTGTCCTGGGCCATGAGTCGGGAATAGCCTAACAGACAAGACAGGTGAGGCACCAGAGCCCAGGGAAGAGCATTTGCACAGAAACAAACAGGGGAAAGGAGATGTTCAGGTAAGTCCTTGACAAGGAGAATCCCGGAAGGCTCCATCCAAGGCCCCTTCTTACCTCCTGGTTCTTTTGGAAGCCTGGGAAGATGGGAGACCTTGAAGAAGGTCATAGTCTGGACAGATTCCCAAGGTATTATGATACAAAACCAAAGGATAATATCTCCACGTGGGGCCCAACACCTGCAGTAAAGTTAGCTGTCACTTACACAACACTAATATTTAGAGGCACTTTTACACATTATCTTATTTCACTCCTTTGTTTGCAGAAAAGGAAAGCAAATCTTAGAGAAGTTAAGTTACTTGGCTAGGAGGCCACAGGACTTAGAACTCAACCCCAGATCCTGGACTCTAAAACCCAGGGATTTTCCACTGGGACTTTTGTCCATAGGACAGGAAGGGGTACTATAGGGAGGGCAACCACAGGGGACTTTTCAGGGTCCCCGTCAGGGTCCTTCCTAAAATGGATAGCTTATTTCAATTCTTTTTCCTTCCCTCCTCACACATGGTGTCAAGAGCTAATCCTGAGAATCTGCTTCTAGAGAGATTTCCTCGTCTATCTCCCCGACCTAAGGAATAAACAGATCTCCTCTGATCCCAGAGAGCCCTAGCTTTCCCATTCCCAGGTCATCTACAGTTCCTCTGCCTTATCCTGATCATTCTTCCAGAAAGCCACCAGAAAACAGAAGAACAAGAACAGAAGCAGAACCCGACACGGAAGACAGCTCCGTCTTCCCCACGGTCTGTGAACCTCACAGGCCCCCTTGTGGCCTCCACAGAAGAGCACCGGACCAGAAACAACTTTCCCTGCAGTGCCAACTCCACTTTCTCCCACCCCAGTGCCGAGGGCCCCTCCATGTCTCTTTCTCCTAATCCTGCTGTTCTTTATTTTCTTTCAAATCAGAATTGGATCAAGAGAGCAAAGACCGATGATGCTGTTTTTGATGAGGTTCTCTGACCTCTCTGGAAGGTGACCAGGAAGGAAGTATCCCTTCTGAAGTTGATCGGGGTTCCTCTCTTCCTCTGCCAGAGAACAGCCGCTAGGGGAGAACATTGGTGTTCACGAGAACCTGGCGCTCCTCCCACGGAACCTGAGGGCTGGGCACGGTGGGAACTGCTAAATACAGCTAGAGGCACAGATTCTCCCAGGAGTAAGCAAATGTTCCAGGGTAGAGGCTACTTTCTTTCTCTCTCTCTCTTTTTTTTTCTTTTTTCTTTTTTTTTTTTTTTTTTTTTTTTGAGATGGAGTCTTGCTCTGTCACCCAGGCTGGAGTGCAGTGGTGCAATCTCGGCTCACTGCAACCTCCGCCTCCCGAGTTCAAGCGATTCTCCTGCCTCAGCCTCCCGAATAGCTGGGATTACAGGCATGCACCACCACATCCAGCTAATTTTTGTATTTTTAATAGAGACAGAATTCACCATGTTGGCCAGGCTGGTCTCGAACTACCGACCTCAGGCCATCCACCTGCCTCGGCCGCCCAAAGTGCTGGGATTATAGGCATGAGCCACTGTGCCCAGCCGAGGCTACTTTCTATCTTTGTTCACATATAGGAGCAGCCAGATGTTCCAAATCAAAAAAGGGGATATAGTCTACTCAAGGGAATTTTTTTCTCATTTATTATATTTGTTTATATGCAAATCCCTATAAAGGTATACAAATTAAATCACATGAAGTTATCTGTTAATTGAATCACATTTACTCAAAAGAATAATGCTATACATAGATGTAGGACTCCCCCCAAATCCAGTGTGTAGTGCTGCCAGGGGTACTAAAGAACATAATCCTTTCTGTAATCTTTTCTTCCCTGCAATGGTTCACAAAGAAAGAAACAGGAGGAATGTGGTGTTCAAAACTGAATAAGGAGATTTTGGAGCAGGGCTCCTCAGACAGCGCCTAGGAGAGGAAAGAATCTAGAACCTTCTTAACTGTGTTGAAAAAAATCCCACCATTATATGCCTCCCTGATTGTATTTATCACATTATATTGTAAAACTTTTCCCACTTGTTTTTTGTATACACCAGGAGTTCTCTGAGGCCGAAGTCTTCACTGTGTTCATCTTTGAATCCCCTGCGCCTAGTGCAGTGCCTCACAAGGAGCTCAGTAAACACTTGTTAAGTGATTCTTCTATGAACTGGTAGACTGTAAGCTATGCCAACCAGGAACTAATGCTCTCTAAACCCTTTCAGGTCTCAACTTTTAAATTTGTTTTGTTTCCTTGATTTCAAAGTAAAATTTCTGTTTTAAAAAATCCAGGCCAGGCACAGCACAGTGGCTCCCATCTGTAATCCCAGCACTTTGGGAAGCTGAGGCTTGGTTGCATCACAGAGGGATTTTGTCCATGCCTACGTATAGTGCCTACGTGTAATGAAAGTGAGATCAAGGTTCATTTTAAGGATAAATGAAGACTCCACAAGAAAAAAACTGTTAAGTCTCATGCAAAAACTCTTAACAGAAACAGAATAAACAGTGTGCAACTAAGCCCCAGGCTATAGAAATTTTAAGGGTCATTCAACACTGAGGAGCCAGAAAACCAGTCTGAGAGTGGAGATATGTCAAAAAAAAACAGAGAGCGTGAAACAGTTGGGCCAGGAAGATCTGGCATCAACCTGCTAAGATGAATTTCCATCAAAAGAGTCCCTAGAAATTCATCACAGGAATCTTTTACAGATGCAGCCAATTGTGCTGTAGCATCTATCTCCAGGGTGTCTTAGGGGCAACACAGATCAAGTGGAAGACCATCATGGCTGCCTTTTGCTGACCATAGGGATCTCTCACAGACTCTTCTTTGCTTGTGACTTGCAAGTTCGACCCCTGATAAACCCAGAAGAGGGACTCACACACAGTGAGTTTGATGACCTTAGGGAGTTAAGAAGAACATGAGTGCTATCTGGGCAAATAAGGGAAAGCAGCTGGTTCCCTTTAGTTATTTACTACAATTCTGTTCCATTTGCAGGAATAAACAGATCTTCCTCACCAGGGAACTCAACAAAACATTTATAGAGCACTTTCTATATATTAGACACAGTGGATACAACCATGTATTAATTAGTGCAGGCTTAACTTTGGTAACAAACACCAAAAGTTTGGTGACTGAAAACACAAGAAGTTGGTTTATTTTTCATGTGACAGCCCGGGGAGAATGCTTCAATCCTCCACAATCCTCCACAGAAACCTCCAAGGCCACTGTGGCTATCACCAGCCCTTTGGGCCTTGTCATCAACTGCAGCAAGCCACAGAAGGGGAAAGGGAACGCAGAGGGGCTCATTCATTCTCACCACTGCACTCCAGCCTGGGCGACAGCAAGACCTTGTCTCAAAAAGAAAAAAAAATCATTAAACAAATAATTTCCAAGAGCAATAAGATGTTTTTTAATCTTCCCAAGTTCAAGCGATTCTCATGCCTCAGCCTCCCAAGTAGCTGGAATTACAGGTGTGTGCCACCACACCCAGCTAATTTCAGTATTTTTGGTAGAGATGGGGTTTCACTGTGTTGGACAAGCTAGTCTCAAACTGCTGACTTCAAGTGATCCGCCCACCGTGGCCTCCCAAAGTGCAGGGATTACAGGCATAAGCCACTGTGCCGGGTCAGCAATAAGATATTTAAGGGAAATAAAACTGTCACGTGAAAGAAAGGCCCAGGGTCAGAGGACTCACGTTAGCAGAGAGGCTGGAAAAGCCCTCTCTGAAACCCAGCAAAAGAGAAGGAGCAGCCATTCAAACACAGGGGGAGGCTTGTGCCAGGCAGCAAGTCCCGAGTCCTAGAAGCAGGAATGGGCTTGGCACGTCTGAGGGTCAGCTGGAAGACCAGCATGGCTCATGCCCTGTGGGAAGAGGAGTGGCCTGAGATGAGATCAGAGAGATCGAGGGATCTACACCACAAAGGGAGAGCTGGGGTAAGGTCATTCAGTCACTCTGCAAACATTTATTGAGCACCAACAAGTCCAGAGACTGAAGATACCACAGTGAAGATAAATCCCCAGGACATAGGCATGGGCAAGGACTTGATGTCTAAAACACCAAAAGCAATAGCAACAAAAGCCAAAATTGACAAATGGGATCTAATTAAACTAAAGAGCTTCTGCACAGCAAAAGAAACTACCATCAGAGTGAACAGGCAACCTACAAAATGGGAGTAAATTTTCACAACCTACTCATCTGACAAAGGGCTAATATCCAGAATCTACAATGAACTCAAACAAATTTACAAGAAAAAACAAACAACCCCATTAAAAAGTGGGCGAAGGACATGAACAGACACTTCTCAAAAAAAGACATTTATGCAGCCAAAAAACACATGAAAAAATGCTCACCATCACTGGCCATCAGAGAAATGCAAATCAAAACCACAATGAGATACCATCTCACACCAGTTAGAATGGCAATCATTAAAAAGTCAGGAAACAACAGGTGCTGGAGAGGATGTGGAGAAATAGGAACACTTTTACACTGTTGGTGGGACTGTAAACTAGTTCAACCATTGTGGAAGTCAGTGTGGTGATTCCTCAGGGATCTAGAGCTAGAAATACCATTTGACCCAGCCATCCCATTACTGGGTATATACCCAAAGGACTATAAATCATGCTGCTATAAAGACACATGCACATGTATGTTTATTGTGGCACTATTCACAATAGCAAAGACTTGGAACCAACCCAAATGTCCAACAATGATAGACTGGATTAAGAAAATGTGGCACATATACACCATGGAATACTATGCAGCCATAAGAAATGATGAGTTCATGTCCTTTGTAGGGACATGGATGAAATTGGAAATCATCATTCTCAGTAAACTATCGCAAGAACAAAAAACCAAACACCACATATTCTCACTCGTAGGTGGGAATTGAACAATGAGAACACATGGACACAGGAAGGGGAACATCACACTCTGGGGACTGTTGTGGGTGGGAGGAGGGGGGAGGGATAGCATTAGGAGATATACATAATGCTAAATGACGAGTTAATGGGTGCAGCACACCAGCATGGCACATGTATACATATGTAACTAACCTGCACATTGTGCACATGTACCCTAAAACTTAAAGTATAATAATAATAAAATAAAAAATAAATAAATAAATAAAAAGAAGATAAATCCCATGCTGGTAGAGCTCACAATTGCCAAGGAGACATAAAGTCAACAAATAAATGAATAAACAAACCATATCGCATCAGATACTGGTAAGAGCTCTGAAGGAGAAAAAGCAGGATAAGAGAGTCGATTGCTATTGTAAATGGGATGGAAGGCGAGTCCTCTGGTGAGGTGAGCCAAGACTTGGAGGGAGAGAGGGAACAAGCCACATGCATACCCGAGGGAGCAGTATTCCAGAGAGCCCTCAAGGTCGCCAGACAAAGCACGGGATGCCGAGTTACATTCGAAATTCAGGTGAACAAATATTGCATGGAGCATACTTATACTAAGAATTCTTCATTGTTTCTCTGAAATTCAATTTTGATGGGGCATTCTGTATTTTTATTTGCTAAATCTGGCAACCATTGGAGAGAGGGAACAGAAAGTGTGAAGACTCTGAGGCAAGAACATGCGTGGCACATTCAAAGCACAGCATGGAGGCTCCTGTGGGGCATGTGGTAGGAGGGGAGGCTGGAGAGGGAGGCAGAGGCTTGAGCACACAGGGTCACATGGGCCTTGGTAAGGACTTTGGATTTCATTCTCAGTGGGATGGGGAGCCTGGAAGAGTTTGAGCAGCTCTGTGAAGGACAGCAACAGAAGACACAGGGTTGCTACTTTAATCATCCCCCTCCAGAAGGGCCATATGGAGGAGTTGGAAGTGCAGGCTTATTCCACATCCAAGCATCCCACTGCGCTACACCTGCCACCATGTAGCATAGAGATGGGAACTAAGGAGTTCCAACTCGAATAGGTACCTCATTCCATGAGCAGTGATCTGGGGCACCCTCTCTCGACTCGCCTTTCTCTCATTCTGCTTGAGGTATCTTTGAATCAGTGGGGATCAGAGAGTTAATCAGAGTGTCCAAGGCTCCAGGCACCACTATTTCATCATCCTCTAGGGAAAGTGCCATTAATGCCGCTGCCCACTGACCTCTGGCCACAGCCATGGAGCCCACTGGCACCAGCCTTCATGGAAATCTACGCCACTGCTTATCTCCATTCAAAATGGGGCAGAGAAAGTTTCCATCCTGGGAGAAAGTTGCCTTAGATGACCCTCCTCCTCTTCCCTTGACCTGACTCCTTTTCTGTCAAGTCTAGGGTTTTGATCATGGGAAAGAAGGGACCGGGTTTCCTTTGGTCTAGCCACTGCCATTGACTCTTTCCCCTCTTGTCAGCAGTCCTGTGACTACAGCCTCGGCTGCTGGTGCTCCAGCTGTCGGCTTTAATAAACAACAAGAGTAAATACAGGCAGATGCTGACTGTTCCCAGGATGCTCTGTAAAGCTTCTCACACACAGCTTGAAAAGCAACATTTTCTGGGATTGATTTAGGACATGTGACTCTATAAGCATCCAGATTCCTGCTGAAAGGGGACAAGGAAAGAGCTGGGGCAAGGAAGTGCTTCCCTTAAAGAAATGAAGGAAGGAGATTTCTTTGTGACTTCTTAACACACTCTAGACCTCAGTTTCCAATAGCAGCATCTGATTCCAATTCCAGTGGTTGAATGATCCCCTATAAAAACTATTGATTTAGGTACTGACATAAGAGCCATAGATCTACCTAGAAGGGGTTCTCCAGTGATTTGTCTCTGTCCTTGGCTTTGTCCTGTAAAATATCTACTTCAGCAGCTTAAATTCAACCATGACAGTTAGGTTTACAGGACACCCAAAACTAAGACGTAGTGTGATGTAGGGGGAAAGTGCTGAGCCATCTAAGCAACCTTGGGTGATTTGCTGAACCACTCTGAGCTGCAGTTTCTGCATGTGTAAAATGGAAATAATAAATCTTGCTTCTATAGCTTGCTCTGAGGATTAACCAAGAGGCCCTTGTCAAAATCTGGCACAAAGGACTCACTCAAGAGGTCATAGTTTCCTTCCCTCAGTTTTGTCATCTGCAAAACAGGGGCAATAGAATTACAAATGTCGTTAGAACCTGAAACCCAACTGACTATCAAAAGGAAGACTTAGTTGTTGGATAACTACCACAGGCTAGAATACTAGATCAGAATCAAGGCAATGAATATTAATAAGCCATGCAGTTAAAAACTAACAATAGCATGGAGAATGCAAGCTTGATAACAATTCCAATGAAAAAGACCAAAGAGTTTCAATTAGCCACGAGCTCAGTTTGAAACAAGAATGGGACACATTTACCATGAGAAGCTGTGTAACTATATATTACATCGTAATAATAGTTAACATATATTGAACACATACTATGTCCCAAGTGATACTCTAAGTACTGTACTCGACTCATTTAATACCCCCAATAATCCTATGAGATGCTACTTTTATCACCAGTTTACAGGTGTGCCAAACTGAAGCAAAGAGAAGTAAATTGCCTGTATTCACAGAGTTTGTGAATAGCAGAGCTAGGACTGAATAGCTTCATTCTGTGCATGGTTCACCTTGAGCTACTGGGTTAGTTCTGAGTACCATGCTAGGTACAGCCATACTTTCCCTACCCTGGTGTCACCCCTGCCTTCAACTGTTCTAAGCCAACAGGCTGAGGAGGATGTTAGGGATGGCACTGCTTGTGATTAAGCCACCGACCTAGGCCCAGGTTCTAAAGGCCAAGCCAAGACTTCAAGATGCCCACATTGTTCTCCATATCATCTCGCTGCAAGGTACTCTGTGCCTCAAGGAAGGACTCTGGGTGCCCTTATTGCCTCTAAATTGTCACTTAACTCTTCCCACCTCCTCTTGCACACAATCTATTCAAATGATCCCCATAAGTTAATGGCTACCTGCCATAAAAAAAAAATACAAAAGAATGAGTCAAAGGATATTTCTTTGAAGTCTCATATTTTCTCCTAAAAATTCATGTAAATTTTGTACTCTACTCCATACCATAACTGGGTTGGTTTTAATATTAAAATAATATTTTAAGCAACTTAGCACTGAATAAAATTGATGCTCTAGTGTGATGAACAACAATTTTCCTGCAGCTGTTAGAAACCCTGGCACACTGCTACATGTCCCCATTTGAAAAGCTCAGAATTACAGATGCATATTTCATAACATGCAAAGATGTCCAAGGCATATCATTAAGCAATAAAAGCAGGTTACCAAACAATATGGTTCTGTTTTTGTATACATTTTGGAAGGCTATATATGTATACCAAAATATTAACAGAGGATATCTCTGGGCTGTAGGAATCTGGGAGATTTTTATTTTTCTCTTTTTCCTTCTCATATCATTTAATCTTTCTACAATGAGCATACGTATTGTTTGTGGAGGTAGAATATAAGGTTTTGTGATGATGGATTTCTTTGGGGAGGATGTGGTTAGTTTTGCTTTGTAAGATTTAACAGTTCATGGCTGCCTGAATTGTGCAGACGCCTACTTCAGCAAACTACACCTTTCACATCCTGAGACCCTCTGAAGCAGGGAACCAAACCACAAGAAAACGTCATACACAAGAATGTCATCAGGCATCCTCCCTGGCTCCCCACCTTGTTGCTTTGTTAACTCTGCCAGTTGTGACCTCAAATTCCTGGGATATTCACACAAATCCCTCTCACCTCCAGAGTTTTCTGTGGCACACCCCAGTGGCCAAATCCCCAACACTGCTTAATCTTTCGCCAATACATTTCCTGTGTGCTGCCCACACTCTCCTAGCAGCCAGCTCCAGGATTTACCAGGTTTTGCCTTTCATCTCGTCTTAACACTGACAGTTTGCATGCTTCGCGCAGACCAAGAAGTAGAAGCTTCCCCAGATTGGACTGGTCTTCCTCACACTAGATACTGCCTGAATCTTGTTGCAGCTCACTGCACATTTGGCACTTGTGGCTTGACTCTCACCTTATTCCCCCAGAGGCTGTCCCACTGCAAGTTCAGTTTCCCATCCTTCTGCCACTACCTAGACCTAAGGTCTCAATCCAGATCACCCTTCCTATCTCACTCGTGAGGTCATTAATCATAGTTAATAATTTGTTGCCTAATTATTGTGTGGCAAGCACATGCTAACTACTTTTTATGCATTGTCTTTTAATTTTCACAGTAATACTCTAAGGTAGACTTCATAGTCCTCATTTCACAGATAAGGAAAACTGAGGCTTGAGAGCTCCAGCAAAGCCTAAGATCGCTGTTCTGATGATCTATTGCTGCGCAATAAATCACTCCTAAACTTAGTGACTTAAAACGATTATTTTATTCTGGGGCTAACTGGGCTCAGCTGGGTGATTCTCGCCTGAGGTCATTCATGATGTTGCAGTCAGATGGCAGCTAGGGCTGGAGCCATCTCAGTGATTTCCTCACAACATGTCCAGTGCTTGACACTAACTATAGATGAGGACTTCAGCTTGGCTATTAGCCAAAACACCCACATGTGGCTCTCCATGGGTTCTCTCCACCTGGGTCAGTTTTGGCTTCCTCGCAGCACAGTGACTGAGTCCCAAGGGTACACAACTAAAGAGGACAAGGTGGAAGTGCATGGCACTTCTATGACCTAGCCTCACAGCACCCCTTCTGCCATCACTTACTGGCCATGTAGTCACAAAGGTCAGCCCAGGTACAAGTGGAAGGGACATAGACCCCACCACTTGATGGGATGCGTGTTACTACACTGTAAGAAGAATATGCGGGATAGGAAGTATTGTGGTAGCCAACTTTGGAGAATGCAATCGGCCACAATCACACAGCTATTAAATTGGGCAGGGCCAGGATTTAAACCCAGTTCAGCCCAACTGCAAAACCTGTGCCCTTAAATCATGGCAGTACACCGCCAACAGAGATTCATAACATCTCAAGCACTGAGCCTGAGACACAAAATGCATCACATCAGGGAGTTATTAACCAACAATTCATCTGGGAAAGGGAGGCCAAGATGTTGAGATGCCTGGAAACAATGTCATATGATTTAACAAACAGTTGAGGATATTTAGCTGGAAGATGACAAAACTAAAAAGGGACCTGACAGCTTTCTTCACATATATTAAGGGCAAGTGTAGAAAAGGGAAGATGTTGTGTATTGCAGCCTCCAGCAGACGAAAAGAGGCAGGGAGGCAGGCAGGGCTATCAGCTCTCCCCACTACATCGAGTCCTCTGTTAGACAGGCATAAGGACTCAGGATCCACCAAGTGTTGGGTACCAGCTCAGTGCTTTAGGATCCATTGATTTATTTAGCTGCAGTGGGGGGTTATGAGCGAAAAGTATTCTGGCCTGCCTTGGGCAGAACGGGCCCAAGGGAGGGATGGGTCAGTCAAATCTCAGGATCACAGCAGGGTCTCAGTGCCCTGCCAGGGACAGCGTCCCCAGGGCAGGACAGCAGTTTCCTCCCCCTAACCTGCCACTTCTCCCCTACCAATGCAGTCATGCCTGGGGTAGGTGTCACAGTGATAAATTTCACTCTCTGATGGTAAAACTCCAGGGCCCCATCCCTGTCTGCCTGTTAAGCTGCAAGACCTTTCCCTGGCTCACCAGGGAAAACCTCAGAGAAAAGGGAAAAAGACTGGGTTTCCAGAACATTAAACTTCTATTGCCACTACTGCCTGCCAATCTCCCTGCTAATCACTTGGAGAAAAGAAAGCCAATGTACCTCTGAGGGAGTCAGGAATGGGGCCCTGCTCTCCACAGCAGTGTCTGCTGACAAATCCTTGTCTTTTCAGCAGGAAGAGACCTTGGAAGGTCAATTCATCTCTTCTTCCGCCCTGGACCAGACTCACTTCATGCAGTGAAAGAAGCCTGGCTGAGCCAAAGGGGCAGTTTTCCCTCCATATTTGGTGACAAAAATATCAACCAGAGTTTACTCGAGAGCCAGCAAATATTTAGTACTTGCCACGTGCCAGACACCAGGCTGATTAAATAGGCATCCAACATTCTGTCTCCAAAGTTTATAATCACGGGCTTAAGCAACAAAGTCCAAGGAAGGGAATGGTCCTCAGATTTGAGGATATAAATGTTGAAAACCTTTCTTCTCCACCCAACTCTACCACCTCCAGCAACCCACAATGTGCACATTCTTCCTGCCTTCTTTTCTGACATGGCTAGACTAGGAAAGATTTTTATGTGCAGCAGCACACTGTTGCAACACACAGGTTCAATGAAGTTTGGCCAGCAGTGAAATATAGCAAAAAGACCATGCACTGAACATAGAGGTAAGAGCCTGGACCACAATGTGAGCCTGGACCACAGTGTGAGCCTAGACAAGTCACTCAACCTCAGTGATTTTCAATTTCCTTATAAGTAAAGTGGGATTAATTATAACTCCTGCTTCATAAATTGTTCATCTCATTCCAGTCTCTTCAAACAAGCCTAGCTCACCATGCTGGCATACATGATTGGAGGACATTTTAGAAAACATGCACAGAAAGGGTGTAGGGAAATGGGCCTTGTTAGGCATTGTCAGTGGAAGTATAAGTTGGTGCACCCTTTGGGAAGATAGGTGACAAAGTTTCAAAGTAAACTTACTGCACTCACCCTTTTCCTCAAAATCTTTCTAGGAATTTACTTTGTATGTGAAATAATACATGCTGCAACAATGGTCATCACAACATCATTTGTAATTTGTCTGTTTTTATTATACCATAGAAAAAGTACATATAATCAATATTTACATTTTAAAGAATAGCCATATATAATAGGCCAGTAACCATAGGCAGGGCACGGTGGCTCACGCTGTAATCCCAACACTTTGGCCAAAGTGGGCGGATCACGAGGTCGGGAGTTCGGGAGTTCAGGAGTTCGAGACCAGCCTGACCAACATAGTGAAACCCTATCTCTACTAAAAATACAAAAATTAGCTGGGCGTAGTGGTGCTCCTGTAATCCCAGCTTCTCGGGAGGCTGAGACAGGACAATCGCTTGAACCCAGGAGGTGGAGGTTGCAGTGAGCCGAGATCGCACCACTGTACTCCAGCCTGGGCAACAGAGTGAGACTCCATCTCAAAAAAAAAGAAAAAGAATAGCCATAATGGGCTGGGCTTGGTGGCTTATGCCTGTAATCCCACCACTTGGGAGGCCAAAGTGGGTAGATCACCTGAAGTCAGGAGTTAGAGACCAGCCTGGCCAACACAGTGAAACCCCATCTCTACTAAAAATACAAAAATTAGCTGGGCATGGTGGTGGGTGCATGCAATTCCAGCTATTTGGGAGGCTAAGGCAGGAGAATATCTTGAACCCAGGAGGCAGAGGTTGCAGTGAGCCAAGACCATGCCGTTGCACTCCAGCCTGAGCAACAAGAGCAAAACTCCATCTCAAAAAAAAAAAAAAAAAAGAATACCCATAATGAAAAAAATAAGCAGTCAGTACCCAGCAACCACCTTAAGAAACAGAATGTTTAATATACTTCAAAGCCAAGCCCTCTGCATGCTCCAAATTTTTCTTTTTTTTTTTTTTTTTGAGATGGAGTCTTGTTCTGTTGCCAGGCTGGAGTGCAGTGGCACGATCCCAGCTCACTGCAACCTCCACCTCCTGGGTTCAAGCAATTCCCCTCCCTCAGCCTCCCAAGTAACTGAGACTACAGGCGTGGGCCACCAAACCCAGCTAATTTTTTGTATTTTAGTAGAGGCGGGGTTTCACCATGTTGGCCAGGATGGTCTTGATTTCCTGACCTCGTGATCTGCCTGCCTCGGCCTCCCAAAGTGCTGGGATTACAGGCGTGAGCCACCGCACCTGACCCACTACCCCAATTTTGTACTAATCGTTTCCTTTCTTTCCTTTATAGTTTAATCACACATCTATGTATATCTAAAAAAGAAGAAGTTTCGTTGTTCCTGTTTTGATCTCTATTCAAATATGGTCGATTTGTGTACTTTTGTCCACGATTTTAGTTCTAACTTGATTTTCACTCTAATAATTTCAGTTTAATAATAATAAATTAGGTATTATTATTATTATTTTATACAATCAATATTTATTTATACATACAAACATTTACTATTTTCTTCACCATTTCTTCTTGCACTTCAAACCTCCTTCTGGGAACACGTTTCTTCTTCCTGTTATGTATCTTTATACATTTCTTTAGTGTCTCTTAGTGTCAATTGTACCAATTCTGTTTGTAAAAACATTTTTAAATTGTCGTTATTTTGCCCTCATGTTTGAGAGATAATTTTGGTGGGAGTAGAATTCTAGCATAACAGGTATTTTCACTTAACATTTCAAAGCTGCCATTCCATAGTCTTCTGGCTACTGTTGAGAGATAAGCAGTGGATTGAATTCTTATAGCTTTGTAGATAATCTATCTTTTCTCTCTGACTTCTTTTAAGATCCTCTCTTTATCTTTAGTGTTTTCAGTTTGTCTTTTCCTTTTTTTTAATTATACTTTAAGTTCTGGGATACATGTGCAGAATGTGCAGGTTTGTTTCAAAGGTATACATGTGCCATGGTGGTTTGCTGCACCCATCAACCCATCATCTACATAAGGTATTTCTCCCAATGCTATCCCTCCCCTGCCCCCCAACCCCCAACAGGCCCCAGTGTGTGATGTTCCCCTCCCTGTGCCCATATGTTTTCAGTGTTCAACTCCCACTTATGAGTGAGAACATGCGGTGTTTGGTTTACTGTTCCTGTGTTAGTTTACTGAGAATGATGGTTTCCAGCTTCATCCATGTCCCTGCAAAGGACATGAACTCATTCTTTTTTATGGCTGCATAGTATTCCATGGTGTAGACATGCCACATTTTCTTTATCCAGTCTGTCATTGATGGGCATTTGGGTTGGTTCCAAGTCTTTGCTATTGTGAATAGTGCTGCAATAAATGTACATGTGCATGTGTCTTTATAGTAGAATGAATTATAATCCATGTTTTCAGTTTTTCTATAAAATATGGGTTTCTTTTCCTTTATCCCACTTAGGATTCACTGAGCTTGTTGGAGCTGAGGACTGTTCTTCCATTAGGACTGGATATTTTTCAGTCATTATCTTTTCAAACACTTCTCTCCCACTCTCACCATCATTCTTCGAAATTCTGATTATATGTATGCTGTATCTCCCCACTATGTCTTTTATATCTCCTAAATCTTTCATATCTTTGTCTTTCTATTGTATTCTAGGTCATTCTTCAGAGCAACTTCCAGATCACCAATTCTCTTTTCAGCTGTGTCTAAGTTATTATCATATTTATTGAGTTGCTAATTTCAATGATTTTTTTCCTAAAAGTTCTATTTATTTCTTTATTATATCTAACTAGGTTACTCTCAGTCTTTTGTCTCCTCATTATACTTCCAGTACTCTCTTTTATTGCATAAACAAATTAAATATATTTATTTTGTATTTGATATTGGATAAGTAAATCAAGGTCATTACAGTCTTCCAGAAACATGCTGTTCTCACTCAGGGTAATTTATTTTCTTATGCATTTGTTGAATTTTGATTGGGAAGTCCATGTCCTCTGGAACGTTATCTGTGAGAATTCTCTGAGACCAGGGTTTAAACTATGTTCTGTCTGGAAAAATGTGCTGCTGCTGTTATTGGAGCCCTAGGGACAGTACAAATCTAGGAGACTTCAAATTTTCTAATGGTGTCTAAGTTTAAGATTAGAAATTCTCCAAGAAAGACTTTTCTTTGTTTTTTTCTTCTATTCCATCAAGAGTCAAGGATGACAACCAAATATCTTCACTAACTCTCTTTCTCCCTCTGGGTGTGTTTTTTCTACTTCATCTACTGAAAATTTCACCCCTCAGAGATCCCAATTTTGTATATGGATTCAACCTGCTTGATCCCTGGACTATATCTCCCATCTCTCATGTAGGTGACCCATATTACCCAATTACTGAAACCCAATTAGGCCCCAAGACAAAGTCTAGCTCTACAGCTCACTTATTCTTTTCATTTAATGTTTTTTTTTCTTGTTTCCTATTCCCCTTGGCTGGGTGTGGTGACTCACACCTGTAATCTCAACACCAGGAAGAAGGAATGCTTGAGCTTAGGAGTTCAAGATCAGCCCGGGAAACATTGCAAGAGCTCAACTCTACAAAAATAATAACACTAGCCAGGCAGGAGAGTATGCCTCTCTTTGTTATGCACCTGTAGTCATAGCTACTCAGGAGGCTGAGGTGGGAGGATCGCTTGAATCCAGGAGTTTGAGGCTGTGGTGCGCTATGAGCACACTCCAACCCAGGTGACAGAGCAAGACCCTGTCTCTAAAATAAATAAATAAATAAATAAATAAAATTTTGTGCCAACTCAAACATGCATTCATGTATTTTTAAAGGTGGGGCAGGAATATATATATATGTGTGTGTATATGTGTGTGTATTAGTCTCTCTCTCTATTTATACATACATGTATGTATATACACACATACCATCATTTGGAGGCATACTGTCCCTGGAGGAGTTTCATAGAACATCTAGTCTACTGTATTTCATGGAAAGATAAATTTAATTATATTTATTGGCAAGGGAAGATGTCAATATAAGGAGTGAATGTAAAAAAATCAAGTTATATAACAGTGTTCTCTCTGTATTATGGGTTAAGTGATGCTTGTTTTGTCTTTCTATTTTTCCATATTGTTTTACTTTTTTGTAATGGGAATGTATTAGTTTAACAAATCCCATTGTCCCAATTCTACTCATATTATTATGCAAATATACAAAACATTTATGACTTCTTTGTTTCTCTGTAACATGCTTAATTGTGCTTCTTGAGTCTCCATCCTAGTGGAAAGTACAGGACTATGGAATAGGAGTCTACTGTACCAGACAAAGTATATGGGTCTCACCAGATTTGCTCCACTTGCGTCTCCCCTCAACCACATACTCAATGGATAGTCCCAGCAACTACCACCACAGCCTCATCTACTGACACTGTATCTATCTCAGCCTTCTCCATGGTGAGGGCTTCAGCAGGTACTTGTGGGTCTCCCATGGCAGAAGACAAGGCTCTATTGCTCAGGTCTGACTCAACAGGACTTATGAAGGTTCAAGTTCCTCTCACCACTTCCAGACTCAGATAAAGGGTGTATTATTACCTATTGCTTTTTAACAAATTACTTCAAAACTTGTGGCTTAAGCAATAAAGATTATCTCACAGATTGAGTTGGTCAAGAATCTGGGAGTGGCTTAGCAGGATGTTTCTGGCTGAGGGTCTCTCATGAAATGGCTGTCAGGATGTTGACAAGAACTGCAATCATCTGAAGGCTTGACAGAGCCTGAAAGATCCGCTGCCAAAATGCCTCACTGTCATGGCTGTTGGCAGGAAGCTTTAGATCCTCATCATGCAGACCTCTCTATGGGCTGCTTGTGCATTCTCACAAAGGAAGCTGGCTTCTCCCAAAGCAAGAACAGTTGACCCTTAAACAGCATGGGTTTGAACCAAGAGGATAAACTTACATGTGGACTTTCTTCTGTGTCTGCCACCCCTCAGACAGCAAGACCAACCCCTCCTCTTCCTCCTCCTCCTCAGCCCACTCAAGGTGAAGATTACAAGGATGAAGACCTTTATAATGATATACTTCCACTTAATTAATAGTAAATATATTTTCTCTTCCTTACAATTTTCTTACATATAACATACAAAATATGTGTTAATCAACTGTTTATACTAGCTATAAAGCTTCTGATTAATAACAGACTATTAGTAGTCAAGTTTTGGGAGGGATCAAAATTATACATGCATTTTTGACTACGCAGGGGTTGGCACCCCTAATCCCCATGTTGTTCAAGGGTCAGCTGTTGTTAAAGAGTAAGGAAGAAGACACAGTGCTTTTTATGACCTAATCTCTGCAATCACACAATGTCACATTCACTTTATTCTATTTGTTAGAATCAAGTCTCTAAGACCAGCCCACACTCAAGTAGAGGGGAATTAAGCTCCACCTCTTAAAGAGAGAATTGTGAAAGCATTTGTGAAAATATTTTAAAACTACCGTAAAGGAATATGGCTTGAGCATTGGAACTCTAACTTCTTCAGAATCCTACCATAGGGAACAGGTTATATAACCTCACAGTGTAATAGAGTTAATATACCATGGGGCAAATGATGATCACTGAAAGACAAGAAAGAAGAGAATGCAAAAGAAAAATTCAAATCACCCCTCCCCACACAGACTGTTTTGAGGTATGATGATCTCTCATGGCCCATCTGGAGGAAGTCCCATATGTCTGAAACCAAATGGGCTTTTTGTGAGACTATGGCTTACTTCTCCCCTTCCCTGCCTCACTTTTGTTTTTTCCCTTATTTTTGCTGTCCTAGGCCTGCACCATTCAGTAAAGCTTTAGCATATAATCTTTATCTCAAATTCTGTGTTCTCAAAACTTGGCTTAAGACAAGAAGTTAATCTTGAAAATTACTAGCACTGACATAAACATGTTTTCAGATAGTTCAGTTTCTCCAGGGTAAATGTTCAGACTTCCAAATTTCCTCCCTAGGCACTCCACCACTACCCTGACTTTTCCTTAATGGTAGCAGGCACATCATGGATCCTACTTCACCTTGTGGTAATGGGAGAGAACTAACCTCTGGTCCAAGCTGATGTCTGCCTGGGTTATTCGTCTAGTCTGTTTCCTAGACTCTTTCATAACTGATTCTGACTTGTCAGAATGATGCATGAGCTCCCAACCACTAAAAACCACAGGTTTGGTCCTTTCTTTCCAGTTGCGAAGTCCCCTATTCACTGAACACTTTGTTCTATCCCCAGGCCTCTGCTGGACTACAAGCTCTCCCAGCACCTCAACCAGGGCACATTAGAACTCCTAAGTTCCAGTGCACAACATTCCCAGGCCATGGAGAACAGGAGCACTGCCTTGGTCTCATCTAATTACCCGTCTCCTTTCACTTTAGTTCCTGTGCCATGTTGAGGGGAATGTAAGGCTGGAGACATTAACCGCCATGTTCTTAGCTTCCTTCATATCTATCTGAATATTTCTTTTTCTTTTTTTTTTCTTTTTTTTTTTTTTTTGAGATGGAGTTTCACTCTTGTTGCCCAGACTGGAGTGCAATGGCATAATCTTGGCTCACCGCAACCTCTGCCTTGTGGGTTCAAGCGATTCTCCTGCCTCAGCCTCCCGAGTAGCTGGGATTACAGGCATGCACCACCACACCCGGCTAATTTTGTATTTTTAGTAGAGACAGGGTTTCTCCATGTTGGTCAGGCTGGTCTCGAACTCCTGACCTCAGGTGATCCGCCCGCCTCAGCCTCCCAAAGTGCTGGGATTACAGGCATGAGCCACTGCACCCGGCCTCTATCTGAAAGTTTCTACTGTGTTCAGTGATTTGGCCTACGGGAATAAAAATGAGGACACAGCACTCCGACTCCATTGTCCTTCCTCCACCTCTCCCTTCTTTCTCCATGCCCCTCAGGTGAGAAGGGGTGAGCTTCCCAAGTGACTTCCATCATACCATAGTCTGAATTATCTCTACCCTATTGTTTACAGGGAAATTCTATGATCATATTATTGGAAGGTTGCTGAATTTAGAAATTTATTTGCTTTCTACACAAAATCTTACTTTCAAGACTGTTTTGTCTTGATGGACTCAAAAACAAGAATGTGGCACTGAGATTTAAACTGAGCAATAACCTCTGCGTTGAGGTGGCTGCTGCCCTTCCTAAAGCACTAAAATCTATTGCTTTCATAGGTGGAGAACCCCAGGAAAACAAAATGTACAGGATATGGATACACATCCAAAATACATTTTAAACATGCTATCTCTGTCTATTGCCTTAAGCAATTGGAGTATTTTCTCCAAAATACCATTATTGTCATCAATTCTTCAATGAGATCACCTCCAACTTGTCTATTAAGGATACCCTCCCGCTTCCTCCAGACCCTAGTCCCAGCTACTAAATCCCTCTTTATAGACAGCTCAGTTTGGACCCATTGTCCCAGCTTTGAACTTAGCCATTCTTCAAGCTTGTGAGTTCCAGTACTAGCTCTTCTTAACCCAGGGTAAGAAAGAACTTACCCAGCCCCATTTCCTCACCTCACAAGAAAGATCAAACACAATGATGTTTTAAGACATGGAAAGAAAAGATGTATGTGAAGTCACTTTGCAAACTGTAACACACTGTACAAATATCAAGTATTATCTCATAAAAGAAGCCTTCTCAGGCAACTGAGAATGGTTCTTTTCATATTTTGAACCATAACAGTTGTCTCCAGGGTCCAGGAAAGATAAAGCTAGTGTCAGAAGGGAGGCTTAAGTCATTGAAGAAAAAGGATGAAGGAAAAGGGGCCACCTGTGGAAAGTCAGTTTCAGATGCATCTTATCTGCCCAGACAACCACTGGCTTCAGGCTTCTGCTCGCAGAGCAGTATTAGAAAACACAACTTAGGGATGGCACTGAGGGAGGTCCAAGTCACAGTGTTGAGATGGTGGCAAACAAGAACATCAAAAACTTCAGGCTGGCATCTTCTGTGGCCATGGGCAGAGATCTGCTCAGGCTGCTGTCCAAATTCACTCTGTTGGGCAGAAAGGAGCTGATTTATGTCTCCAGCAGGTATGCCAGAGAAAATTCAAATTGATCAAAAATTAAATATTCATAGGACATTATTCATTAAGATTCATCTCACCGAGTGGATGAAATGAGGCAAGGGAAGAAATTAGCTTGCTTGAGAGTGTCAAAGTGATTATGTGATTAAATTGCAATTTATAATTTCTCCTTCAAAAAAAGCATTACTTCTTGATTTGTGTTTCTCCTCTTGCTGTGCCCCCTTTGATGTCTAGGCCTGAGCCAAGGACACACAGGGTTAATCGGAGACAGGAAGGCTCCTAACACAGTGCCTGGTCTGCTTCCCCTGTCCTTCCCTATCCACCACTGACTCCGAGAGAAGGGCCTTTCCACCCAGCCTCAGGGCTCTGCTCTTGAGGCTGAGAACAGGGCTTCCAATAGCAGAGGCCAGACAAATCCCCACAGTGCCACTCAGTTGGGGGATTTTCCAGCCTCAGGCCACTGCCCCTCCTTCCTCTACAAGAAAAAAGGTACGAAGTACAATTTCCCAGTAGCTCACCAGTCATGCTTGTAGAGCATAACCGAATGGTCTATAGGGAAGTCCACCCTGGCCACCTTCCACACTTAAAGAGAAGGGAGATGTTCTTCCTGTACTCTTGGCCTCCCCTCCTGAACTTGATGTGGAGCTATGACAAGCCTCCTCCAGGCAAAGTCTGGATCAGGTGGTTGACTCTTGAAGCCCACCAGCTGAGAGGCCATCCTTACCTCAAGGTCAACAAGCCAGTACCTCAGCTCCTGCCAAAAAAGATCCCCAGGGAAAGTGAATATCAAAGTTCAAGAACCCAACAGGTTCAGGGCAAGAGAGTAGGTGTTCCCTTGGGTAACCCACCTCCTTCACCAACTGGCATATCCACTCTACCACACCCCCTTTCTGGGGGACTCTCAAATTCGGCTAAGCCTGAATCCAGAGAAGAACCAGGAACACTCCCAAAGGCTTGCCATCCAGAGGCCAAGCAGCTTTAATTTTCCAGCTGTGCTCTCCTGAGCCCTGAAGACCCAGAAGACACAGGGCCTGCCCTGTGCTTGGAGAGGGGAGGGGCTTGGAGGAGCAGCAAGCTCCAAATGGGGCAGCTCCACTTTCATCTGCTTTATACACGGCACTTCTGTGTATGATTTCATTTCAGGAAAAGGTTTTGCTGCTAAAAATAATTCTGAAACCACTGAATTAGATGACCTCTCACAAGCCCCTTCCAGTCCAGGAGCCTCTGATTCTCTGACTTCAATGATAGGGAAGCAAAATGTACTCTGAACTTGACAAAGGCTCTGTTTTCTCCTATCTCTCGCTCTTAGGAGACACAATCTGTCTGTTTCTCCATCTGTCTGTCTAGGATCCAGAGTATAGCTAAGGTGATATGGATGGGTATGGAGGCAGATGGCTAGCTGCGTTTATCTTCCTCTGTCACTCTATCTCCTTCCATCTTCGCCTCTTACTGTCTCTATAACTCTCTGTGTCTCTCTCTTGCTACTACCCAATAAAGATTTAGAGGCTGGTTCCAGCAGCTGAGAACGGCGATATTAATTCCAAGCTTGTTTCCAAACACCACAGAGGTCTACCCGGGTTAATTAGTTGTGCAGGCTTTTCTACAAGTAAGCGAGCCGGCAGGGTTTTTTACAGCTCTGTCACTGTGTTTATTTGTTCGTTTTCTGTTTTGTTTGGAAATACATTTATCTGACAATAAATAACATCCGCCATGACTAGAGCCGATAAAGGCAATGAACAGCCCCTTCAGGGCCTTGGGGGACATAGTGAGAAAGCTTCAAGGTCGGGTCCCCCTACTCCAAGGGGCACTACCAGCCCTTGAGAAAGATGAAGAGGATGTGGGTAAAACCAGTGGGGGGAGGCTAGAAGAAGAGATAGGATCAAGGGCCATGGACATGGCTAAAAGTGAAGAAAGGAAATGCCCACTGAGGAACAGAGCCCATAGCAAGGAGTCAGGAGCCTGAGGCTCTTGGCAAATGGCAGTAAGGGTACCCTTTTGGCATGACAGGGGGGAGGCAGAAGATTTGGCTGTGGATCCCAGTTCCAGCACATACAAGCTGTGTAACCTCAGACAAGTTGCTAACCTTCATGCCTCCGTTTCCTCACCCATAAAACAAGAGTGATATTAACACCCTCTGCTCAGAGTGGTTGCAAATATATCTAGGAGACAATGAAAGTAAATGCACTATGCAAACAATAGAGATTCTCATTTTTCAGATGAAAAGTATTTCTCAGGAGTATATGGTCAAGATTCTAGGCCTCCCTGGGAAAAAATTAATCTAAAATGTTAGAGCAGGATTTGTCCTTGTGTCCAAAGGCTCTGTGCTAATGACTTCAACATGACCACACAGCTTGGCCCATTTGTAAGTTGACCACAATCTCACCAGGGCTAGTTCAGCTCTTGCACAAGCCCCAAATGGGAAGATTCCGTTAGTCTAAACAAAAAAATATTATGGGGAGTACTTCACTGTGAACCACATATACTTATTTAAGGCTTTCAGGGTAAGGGATGAGGAGAGGTGAGGAGGCAGAGGGATCACAGTATGAAACCAAGTAGGCAGAACAGAGTATCGGTAGAGAGTAGAAGCTCCGAGTTCAGCGTGCCTCTTTACATCACTTTCTGACTATAAACCTTAGAGATGCTATTTAACATTTCTATCTCAGTTTTCTCATCTGTAAAATGGGGACAGTGACGGTACCTAGCTCATTGGATTGTGGTGTGAGGAGATGAGATGAAGTATGTGACGTGCTTGGGACAGTAGATGGCACATGGAAGAGCTCAATAAACACTAACTATCCTCAAAACACATGAAAACTACTCAAGAGACATTTCACTTGCGGGCACATGAACTTACTACCAATTGAGAGTCTCAGCGCTGAGGTTGTGCAGTGAAGGAGCATGTCAAATGGTGGGAATTAATCAAGAAATCCTTTCAGGAGGAAGGACAACTTCAACACAGGTTAAAAGAGAAGAGACAGGATAGCACTGCCTGCAGCTGTGCATGTCCTAGCGTGTGTCCCCATTATGCTAGACCCACAGCCAAGAGGAGCCAAGCAACCCCACAGAATTACCAGCAAGCCGCCAGCAGATGGAGCCAGCCACCTCCACACACTGCTGTTCAAGGCACCAGCACCCTCTAAATGGACCGGCACCCAGCCCACGTCCAGTCAGGAGCAGGACTGAGAGAGATCAAGGAAGAGTCACCCTTCACGCCCCTGTGGAGATGATAAGGGTGCTTTCCTGCCCCAGTGTGAGGGGAGAGGGAATCCAGACTCTCCCTGATGCCTCAGAGGCACAGCTCACTGTCAGAGTCCTTGCCATCCTGGAAGCCTAGGACTGCAGCCCAGTGCCCTTGTTGTTCACCTACCCCACTGTGGGAAGGAAAAGCAGGATGCCTGATGAACTTACTTTGAGGGCTGGGACTGCACTTGAATGTAGAGACTGGTATCCATCTGAGTCTGGGAGATTCTGAAAGCAAGAGGCCCACTACAGTAGCCCATCCGGCAGGGCTCGAAGGACCCTGGGGCAGCATGACTGGGAAGAAGATGGGGGCAGCTCTCCCTTCCCAGGTCTGTGGGGCCCTTGAAGGATTATGGGAGAGGATTCCTGCAGGCCCTGTGGCTCTGCATGGAGATGCACGGAAGTCAGTGGAAGGGCAGGAGCTGAGGGTTTGCCCAGGTACCCATGGCCAAGTCAACAAAGGGTCGTTGGGCACCTGTACCACTGTTGAGGCTAAAGAGAGGTGCATCTGTGTGAGGGAAGGAGGGGGAAAGGGTGGTGTTCAGTGATGGAGGAGGGTGGGGTGAGATCTTCAGCATCTAACAGAGCCACAAAGAACAGGAAGGGGAAAAGGACACTCCTGTAAAGAGGTCTCTTACTCTCCATCCCTCCTCTCTGCCCAAATACAGATGCTGAGGCCTCAAAGAGGGAGGAGGTGAGGCATCTTCAAGCCAGGCCCTACTTCCCCTCCACTGCTCCAAACAACCAGGACCCAACTCTCACTTGTGCTGGAGGGAAGGGGAGAGAAGAGCTCTGAATCGAGTTTGCAATGAAAGTTTTAAAAATATAAGAGGCTGAGTCTTAATTACTGGAATGAGACTGTTATAGTAACCGAAAGTGGCTGAAAAGTTATGGAACCAGACCAAGATGTCGTTAAGGGAGCGGCTCCTCAGCAGGAAAGAGAGATCTGGCACAGCACAGCCAGGGCAGTTACTGGAAGAAATAAAATCTTTTCATGTTTATACCCCAACGAGTTGAGACTCCCCAGTGAATCAGGCACACAGGAAGTACCTGGGCCTTGGACACCAGTGTCCCTGTGGTCAGAGTACCCCATGAAGGATGATGTCACGCGGAGCACAACCTCCTCTTCCCATTCAGGTGCTGTCTCACCTCCCAGGGCAAGAGAAGCAGGAGGAATTTGTCCTCCAGCTTTAATGAGGCACTTAGAAAGAGGAACAGGATGGTTTCTTCTTACCGGAATCCTCGATGGAATGCAGGCGCAGGCAGCTGAAAGAGATGGTGCAATTTGCATACTTCTGGTGGATTCCAGGAAGCATCAGCCCCATTTCACCCTAACAGCCAGTGGACTCTGCCTGGGAGGGCCAACAGCCAAAGAGAGCTTTCAGTCTCCAGGCTGAGAAAGTCAGGAGAGGAACAAGTCAGGGGACACCACCAGCCCTGGGACAGCGTGGCAGCATATCCAGAAGATCAGGAAACTGCCGCAGAGGCTTGGTCCCCTACTGGAAATTGAAAGAAAATGAAGTTTAGAAAGAGCAGGGTGGGAACTGGTTTGCAGAACAGAATGTTCCCTTGGCTTATTTTCATCTGGGGGAAAGGGAAGAACTAATACTTATTGAATGCCTGTGCTGTATCAGGCACTATGTTCATTCTTGTCTTATTTAATCCTCCCACAACCCTGTAAGGAAAGCATTTTCTCCATTTTACAGATGAAAAAACTGAGGCAGAGTGGTTGCCTAAGGTCACATGTTGTTGGAATTTGAACTTCATGTTTGTCTGTGTGGTAGACAGACACAGAGATGCCATGCTTACATTGCCCCTTCAATAAAGGACTCACTCCCCTGCTACCAAGAATGTTGGTTTTATTTGCCCCCAGCAATTAGTTCCTTCAAGGACCACCTGAGTTTTTAAGCCACAGTCACTCTCTTCTTAAGGCAGCCCCTAGCCAATGGCTGAGCAAGGTGGTAGTACAAAGGCCCATCCCTCTTCTACCAATGCGGAACTCCTCTAACAAGCAATTTTTGCTCAGAGCACCCTGTTAGACTGGCAGAGGCTTTGTCAAGTCTGCATCAGAAGCCAAGAGCTCCTCCTGGCCAAACTGCTTCCTCCCTTTTCCACTCACAGGTGATCCTCCCCTTTGCACTTCTACCTCTGTTGCAGCATCTAGTTCCAGAGAACCCAGTGGAGACTCCTAACAGCCTGACTGCAAAGCTTTCCCTTTTTCTGACACTTTATCTTCATTTTCACTTGTCCTTAGGTAACATTGCTGCAGTGCAGAGAGTGAGCTCCTTCTTGGTAGCAGGGGCTTCACCCCTTCCAGAAGAAAGCTACTGAAGGTTTAGTGATTAAGGCAGTTTCCAAAGAGTTAGTTATCCTTGATGATTATGTGCTCAATGCTCAAAGGCAGTTGCTAACATTCAGACTTTGAGGTCTAAAGTCCAAGTAAAGAGTCTACCCCCACCTTCTCCCTCTCCCTGACGTCAATTCCACCCCCTTAAATTGCTACAACATGGAATTAAGATATATAGTTTTATTATTTGTTGTGCTTAATGGAAAAGCTTTAGGATTTCTGAGTTTAATTTAAAAAGCAGATGGTCATAAGCAACAAAAGAAACAAATATATAAATTGGACTTCATCAAAACTAAAAATTTTGTGCTTCAAAGTACACTATCAAGAAAGTGAAAAAATAAGCCAGCACCCATAATCCCAGCTACTCAGGAGGCTGAGGCAGAAGGATCACTTGAGCCCAGGAGTTCAAGGCCAGCCTAGGCAACACAGAAAGACCCCATCTCTAAAATAATAATAATAACAAAGAAAGTAAAAAGACAAGCCAATTAAATAAGGGCAAAGAATTTGAATAAACATTTTTTCAAATAAAATATACACATAGCCAACGTGCACATGAAAAGTTGTTCAACATCATCAGTCATTAGGGTAATGCAAATCAAAACCAGAATGACACATCACTTTATATCCACTAGCATGGCTATAATTTTTTAAATGGACAATAACAAGTGTTGAAAAGAATGTGGAGAAATCGGAACTCTCATGCATTGTTGGTAAAACTGTAAAACAGTATGGCTGCCTTGGGAAACAGTTTGGCAATTCCTCAAAAAGTTAAATAAAGAGTTACCATATGACCCAACAATTCCACTCCTAGGTATATATCCAAGAAAATTGAAAACTTGTGTCCACATAAAAACTCATACTCAAATGTTCATAGAAGCATCATTCATAATTTCCAAAAAGTAGAAAGAACCCAAATGTTCATCAATTGATGAATGGATAAACCAAATGAAGTATATCCACACAATGGAATATTATTCAGCCACAAAGAATGAAGTACTGATACATGCCACAACATGGATGAACCTTGAAAACATTATGCTAAATAAAGAAGTCAGATATTAAAGCCCACATATTGTATGATACCTCTTATGTTAAATTTGCCAGAATAGGCAAATCCATAGAAACAGAAAGTAGACTAGTGGTTGCCTGGGGCTGGGAGGAGGGAAAAATGGAGAGTGACCGCTTAATGGGTATAAGGTTTATTTTAGGGTGGAATTAGATAGTGATGATGGTTTCACGACTTTGTGAATATAATAAAAATCACTGAAATGTGCAACTTTAAAGGGTAAATTTTATGATATGTGAGTTATATCTCAATAAAAACATTTTTAAGCTGCTGAGTTGAATATTTTACATTTCCCTAAGGAGACAAAACCACTTCAATTAAGGTGGCTTATTAAGTGACTTTTGACTGATTTCCTCCCCCCCACGTCCATGGTCTTTGATAATATTAAACTGCCTATCTTTGGTCTAAGAGGCTCATATTTCAGATACTTCAGGACAGAGACGAGATTAACTAAAGTCACTGAAGCTTTCGTTTAGGGGAGAAAAGAACACAGCTAGTTGTGACCCAGTGAAAAGCCAGATGTGGCATTAAGGACAATCAGGAGAACAGATCAGTCAACCAGAAAACAGAAATACTAGTCTGTCCTTCCTGTTAGAAAATGAGTTCAACATCAGGGCTTAGAGGACAATCCAAAAGACAAAGGTCCTCTGGCCAAAGCTTGGTCCAGCACTTTGGATCCATTTCCATCGGTTCTTACAGTCAGTCATCAGACCCCAACAGTCAAAGTGGTGAAGCAGAAGAGCAAGTTTGCTTTTCAGGAAGGCTCGGATGCTACAAGAATAAACTTGTAGTTGACTTCTCAGCCACATGATGTGGGCCTTGCAAAATGATCAAGCCCTTCTTTCATTCCCTTGCTGAAAAGTATTCCAGCGTGGTGTTCCTCAAGGCAGATGTGGATGATTGTCAGGGTAGGATGTTTGCTTCAGAGTATGAAGAAATGCATGCCATCTTCCAGTTTTTTAAAAAGGAATGAAAGGTGGGTGGGCTCCAGTTTTTGGAGCTAATAAGGAAAAACTTGAAGCCACCATTAATAAATTGGTCTAATCATGTTGTCTGAAAACATAATGAGCCATTGGCTATTTAAAACTTGTAGTTTTTTTATTTACCAAAAAAATGAAGTATGGAGACTGTATACCCAGCTGCCATCTGATTATAAATGACAAACAAATATTAATTCTACCCTCTAAAACAAAAAAAAGTTATCTGGCCTTATAGGAATAATTCTATCCTGATCTGAGGCCAGTGCCTAGTCCAAGTTGTGAAACTAGATTAAACCACAAACCTCAAGAAAGGATCCAAGACTACGAAGCATCACGTCTTCATAATGAACAACTGATATGGCTCATTAAGTTTATGAAATGGTCATGTCTTCTTTAAAAAAAAAAGAACTAATGACCCACACATATATATACAACTGATTTTTGACAAAATTGCAAAGGCAACTCAGTGGAGAAAGGATAACTTTTCAACAAATGGTGCTGAAATTATTGGATATCTTATCAAAAATAAAAATAAGAAGTCTCTCTGAGCATGCTCTGGCTTAAGAGGCTGGCCAAAGATAAAAAGATTAAATTAAATTAAAAATAAATAAAAATAAACTTCAATCCACACATTTTACTACATACAAAAATTAATTCAAAATAGATCATAGATCTAAATGTAAAACCTAAAACTATAAAACTTCTTAAAAAATAGAAGAAAAATTTGTGTGAACTTGAGTTTCAGGTAAAAATTTCTCAGCTAAGGCACCAAAAATACAATCCATAAAAGAAAAAAATGATAAATTGGACTTCATCAAAATTAAAAATTTTACTCTTTGAAAGACACTGCTAAAAGAATGAAAAGACAAGCCACACACTTGAAAAGACTCTTTGCAGAAGACGTTTCTGATAAAGGTCTTATGTCCAGAAAATATAACAAACTCTAAAAATCCAACAAAAGAAAGCAACCGATTTTTCAAATGAGCTAAAGGTTTGAACTGACACTTCAACAAAGAAGATAGTTGGAAAGTAAGAACATGAAAAGAGGTTCAATATAATTAGTCATTAAGGAAATGCAAATTCAAACCATAATGAGGCACCATACAGACCTATTGGAATGGCTAAAATTTTTTAAATGGCCATACAACTGTTGGCAAAAATGTGAAACAGGTGGAACTTTCATGGTACAACCACTCTGGAAGACAGTTTGGTAGTTTCTTTAAAAGTTAAACACATACGAAACATATTCCAAGGTATTTACCCAAAAGAAAAGATAGCGTAAGTTCAGAAAAGATTTGTATAAGATTCATCATAGCAACTTTATTTGTAATAGCCAAAAAATAGAAACAACCCATTTGCCCATTCATTGTAAAATGGAGAAACAAATTGTGGTGTATCTATACAGTGGAGTATTATTCAGCAATTAAAAAAATGAACTATTGATATGCAGAAAAATGTGAATGAGTCTGTAATTATGCTAAGTGAAAGACTCTTGAAAAAAGGAGTACATATTATATGATTCCATTTATATAAAATTTTTAGAAATACAAACAAATGTATAGTGACCGAAAGCATATCAGTGGTTGCCTGAGGCTGGGGGAAAGGGGCAAAGTGGGTAGGAAAGACAGATGGCAAAGGGATACAAAGAAACTCCAGAGGATGATGAGTATGTTCACTGTCTTGATTTTGGAGACGATTCTGGGGATGTGTTTTAAACTCATGAAATGGTAAACTTTATGTGTAGTTTACTGTATGTCAGTTACACCTCAATAAAGCTAGAGAGACAGAAAAAAAAAGAAAGAGACAGAGAGAGAGAATTCATGAGTAAATATACAATGTATCATTAGGCCGGTCACAGTGGCTCACACCTGTAATCCCAGCACTTTGGGAGGCCGAGGTAGGTGGATCATCTGAGGTCAGGAGTTCAAGACCATCCTGGCCAACATGGTGAAACCCCATCTCTACTAAAATACAAAAAAATTAGCAGGGCGTGATGGCAAGTGCCTATAATTCCAGCTACTCGGGAGGCTGAGGCAGGAGAATCGCTTGAACCCCGGAAGGCTAAAGAGCGAAACTCCATCTCAAAAAAAAAGAAAAAGGGCCGGGGGTGGTGGCTCACGCCTGTAATCCCAGCACGTTGGGAGGCCGAGGAGGGTGGATCACGAGGTCAGGAGATCGAGACCATCCTGGCTAACACGGTGAAACCCCGTCTCTACTAAAAATACAAAACATTAGTTGGGCGTGGTGGCGGACGCCTGTAGTCCCAGCTACTTGGAAGGCTGAGGCCGGAGAATGGCGTGAACCCGGGAGGCGGAGCTTGCAGTGAGCCGAGATCCCGCCACTGCACTCCAGCCTGGGCGACAGAACAAGACTCCGTCTCAAAAAAAAAAAAAAAAAAAAGTGTCATTATAATATCCTACAAAATGGAAAAAATGTGACAGAGACTGCTGCTCAGATTCTGTCCCACCCAAAAGACGGTGTTTCAGGATAGAATGATCCCAGAAAGTCCAGTTGGCTGACACTTCCCCAGATCTTTTATACAAACTTTTCCTTTACTAGAACACCTTTCTCTCACCTTATTGCTGTTGACTATCAACATATTTTTCAAGCCCAGCTCAAATCTAAACTAATCCCTGAAGCTTTCCTTGTCTTCTCCAGGCAGTTAGTTTGTGGCTCAGTCTGTGCTTTCCCAGCAACTGGGAATCCAGTAATATATCCCCCTTGATATTCTAGGATGTAAGATTTGTGGTTTCAGCTGTTCCCAAAAGACCATAAAGGTCCCCCAACTTGTACTGATTTGTCATTTTACTGAGGCACAAATTTGATTCCAGCCAGCTATGAAGTCCCTACAGAGAAGGAGTAGATGAGATAGTGAGTAAGACGAGCCCCCACCTACCCCCAAGACTTCATAACCCAAACCAACTTTGTTGGCATCTGCTTAACATAACAAATTTTAATTTTTCTTTTATGAGGAATGGACTGCCCACCCCACCCCCAACGGAAAAAAAAACTATCATCTGGTGATGGAAATGATGAGTGAGTGAAACAGTCCAAAAATGGAATGGTCCTTAGCCAGAAAATAGCTTTATAAATTACTTTAATCTTGTATTAAGAATCTGGAAGGGTCACTTAAAAATCTTAGTTGTACTTCACAGAATTTTATGGGGAGAAGTTATATACTACAGCGAAATTAACTGGATTAGAAATTTGAAAAGGCTTTGGGCCTTGCCCCTCAATAATGTTAAAAGTTCCCAGTAGCTCTAGTGAGTACTCATCACATTGCATTATAATTATGTGTTTAGCTATCCATCTAGCCTAAGAAGCAGTCATCTACGCCCTAGAGCTACATCATCTGGGTTCAGATCACAGTTCACCTAATAACCAACTTGAACAGGTTACTTAACTTCTAGGTGCCTAGATTTCTTCATCTTTAAAATAGTAAAATAGTACCTAACTAATCACATTAATTTTGAGTATTAAATATGGCAATACATAAAAAGCACTTAAACCAGAGTCTTACCCATCAAAAGTGATTGATAAATGCTAGTAACTAGTTTAAGAGTTTGCTCAAGGGCAGAGTTTATGTCTTAGGGAGCTTTTTTAAAATGTGTAGTTCTCCAGAGGCTTAATGCAGTGGCTTATGCACATACTACGTGCTCAATGAGAGCTGAAAGAATGAGTGAATGAGTCAGTGAGTAAATGAGTTATGGCTCTGCCACTTTGTCCGTAAAGTAGAAATTGCTTTATTCTAGTATAATAGCGGCATTTTGGCTTGGCTGGTCTGGTATTCGGACATAACTAATTCTGGCCAACATTCTCACAACTATCAAATCCACTACTGCAACCAATTTGCAACTTTTGAGAAACATGGTGCTATGATTGAGAGTGAGTAAGAGGAGCAGAAAGGACTGACGGAGGGGCAAAGCTTTACCTCTGACATGGTTTGGATGTGTGTCCCCTCCAAATCTATGTTGAAATGTGGTCCCCAATGTTGGAGGTGGTTCATGGCGGAGATGTCTGGGTCATGGAGGTGGATCCCTCGCCAATGGCTTAATGCTGTCCTCACGGTAATAAGTGAGTTCTCACTTTATTAGTTCACATGAGAGCTGGTTGTTTAAAAGAGCCTGGCATCTCTCTCTTGCTCCCTCTCTCACCATGTGACATGCCTTCTGCCATAAGTAAAATCTTCCTGGGGCCTCACCAGAAGCTGAGCAGATGCCACCACCATGTTTGTACAGCCTACAGAATCATGAGCAACATAAACCTGTTTTCCTTATAAATTACCTAGTCTCGGGTATTCCTTTATAGCAATGCAAAATGGACTAACACCTGTTGACCATGGTGGAGAGATGAGGAATAGAATCTGCCAAAACTGTTCAAGAGATGCAGACAGACAGAGCTGCCTTGGTATTCAGGTAGCACCCTTGCCCCCTGAAGTCTATGTTCAACCCAGCACCCAGTGTCATCCTTTTAAAATGTAAATTGGATCATGTCACTTTCCTACAGAAAACCCTCCAGTGGCTCCTTGTCTCACTTGGAACAAAACCCAAAATCCTCCCAATGGCCTGGAAGGTCATGATCCAACCAGTGGTGCCTCTCCCCTCCCACCTCCTACCTTGCTCCTCCTTGCACTCTCCACTCTTGCCTTTCTGCTGGACACTGGCCTTCTTGGTGTCCCTCAGACACTCCCAGGAGACTCCTGCTTAGAGTCTTTGCACTTTGCTAGTCCCTCTGCCGGGTATGCTTCTCCCCAGAAGTTCATGGCTCACTTTGCCACTTCATTTGAATATCTGCATGAATATCCGCTCCCTTCTCTGTCCACCTACCTAAAACTCCATAACTTTTGTGACTTTATCGTATGCATTGCTCTAGCACCAATACCTGGCCTAGTGCCAGGTACTCAATAAATACTTGTTGATTGATGTAGGTGAATAAAACCCCAGGAATCCACTTGGTTTTTGCTTCTATCTCCCTTCCAGGGCTAAGTCCTCCCCAAGTAGAAGCTTCTCCCTAGTAGTGAACTATCTGTGTCCAAACATAACTCCTGCACCCCCAGCAAAATAAGGGAGATAAAAATGTGTTATTGAAACAAAAAGGAGCTGCTGATTGTATAATCCTCTGGTGGGGAAACTCAGGGATCTTTGGCTTGACAAAATGAGTTTGCATTAGCCATTGTTTTCAGTGAAAGGTGTAAGGTATAAGGCGTTCAAAAAACAGAAGTCCTGATTACTGTGACTGTTCAACAACTTAAGTAATGGAAGGGAATGTGGTATGAAAAGAGAGAAAGAAAAGGAAAAGTCTAAATCATTCATGAGGCTCCCCCAGGGTGGGGTTCAAGAACATGCATTTTAACAAGTTCCCTGATCGATTCTTAAGCAACCAGCTTAAGACAGGTCCTTGGAAATGGGCTTAGAGATTTAGAAAAGGATGAGTTCACACATTATGATGGGAAAGACATGAGCCATTAAAGCCAAAAAGGCCTGGGTTCAAATCCTGCCATCACTGCTTATTATGTTTGTAACCTTCTGCTATTCATACCTCTCAGATGCTGATGTTCAATTTCTAGTTACAATAGATAAATACATCTACCCTATTATACTGTTATGATGACCAAATTGAATAACATATGTAATGTGCCTGGTATATAGTAGTTATATAGATGGTATTTTGTTACTATTATTTTTATGAATTCTGTTTTCTAAGCGCTTACAACCTCCCTAGAATGTTCTGTGGCAAATTGGCATTCTTACCCCTCACCCCACTATGTGACCTGACAGAAGTGAAAACATATAGTCAAAAGGACCAATTCTTCTGCGAATAGGAAAATCTTCAGCCCATACCTTCCCTAGAGTTCCTCTTCTCTAGAATAGATCAAGGAACATATTTTTGCTCTTAACTACCCATTAAGCATTAATAATAAATCCTTATATTTTTAGAGTCTTCACTCTACCAAGGCTTTCACATATATTTCCATTATCACTCACTCTCAGAGGTCCAGCAAGTGGCCTGTGTGCCCACAGCACTGGGACTTAAAACTCATAAACCCTGCGAACGTTCCATCAGATGACATTCCCCATCATCAAGATCTTCCCCTCCGCGGAGACAATAGGGCTCTGGAGTAATGGTGGAGAATGAGAAGGTAGCAAAGTCAATCTCCCAAGCTTGACTCTCCATGAGAAGGTAGCAAAGTCAATCTCCCAAGCTTGACTCTCCACGAGAAGGTAGCAATCTCCCGAGCTTGACTCTACATACCGCAGGGATTATTCCATCCAAATCAGAGGGTGGCAGCAGCGCCGCGTTCCGCTCAAGGCTGCCAGCCTTCTGCGACTCCACAGCCCCACCTGCTGGAGGCTGCCTTGCACACAGCCTGACAGTCCACAGCCCGCCCTGGACTACTGCTCTCCCTGAGTCCCAGACGCCACCCCTCTGGTAGGTACCAGTACAGGCTGGTAGCCTCAAACTTTGACTGAGAGAAGCATCTTTATTTCTTTCACAGTCTATGGTAAATCTTAATCTATTCTGTTGAAAGAACTCTTTGCTTTTTCTGAACTTCAGCTTCTCCCAAGTTGTAACCAGAGAGAGATTTCAGCTCTGGCTTTCCAGGCCCTCCTAGGGTGTTACACCGCAGAATAATAAGGCACTGACTCTGCCAGACGGAAAGAATTGGGACTTTGGAGAGAAAACTGCTATAGATTTCAGAACTAGGGGGATAAAAGCAGCAGCACTCCCCAGGAAACACAGAAAAATGAAGTCTCAGAGAATCAAAGTAAGAAGCCACAAGAAATGGATTGTATTCAGCCATTCACTTGGCTGTATTAAATGAGCACCTACTATGTGGCTGATACTGTGATACATGGGTGAAACAGTCTCTGCCCTTTAAGTCTTTTCACTGGGACTTTCACTGTCACTGGGACACCACCTGTCTCCTAGCCATCTTCCTGTCAGTTTTCCTTCTGTGTTCTTGGTAACCTCATTCCACTAAAAACAAATTCTTCTATATCCACAACAACCTGCAAGAACTTTCACTATACCTTCCTCCTCCTTACCGTAACTGAAGCCTGGCCTTGCCCCAAGGACACTGGTTCCCTTGCAGCCCTCTTAAGGGAAAGCTGCTCTTCCTCCCATGAGTTCTATTTTCCAGCCAAGAAGGGGGCACTTGGGGTCAGCAGTCTCCCAGCTTCCCCTGCCAGTTTTACATGATTACTTTTCTACCTTTGTCAAAGTCCCCCTCATACCAAATGGTTCATTGCCCTCTACTTCTTCTGGCCGTCATTGACCCTGGCCCACAGAGGCTGAGGACTCCCCCATTTACCTTACACATTAACTCCCACCATCATCCTGAGACAAATTGCTGAACCCAATCCATCCCACACCCTAACCTTCCCCTAATCATTTCAAATAACCTTCTGCTCTACTTACACTTTTCAAGGCCACAATTAGACCATTACTACCATAGCTCCACTGCCTCTCAAAAAATCTTTGGATCCTTTCACAGTTCATAAGAGTGATGACTGGGTTTTCACTTTCATGTGTAAGATGTGCCTCCCTGAAACCTTGTTACAACATTGGCACATTACCCATCTGATGTGGAAAAAAATGAAACTTCAATATCCCACTTGAACCACAATCCTCCCAGCTCTATTCTCTTCCTCCCACTTTACCACTCCTTGGCCTCGCTGAGTTCCAGCCCTTTAATCCCTTCGTGGCCTCACAGTTTATCTTTACTTTCCCCTCAATTCCCAGGCTTCAGTCTTTTAAAACCCAAGCTAGACCTCTGGCCAACAACTTGAATTATTTCCCGCCAGCTCCCTCAATACCCGTGCTCCCTTTTCCCTCCACTCATAAGTGCTGGAAAACCCTGACTACAGAACCCAGTTCTACAGCTGCCCACGCTCGTCCTAAACCTGGAGCTCCAAGTCCTGGTACAGAAAACTGTACACTCTGCCACAGGTTTGTCTTTTGAGAGGTTCATGAAGGACTATTACAAATCCACCTCATTCTCCCCACCCCTCATCAGATAGCCTGTCCTCCTGCTTCACTGAGAAAATTAAATCCAAGAACTCTCAACTTATCCCCTTCTTTCATAAGTATACTTGCATTACCCACCACATAGTCTTCTTGAACCCAGTAAAGACATCTACAAGCTGGGCACAGTGGCTCATGCCTATAATCCCCGCACTTTGGGAAGCCACTTGAGCCTAGGAGTTTGAGACCAGCCAGGGAAACATAGACTCCGTCTCTATAAAAATAGATAAATCAATAACATCTACAGTGCTTTGTCTGGGTAACATAATGACACCCTACAAAAAATAAAAAATTAGCTGGGTCTGGTGATGCACTCCTATAGACCCAGCTACCCAGGAAGCTGAGACGAGAGGATATCTTGAGCCCAGGAATTTGAGGCTGCAGTGAGCCACATTCACGCCACTGCACTCCAGCCTGAGTAACAGAGCAAGGCTCTGTCTCAGAAAAAGGAAAAAAAAGCAACCTAATGCTTACATCATACTTCATGGTGAAGGAATGAATGCTTTCCCTCCCAAGATCAAAAAGAAGGCAAGGGATAGCTGCTCTTTCTGCTTCTATTCAACAATGTATATAGCATTTCCAGTACAGAAGGGAGAGCGACAGAGATAATACAAGTTGTAAAGGAAGAAGTAAAACGTTCTATATTCACAGATAACATGATTGTGCCTATAGACACTCCTAAGGAATCCACCACAAAAAAAAAAAAAAATATATATATATATATATATATATATATATACATGAAAATGCCAGGCATGGTGGCTCATGCCTGTAATCCCACACTTTAGGAGGCTGAGGTGGGAGGATCACTTGAGCCCAAAAGTTCAAGACCAGCCTGAGCAATATAGTGAGACCCTGTCTCTACAAAAAATAAAAAATTAGCTGGTCATGGTGGTGCACATCTGTAGTCCTAGCTACTTGAGAAGCTGAGGTAGGATGATTGTTTGACCCCAGGAGGTTAAGTCTGCAGTGAGCCGTGATCATGCCACTGCACTCCAGCCTGAGTGACAGGCAAGACCCCATCTCAAAAAAAAAAAATTTTATATTTAAATTTTTAAAAAAATTCCTTTTGATCAGGCACAATGGCTCATGCCTGTAATTCCAGCACTTTAGGAGGTCAAAGCAGGCAGATTGCTTGAGCCCATGAGTTCAAGACCAGCCTGGACAAGATGGTGAAACCCTGTCTTTACAAAAAAAAACACAAAAAAATCAGCTGGGCATGGGGGCACGCACGTGTTGTCCCAACTACTTGGGAGCCTGAGGTGGGAGGATCATCTGAACCCGGAGGTCGAGGCTACAGTGAGCCAAGATTGTGCCACAGTACTCCAGCCCAGGCAACAGAGTGAGAGACCCTGTCTAAAAAAACAAAAACAAAAACAAACAAACAAACAAAAATTTAAGTGAAAACTAATATGTGAATTTAACAAGGTTACCATATACAAGGTCAAATATCAAAAATAAAGTATTTCTCCATAGACTATGAATAAATAATTGGAATTTTTAAAAAAACTTTAATACCATTTAAAAGAGCATCAAGTAAGGAAAATGTTATACACACACACACCATGGAATACTACTCAACCATAAAAAAGAAGGAAATCACGTCTTTTGCAGCAACATGGATGGAATTGGAGGTCATTATCCTAAGCGAAATAACTCAGAAACAAGAAGTCAAATACCACATGTTCTCACTTAAAAGTGGGAGCTAAACAATAAGTACACATGGACATACAGAGTAGAATAGCAGACATTGGAGACTACAGAAGGTGGAAGGGTGGGAGGGAGGGTGTATTAGTCCATTTTCACACTGCTATAAAGAACTTCCTGAGATTGAGTAATTTATAAAGGAAAAAGGTTTAATTGACTTACAGTTCCACATGGCTGAGGAGGCCTCAGGAAACTTACAATCATGACGGAAGGGGAAGTAGGGATGACTTACATGGTGGCAGGTGAGAGGGAGAGGATGTGAGTGAAGGAGGAACCTGCCGAACACTTATAAAACTATCAGATCTCATGAGGACTCACTATTATGAGAACAGCATGGGGGAAACTGCCCCCGTGATCCAATCACCTCCCACCAGGTTCCTCCCTGAATACGTGGGGATTACAATTCAAGATGAGATTTGGGTGGCGACACAGAGCCAAACCAGATCAAAGGGTGAGGTCTGAAAAATTCCTTATTGGGTACAATGTGATAGGTACACTAAAAGCCCAGACTATTTTTACTACGTAATATATGCATGTAAAAAAGCTGCACTTGTACCTCCTAAATATATAAAAATAAAAAATTAAATAAAATAGCATCAGGACTTCTAATTCTGAGCAACATGGAGTGACAGGGACCAATTAAAACTCCAGGCACAACATATGAAGCAACAGCTTTCAGACATTAAGCATCAGGCAGCACAGACAGTGAATTCAGGAAACAAGCAAGATGTGTTCTATGATTTTCGCAGTCTGTGATAGGAAAGGGTTTCCAGGCTTCAGCACAGCAAGGGGGAATGCAGGCAGAGCCCAAAAGTCTCCCTCAGTTCAGGAGAAAATGCTGGGCATCTGAGGAGGCCAAGCCAGCTAGAGTTCACCTGGCAGAGCACAAGAGCTGAGAGAGCAGCACAGACAGAGAGCTCCAGGGATCTGTGGAAGGTCTGCAGCTGAAGGCTGATCTGCACATTCGTGTGAGGAAACTACCACAGGCTAAGAAAAATTACACCTGAAAAAAGTACAGGGAAAAATCTTCAGCATTCACCTACTAGCCACAGTAGGAAACCTCATAATTAACAGGTCATCAGGTAGAATATTCAGAAAGGCATTGCTGTAGTAGTGGGCAATATTAGCCATACACCAAAGAATTCTGGTCATGTCTAACAAAGCAAGCCTCAGAAGGACCAGTTTTCAAGTAACTTAACTACATCACAGAACAACGCTCAAGAATATTAATAAGAATACAAAGGTATTCAGTACCCACAAGGTAAAATACGTGGTATTTGGAATTCAATAAAAAATTATAAGACACACAAATAAGCAAGAAAATACAATTCGTAATGAAGAGAAAAATCAATGAGAACTAATCTAGAAATGATATGGATGATAGAATTAGTAGACAAAGACATTTAAGTGGTTATTAAAGCTATATTCATATGTTCAAGAAGGTAAAGGAAAGATTGAGCATGTTAAGTAAAAACATCAAAGATATTTTTAAATTACCAAATTGGCTGGCTGCGGTGGCTCATGCTTCTAATCCCAGCTCTTTGGGAGGCCGAGGTGGGTAGATCACTTGAGTCTAGGAGTTCAAGACCAGCCTGGGCAACACAGGAAGATCCCATCTGTACAAAATTTTTTTAGAAATTAGCCAGGCATGGTGGTATGCACCTGTAGTCCCAGCTACTTGGGGATGAGGTGGGAGGATTGCTTGAGCCCGGGAAGTCAAGGCTGCAGTGAGCCAAGATTGGGCCACTGCACTCTAGCCTGGGTGACAAAATTAGACCCTGTCTCACATATAAATAAATAAAAATAAGAGGCCCAATTGAACTTGTAAAGAGAAAAATTAAAATATTTGAGATTAATAACAACACATTAGACATTGAAAAAAATTAGTGAAGTTTAAGACAGAGCAATAGAAACTATCCAAGATGAAACACGGAAAGAAGAAAGACTGAAAAAAAAAATGGCCAGAGCATTAGTGACCTACGAGGCAATCAGACTCCAAAGGGGGGGAAAAAAGAGACAGAGAGAGTGAGAAGGGAGGTCAGAAAAAAAGATATGAAGAAGTAATAACTGAAATTTTCCAACGTTTATGAAAATTAGATGTCCAGAAACCTAAGAAACTTAGTAAACCCCAGGCACAAGAAACATGAAAAACCAAAGCACATCATAAAATTGCATCAAAAACATAATATGCTTAGGAATAAATTTAACAAAATATGTGCAAAATCCACACATGAAAAACTAGAAAACATTGCTGAGAGAAATTAAAGAATACCTAAATAAATTGACACATATATTTTGTCCATGGATTGGAAGACACAATATTGTTGCCCACTCTTACCAAAATGATTGATAGATTCAGTATAATTCCAGTAAAAAACCCAACATGCTTTATTTCACAGAAATTGACAAACTGATTTTAAAATTTATATGGAAGTTCAAAGGACCTAGAATATCCAACACAGTTTTGAAATAAAGAGTAACAAAGTTGGAGAACTTGTATAACCTCACTTCAAGGCTTATTATATAGAGCACCCTAGATAATACAATGTAATATTAGGGTAAGGAAAGACAAATATACAAATACAACCAAATAGACCAGAAATAGACCTCATGCATGGCCAATAAGCACACGATAAGATGTTTAATCATTAGTCATCAGGTAAACAGAAACTAAAATCACAATGAAGTACTACCACACACCTACCAGAATGACTACAAATTAAAAATTGTAATGATACCAAGTTTGGTGAGAAAATAGAGCATCTAGAAATCTCATATATTACTGAGGACAGTATAAAATAGTTGAATCCATATCTTGGTTATTGTAAATAGTGCTGTAATAAACATGGCAGTCCAGATATCTCTTTGATATACTAATTTCCTTTCTTATACCCAGCAGTGGGATCACTGAATCATACGGTAGTTGTATTTTTAGTTTTAGTTTTTTGAAGAATTTCCATACTGTTTTTCATAGTGGCTATATTAATTTACACTCTCACCAACTGTGTGCAAGAGTTCCACTTTCTCCACATCTTCACCAGCATGTCATTTTTTATCTTTTTGATAATACCATTTTAATTGGGGTGAGATAATATCTCATTGTGGTTTTGACTTATATTTACCTGATGATTCGCGATGTCAAGCATTTTTTCATATACCTGTTGGCCATTTGTATTTCTTCGTTTGAGAAGTGTCTATTCAGAACATTTGCTCACTTTTTACCTGGATCTAATTTCATTCTTCTGCATATGAATCTTCAGTTTTCCCAGAACCATTTTTTTTTTTTTTTTTTTTTTTTTTTTTTTTTTTTTTTTTTTTTTAGTTTTCTGACAGAAAAGTCTCTCTCTGTCACCCAGGCTGGAATGCAGTGGTGCAACCACAGCTCACAGCAGCCTCAACCTCCCAGGCTCAAGTGATTTTCCCATCTCAGCCTTCTGGGTAGCTAGGACCATGGGCACACACCACCACATGTGGATAAGTTTTTTATTTTGTAGAGTCTTTCTTGCCAAGGCTGGTCTCAAACTCCTGGGCCCAGGCATTCCTCCTGCCTTAGCCTCCCAAAGTGCTGGGATTACAGGTTTTAGCCACTGCACCTGTCCCCCAGCATTATTTATTGAAGAGATTGTCCTTTCCCCAGTGTATGTTCCTGGTGTCTTTGTCAAAAATGAGTTGGCTGTAAATGTATGGATTTATTTCTGGGTTCTCTACTCTGTTCCACTGGTGTATGTATCTGTTTTTATGCCAGTACCATGCTGTTTTGGTTACTATTGCTTTATGGTATAATTTGAAGTCAGGTTATGTGATGCCTCCAGGTTTGTTATTTTTATTCAGGATTACTTTGGCTATTCAAGGTCTTTTGTGATTCCATCCAAATTTTAGGATTGTTTTTCTGTTTCTGTAAAGAATGTCATCAGCATTTTGATAGGAACTGCATATAATCTATAAGTTGCTTTGGGTAGTATGGACATTTTAAGAATACTAATTCTTCCAATCCATGAACGTGGGATATCTTTCCATTGTGTGTGTGTTTCCTCTTCAATGTCTTTCCTCAGTGTTTTATAGTTTTAATTGTAGAGATCTTTCACTTCTTTGGTTAAATTTATTCCTAGGTATTTTATTATTAATTTTTTAGCTATTGTAAATGAGATTGCTTTCTTGATGTATCCTTTTTCAGATTGTTTGCTGTTGGCATATAGAAATGCTGCTGATTTTTGTATGTTGATTTTGTGTCCTGCAACTTTACTGAATTCTTGTATTCTAACAGTTTTTTTTGCGGAGTCTTTAGGACTTTCTAAATATAAGATCATGTCATCTGTAAACAGGGACAATTTTACTTCTTCCTTTCCAGTTTGAGTTCCCCTTATTTCTTTCTCCTGCTTAATTGTTCTGGCTAAGGCTTCCAGTGCTATGTTGAATAAAAGTGGTGAAAGTGGGCATCTTTGTCTTGTTTCAGATCTTATAGGAAAGGCTTTCAGTTCAGCATGATGTTAACTATGGGTTTGTCATATATGGCCTTTATTGTTTTGAAGTATGTTTCTTCTATACCTAGTTTGTTGTAAGTTTTTATTATAAAGAGATGTTGAATTTTATCAAATGCTGTTTTATGCATCTATTGAGATGATCATATGGTTTTGTTCTTTATTCTGTTGTACAATTTGGTGTATCACATTTCTTGATTTGTGTATGCTGAACCATCCTTGCATCCCTGGAATAAATCCCACTTGATTCTGGTGTGTTATTATTATTTTTTTTTTTGAGATGGAGTCTCGCTCTGTTGCCCAGGCTGGAGTGCAGTGGCGCGATCTCTGCTCACTGCAAGCTCCGCCTCCTGGGTTCACACCATTCTCCTGCCTCAGCCTCCCAAGTAGCTGGGACTACAGGCGCCCACCACCATGCTCGGCTAATTTTTTTGTATTTTTAGTAGAGACGGGGTTTTACCGTGTTAGCCAGGAGGTCTCAATCTCCTGACCTCGTGATCCGCCCGTCTCAGCCTCCCAAAGTTCTGGGATTACAGGCGTGAGCCACCGTGCCCAGCTGTGTTATCTTTTTAATGCATTGTTGGATTATGTTTGCTAGTATTTTGTTGAGAATTTTTGCATCCATGTTCATCAGGAATATTGGCC
The DNA here is from genome assembly GCF_000001405.40 of Homo sapiens. Lineage (NCBI taxonomy): Eukaryota > Metazoa > Chordata > Mammalia > Primates > Hominidae > Homo > Homo sapiens. The sequence continues at coordinate 112,378,376 of NC_000001.11, forward strand.
TGTAGTTTTATTTTTGTTGTTGTTGTATCCTTATATGGTTTTTGTATTAGAGTAATGCTTATCTTATGGAATGAGTTAGAAATAATTCTCTCCTATTCATCTTTTGGAATAGTTTGGAAATAATTGGTGTTACTTTGGAGGGAGCTTTTAATACAAAGGAAATGTTCTATATCTTCAGTGGGGGCTACAAGAGTGTATATACTTGTCAAAACTGCACCAGAACTGCCTGTCAGCTGCTCAGGTGGTAGCATCTGATGGTGGCATCTCTCTGGGAACTGTACATTAAAAATAGGTGCATTGGTTGTATGTAAATTACATCTCAATAGAGTTGATTTTTTAAAACGAAGTAGAAAAAATATAATTAAATTAATCCCTCTCTCCTGATTCTCCACCAACATCTCTGGAGAGTACTCCTTAATCTTCTTTATAAATTCTTCATATTTCCCTTTGAAACTCAGGGGTTACTTGATGTTCCATTCTTGATCCTCTTCTTCTCCCTCATATAACCATAATTATTTCACTCAGTATTCGTGTTATAACTACCACCTATTTGAGGATCGTTCCCAAATCTACATTTCTTGCACAGACTTTTCCCCTGAGCTCCAGATAGCTATATCCAAATGCTTAATGGAAAATCTTTATCTCAAGCTCAACATGTCCAAAACTAAGACAATTACCACACATAGGCCAGAAGCAGTGGCTCATGCCTTATAGGCCAGGAGCCCAGGAGTTCAAGACCAGCCTGGGAAATATAGCACGCCCACATCTCTACAAAAAAAAAAAAAAAAAAAAAAAAAAAAAATTTGTTTTAATTAGCCAGGCATAGTGGCATGTGCCTGTAGTCTTAGTTACTCAAGAGGCTGAGGTGGGAGTATCGCTTGAGCCCAGGAGTTCGAGGCTGCAGTGAGCTATGACTGTGCCACTCTACTCCAGCCTGGGTTACAGAGAAAGATTCTGTCTCTAAAAAAAAAAAAAAAAAAAAATTACCACACATAACTTTAAGCCTACCTTTCATACAATATTCTTTATTTTTTTTCTTTTTTACTTTTTCTTTTTTTCTTTTGAGATAGAGTCACACTCTGTTGCCCAGGCTAGAGTGCAGTGGTGCAATCTTGGCTCACTGCAACCTCGGCTCACTGCAACCTCCACCTCTCAGGTTCAAGTGACTCTCGTGCCTCAGCCTCCCAAGTAGCTGGGATTACAGGCATGCACCACCATCCCTGGCTAATTTTTGCATTTTTAGTAGAGACACGGTTTTGCCATATTGGCCAGGCTGGGGCTCAAACTCCTGGCCGCAAGTGATCCACCTGCCTCATCCTCCCAAAGTGCTGGGATTACAGGCGTGAGCCATTGTGCCTTGCCCTATACAATATTCTTCATATGCATTGATGCGCTGTGGCTGACACATAGTAAACACTTTATATATTATTTGTTGAATGAATGAAATGTGAAATAACTAACAGCCAAATATGTCTTCAATTCTCTCTCACTCGCCTATATTATTAAGCACGTGACCAACATGCTTTGTGGAAATTATTTTCACAAATGTTAGTTCATTCTCTTATTCCTTTCTCCTCCCCACTACTACCTCCACTCCCACCCCAGATGGAGAGAGGGTGAGAATGGAGTTGGCACACATCTCTGAATGGCACCTGCTCAGATTGACAGGCTTCAGTATTTCAAGATAAGAAAAGCTGCTCTCCTCTTCCCCTTCTTTCCCCCTTCCAACATCATGGTCACCGCCAGAACTGCCTGCAATTGGTATTCTGGGCAGATGTAGCCAGCTGTAAGGTGCGTTATCTGACAGTGCATCTGTCTGGAAAACCAGAAGAAGGAAAAGGAAAACTGTGTTTAGAAGGTGTATTTTTCTCTTCCCCAGGTAAGCAGGAGAAATAATAGAATTCAAATTGTAATAACCATGCAACAAAACTTCTGCACACTAGGTGTTTATCCCAGTTCATAAAAACAACTATTTTAAGGTAATGAAAAGAACTCCCTGTTGGGGAAGCAAATGGAACTACATGTTTCTGAAACAGTTTGAAAGAAAACAGCAAACTCAATGACCAGACAGCAAAAACATGTCAAGCAGATTGGCACAGTTTGCCTCACTCACAAATCTTCCCCAGACAAGGCTCCAGGAAAGGCTGGACCCCTTGAAATCATACTACACATCAGGAAACCACGTGACCTTCTATTGTCAAACCCATACAGCCTACTCAGCTTCAGTGGGGTGTAAAGGCTCCCCTTTTTTTCTATACTCAGAGCCTAAGAATTCAACTTCATTTCTGTTTCTTTAATGGTACCCTACCAACTCTGAACCTTGGGACCCTGTCCCCCAAGTCCTTTTCTCTGTTGTCTCTAAAGACAAACATACAAGCTTTTATGATTGGAAGAATTAACTGCTAATCACTATAGGAAAATAGACACGGAAAAACAAAAGCAACAAAGATGAAAACGTTTATTTACCTAAGAGCTCTTATATACAGGGTAACCAAATGTCCCTGTTAGCCCAGGACGGTCCCAATTAACATCTATTTTCCTGGCATAATTACTAATTGCAACCGCTTCACTCTCAAAAGTATCATGTTTGGTCATAAAGTAGAATAAGTTATCCTATTTATATGGCACTTATTTTATGCCAGGCATATAAACGTTAATCTATTTGATCCTCAAAGCAATCTCATGAGCTAAGAAATGTTTTCAAAGTAATCAGACCAAAGCAGGAGAGGTTGAGTAGCTTGCCCAAGGGTACACATATAGTCAGTATCTGAGCCAGGATTTGCCAACAGAGGCAACTGGCTTCAATATCCTTGTCCTTAACCATTGTGGTAAGCTATGATAAAGCTTTAGGAAATCAAGTGTTCTTTCATTTAATAAGTATTATTAATGCCTACTATGTGCCAGGCACCATGCTACAAACTAGGAATACAGAATGAAACAGGCAGAGGACGTGCCCCAAGGAAACTTTCAGTCTGAGGGAAACAAAGATACAACTAAAAAGACAAGGAGTACAGGTACAGGGTGCATTGAGAACAATTGGTATAGAGGTGGGAGTGGTATCTAATCAGGCATTAAGAGATCATGGAAAGCTTCCTGGAGGAAGTGACATCTGAGGAGAGTGCTGAAGAAAGGGTATTTTATCTAGACTGGAAGGACCAGGAAAATCTGGTTCAGGCAGAACAGCAAATCAGATGGTCCTAAGGCCAAAGAAATCACAATGAATTCACATAGTTCAGTAGGGTTAGTGTTGCCTGGGGTCAGGGAAGGAGCAAAAGTTGGAGCTAGAAATATATACAAAGGCCAGATCAAGAAGGGATGTTACTGACATGCTCACATTTGCACTTTGTCCTGAAGTTAATGGGAAGCTCATGGCTTACTAGGAACTTAAGCAGAGAAGTGACCTGATCAAATTTTCACTTTACAAAAATCATTAGTGCTGCCATGCAGAAATGGTTTGAAGAGGCAAGAGCCAGAGCAAACACAGGAAACTCAGACAGAATGCTGTTGCCAGGATCCATCAGAGGGAGGAAGCAGGCTTGAACTAAGGTGGTGACTAGAGATGCAGAAAGACTTGGTATATCAAGGAGGTAGAACTGGCAGGACTTGGTGATGAGGAAGATGTGGTGGGTGAGGGGAAAGAAGGGTCATGGATGCCAGAGAGATGTCCCATCTGAGTCTGGAGCTCAGGAGAGAGACGTGGGCAAGAGACATAAATTTGGGAATCACCCATGTAGAGATGGTAATTAGGCCAGCTGGTTAGATGGCTTACCCAGGGGAGTCTGTAGAGTGGGAAGTGGAAGAATTTGCAAGACCAGGCATGGTGGCTCATGCCTGTAATCCCAGCACTTTGGGAGGCCAAGGTGGGAAGATCTGAGTTCGAGACCAGCTTGGGCAATGTAGGGAGATCCTGTCTGTAGAAAAAAAAATTTTTTTAATTAGCTGGGCATGGGCTGGATTCAGTGGCTCACGCCTGTAATCCCAGAACTTTGGGAAACCGAGGCAAACAGATCACCTGAGGTCAGGAGTTCAAGACCAGCCTGACCAACATACAGAAACCCCATCTCTACTAAAAATACGAAATTAGCTGGGTGTGGTGGCACATGCCTGTAATCCCAGCTACTCGGACTCGGGAGGCTGAGGCAGGAGAATCACTTGAACCCAGGAGGCAGAGGTTGCAGTGAGCCAAGATCACACCATTGCACTCTAGCCTGGGCAACAAGAGCAAAATTCTGTCTCAAAAAAAAAAAAAAAATTACCTGGGCATGGTCGCATGCGTCTGTGGTCCCAGCTACTCAGGAGGCTGAAGTGGGAAGATCACTTGAGCCCAGAAGGTGGAGACTGCAGTGAGCTATGATTCCACCATTACACTCCAGCCTGAGTGACAGAGCGAGACCCTGCCTCAAAGCAAAAAAAAAATAGAAAAAAGTAAAGAAAAGAAAAAAAGAACTGGCCACATAATCCAGTGTTAGTGTCTCTCCTCACAAGAAAATACGAAGAAAAATACTGGCCATGGGCTGGGTGGGGTGGCTCACGCCTGTAATCCCAGCACTTTGGGAGGCTGAGGTGGGTAGATCACCTGAGGTTGGGAGTTCGAGACCAGCCTGACCAACATGGAGAAACCCCATCTCTACTAAAAAATATATATATATATATAATTAGCCAGGCATGGTGGTGCATGCCTGTAATCCCAGCTACTTGGGAGGCTGAGGCAGGAGAATTGCTTGAACCCAGGAGGCAGAGGTTGCAGTGAGCCGAGATCGTGCCATTGCACTCCAGCCTGGGCAACAGTGAGACTCTGTCTCAAAAAAAAAAAAAAAAAAGAAAAGAAAAAGAAAAGAAAGGAAAAAAGAAAAAAACAGGCCACAAAGAGTTGGAACGAGCAGAGATGGGAGAGACTGAGCAGGAAAGCTTGATGTCCTCAGGGCCGCCAAGAGAAAAGGAAAAGAAAAACAGTGTCTAAGGCTTCATGGGGCACAAGTTCGGGGCCAGGCATATCCACACAGTTTATCAACAAGATGGTGTTTGCAAATCTTAAGGGTGCAGTTTCACTTGCAGGCAGGAGTGAGACTGCAAGGGGAAGAGGAGAAGCTGCAAGGTGGGAACAGGGAGCAGGGAGTGTCTCAGGGAGAATTGTGCAGGAGGTGGAAGTAGAAGTCATGTCCCAGAACAGAGGCATCCAGCACCCTGCTTTTGTGTACGTGTGGTAAGAACACTTAAAATGAGATCTAACCTCTAAATAAATGTTTAAGTGTACAGAACATTACTGTTGACCATAGGTATGATATCATACAGCAGATCTCTAGAGCTTATTCATCTTGCTGGACTAAAACTGTATGCATGCACATTGATTAGTAACTCCCCACCTCCCCCTCCCCTCAGCCCCTGGCATTCCACTCTTTGCTTCTATGAGTTTGACTCTTTTATTTTATTTCATTCCAACAGCCTGGGAGAGTTTGACTATTTTAGGTGCCTCACACAGGTGGAATCATGCAGTATTTATCTTTCCATGACTGGCTTATTTCACTTAGCAGCTTGTCTAAAGTTTGGTCAAGGAGAGAGTCTTTGTCACCAGTTGGCTGGGGCACAGAGAGTGAGGGGGCAGATCTGCTCTGGCTTATTCTGGAGAGATAAGCAGCAGTCAAGGCTTTGTAAATCCAGTTATCCTAAGAGCACTGAGAAGTTCTAATTGGGAAGGAAGTGATATGACATGATCAGATTGTGTTTTCTCAAAATCTACTCAGATTGCTCTACGGAGAACAGGCTGGAGGGGGTGAGAAGGAATGCTGGAAGACTAGTTAGATTGCCAGTGCTATTGTCATGACAAGAAAATGGGCAGAACAAGGTGATGGTGGTGGTAGAAACAGACATAGAGGGATTTGAGAAATGTAAAAGGTGAAACTGACAGGACTTGGTGATAGATTGGTGGCAGGGAGAAAAAGGTATCAATAAATGGCTTGGTATCTCATTTAATCTTTACTACAACCCTGTGAAACACATTATTATTTCCTCCATGTTATGGATAAGGGATTTGAAACTCAAAGTACTTGAGCGACATGCCCAGATCACACAGCTGGTAGGTCTGGCTCTAAAGTGACGCCCGCTCCACTATGTTATACAACAGTCAAGCAGTTCTTCCTTAAAGAATGGTCTCTTTCCTCGTACACCACTGAAGGCTATGCCTAGTCAATACTTCTACTAATAGCATGGTACTTCACCTACAATATTCTCATTATCTGTTTGCCTATACAACAGGAAAATAAATAAGAATATTATCACAGAAGCCGGCCGCAGTTTAAGCCAGCTGACCTCCAAGGACAGTACAAATCAATTCCTTTGCTGAAGAAGGTGACTTCTTGGGCTTATCTGGCTATAAAAAGTGAGGGCCCCTGAAGAGAGCTGAGATAAGAAAGGTTAGGGCAATAAGAAATTAACTTGCTCTGCATGACAAAGTTACAGGAATTTTGAAGAAGGAACCATAGCCATTAATATAGTTTGGATGTTTGTCCCCTCCAAATCTCAGGTTGAAATGTGATCTCCAATGTTGGAGGTGGGGCTTAATGGGAGATATTTGAGTCACGAGGATGGATGCCTCATGAATTGCTTGGTGCCCTCCCCATGGTCATGACTGAAGTTTCATTCTATTAGTTACCATGAGATCTGATCATTAAAAAGAGCCTGGACCTCCTGCTCTTCTCTCTTGCTCCCTATCTTGCCATGTGACATGCCTGCTCCCCCTTTGTCTTCCACCATTAGTAAAAGCTTCCTGAGGCCTCACCAGAAGCTGAGCAGATGCTTGTGCCACTCTTGTACAGCTTGCAGAACCGTGAGTCAAATAAACCTCTTTTCTGTGTAAATTACCCAGTCACAGGTATTCCTTTATGGCAATGCAAAGTGGACAACTACAACCATCATGCCCATCACTGTAACCCTAGTGCCTAGAACACAGGTACTCAACATATTTTGTTGAATGAATTTGCTTTAAGAAGGGGGTTATGTCTGGAAGAGAAGATGGGAGGCAGGGTCTGGAGAGAAGTGGCGTTAGAAATTAATGAAGAAACAGGAGTGGCCGGGCACGGTGGCTCACGCCTGTAATCCCAGCACTTTGGAGGCCAAGGAGGGCAGATCATGAGGTAAAGAGATGGAGACCAGCCTGGCCAACATGGTGAAACCCCGTCTCTACTAAAAATACAAAAATTGGCTGGGTGTGGTGGCCCACATCTGTAGTCCCAGCTACTCGGGAGGCTGAGGCAGGAGAATCGCTTGAACCCAGGAAGCAGAGGTTGCAGTGAGCTGAGATCACGCCACTGCCACTGCACTCCAGCCTGGGTGACAGAGACTCCATCTAAAAAAAGAAAAGGAAAAAAAAAAAGAAAGAAAGAAACAGGACTGATGAAGTCTAATGGAATTCCTTGAAATGGGATGGTCCATGGCTTTCTACAAACAGTATTAACTGATACTAAATTTTAAATTTTCTGTTTTAAAAGAAAAATTGTTATAAAACTGGACTGGAATAGAACTTTGTATTACATAAATCATGTAAATTTCTGGTCAAATGTTTATACAGTTGTCTGATATACATTAAAGGCAAACTCTCTCTTGTGGGTGATATTGATGTCAGTGGTGGGCCATCTGGAGCAGCCACTGCCACTGCGCCAACTGCCGCAGGGAGGTGAAAGTGGTGGTGGCAGAAGTAGCTGTGAGAGCAGCAATGGTGGTGGTGGGTCCCCTGTGCCCCATGTCTGGAGACAACTGACTGCACCGCCCCCACCCTTGCATGGCCAGGTGGGACCCACTCCCAGGCCCGGAGCTTCTGCAACTCTGGACCCTGGCACCGCATCACGGCTTTTGCGTGGCGCCCCTGCAGGAAGGGTAGGGGGAGGAGGGATAGCTGGGCCTAGGGCAGTGCTGTGCTCCAAGGGAGTCAGCAGGAGCCAGGGACAAGTGGGAGCATGCCCAGAGCCCACTGTTTGGGGGCCGCCACAGTGAGGCCAGCCGAGCCACCCACTGGCAGAGGAGGAGGGTGGTTGGGCATGCAGGGGTGGGCAGAGAGGGGTCCAGTGAGGACCTGGAGTCCCCCACCCCAGACTGCAAGGAGATGCCACCGGAGCTGCATGCATGCTCCAGGGATTGGGTGACAGCCCCGCCCTCCCAGACACAGGACCTGGGTGTCTCTGTACTCTGCACCCTCAGGGGCCCAGGAAAGCTCCTGCTGCCTCCACAGGCTCGAGGGTGTCTGCTCCTACTGCCTGGCCTTTCCCCACTCCTGGTGCCCACTCTGATCTCAGAGCAGGGTTGAGGCAGATTGCGGGGGGCAATGGGGTGGGGGGAGCTGAGGTGGGGCAGAGGGCAGGTTGGAGCTGGCCTGCAGGTGCCCCTTGGTGGGAGCAGCCTGGTCACCATGGATGGCAATAGGAGGCAGATAGGCTCCTGGGTGGAAGGGGGCAGGTCCCTGGTGAGGCCTCACCTTTAGGCCAGGGAGGGCCCAAAGGCTGGAGGCCAGGCTACCAGTCCCTCTGACCCTAGTGGGGACTTGTGGTGCCTTTTCCGGGCTGCCCATGGACCAACTGACATGCACTTCCTCCCCTCTGAGGCCAATAAAAGCCCCAGGCTTAGCCAGAGCTGGACAGATGCCAGCTTGAGCTGACCTGTGAATGAGAGCAAATGTGAAACAAACTCTCAAGTACATAGTACATACTATTTTCTTCCCAAACATCCATCCCCACTTTTTCTGGTAATAGAGATAGATAGATAGATAGATAGATAGATAGATAGATAGATAGATAGATAATAGATGGATGGATGGATAGATGATAGATAGATAGATAGATAGATAGATAGATAGATAGATAGATAGATAGACAGACAGACAGATAACATTTGAGGCTATAACTTTTTCCTACTCTTCATCCATGTCTGCAGGCACATGACCTAGATCTAGCCAATAAAAGCAGCCTATCCCTGGCCACGATGACTGGTTCAGGGATGAACACACAGTCCAAGCAGAGCCAAGGAGATAGTGGGATCTTTCTCCCACTTCTGGAAAAGAGCAGGTGCTCTTTCCTATTGAATACGACAAGATATGAAGCCTGAGCTACTGTGCTTATTGCCAGCTGAGGAAGAATGCCTGTCTAAAACAGAACCAACACAGAGGAAGCAAAGTTGAGAGACACAGGGATAGAAACCTGGTCCTGGCTGGGTACAGTGGCTTGCCCCTGTAATCCCAGCACTTTGGGAAGTGGAGGTGGAAGAAGCACTTCAGGCCAGGAGTTCGAGACCAACTGGGCAACATAGTAAAACTACAAAAAATTCAAAAATCAGCCAGGCCTGGTGGCTCACTACCTGGGAGGCTGAGGCAGGAGGATTGCTTGAGCCCAGGAGTTGGAGGCTGCAGTGAGCTATGATCACACCACTTGCTCTGTCACTCCAGCCTGAGTGACAGAGCAAGACCAGAAAGAAAGACAGAGAGAGAGGAAGGAAGGAAGGAAGGAAGGAAGGAAGGAAGGAAGGGAGGGAAGGAAGGAGAAGAAGGAAAGAAAGAAGAAGGAAAGAAGAAAAAGAAAGAGAGAGAGAAAGGAAGGAAGGGAGAGAAAGAAAGAGAAAGAAAGGAAGGAAGGGAGGGAGGGAGGAAGGAAGGAAGGAAGGAAGGAAGGAAGGAAGGAAGGAAGGAAGGAAGGAAAAAAGAAAAGAAACGAAACCTGGTGGTCCTGGTAACATTTTTGAGAAAACTGATCAAGCCTCATCTGAGGTCAGACTATTCCTGGACTTTCCTATTGTATGCGCCAATAAAAATCCTTTTGCCATTTTGGATAACGATTTCTGTCCCTTACATCTGGAGTCCCGATGATGATGTAAGATAGGGATTTGAGTTATTTTATTTGGAAAGCATGGCTGCAGAAAGCAGGAGTACCTGGGTCCATGAGTTACGCAAGTCTACCTCCTTTCAAGACTGAGTGCCCTGAGGTCCAAAGCCTGTGTTAGTTATCACTGCAATGTTAACAGGCATTCAATGATTATTTTTAGGAATAAAAGGAGGACAAGAAAAAGGCAAGTGGAAGAAAGAAAAGGGGATGGGAAATGTATAAACTCCTCCCAAGAAAGCGGGTCACCTGGTCACTTTGTTCAGGGCAGACTGGTCCTGCAGGAGCCCAGCAGGAGCATGAAGCAGGAAATGAGGGCACAGAAGCATCCAGCACCAGACTGTTCCAAAGGGCCATTTACCAGGAAATTGCCTAGAAATGACGGTGCAGCCATAACCGGGTCATTAGTTTCCCTACAAATATTTCTCCCTTTTGTGTGCAACAAGGACCCATTCAGCCAACTGTGTGGTGCTTCAGCTGAAATAACAGACCAGAGGAAATGTGTAATTGGCTTTCATCAAATTGAAACTGTAAGGCAGCCTAGCCAAGCTGAAGCTCTGTCTCTGGCCCTAGCACAGAAATTATTTTCTGCTTAATGTGAGGTTATATGTGGGAAAGAAGGGGAAATAGAGGGGAAAAAGAAAGAGGACCAGCCTTTGGGTCAGCTTCAGCCCTTCTGGCAAGGCTACTCAGAGCTTTGTCTTAACAGCCAACAAGGACAGAAAAGGAATCTGGCTCCAGACTTTTGGAGAGGAAGGGACCTGGGACAGAGGAAGAGAGGCAGTAAGGGGAGGGGTGGGAAGAGAGGGAAGGAGTTACTCTTTAATGAAATAAGGTAACTTACAAATTAGTTTTTAAAAAATAGTTCCCAACTGATATCTTTTCCCACCAGACTATTTATGTGAAATTTACACCTCAAAATAACAAACATAACGTCAACCAGTTTGCCAACTTACCACCTGGCATATGTGATGGTAACACATTTAATAATTATTTAATAATTTTAATAATTTAATAAAATGTAATCAATAATTTAATAGAGAAAAGTGAAAAAGAAAATTTGTGACTCACCCAAAGGGACATAAAGCATTATTCCAGGGACCTATGACTAATCTATATTTTGGGTGTGAGGGGAACTTTGTTGAATGATTTGGGAACTCTGTGGTATAGCTTATATATTTCCAGTAATTTTTTTTTTTGAGAAGGAGTCTCACTATGTTACCCAGACTGGTCTTGGACTCCTGGACTCAAACAATCCTCCTGTCCCAGCCTCTCAGGTAGCTGGGACTACAAGCACACTCCACCGTGCCCTGCTTATTTCTGGTAATTTTCTATCTGGAATTTTCTCTCTCATCTACTTCCAGGAATTTTCCATCTACCTTTCCTTTTAGGTCTCTTTGAGCTTTGCATTTCCCGTCCTGGCCCATCAGCTTCAGGGGAACATGTGAGTTCCACACAGAATTACTGGAGGGAGACAGGACTCAGCTCCTCTGAAGGCCCTCCCCGGGGCCCCTGACAGCAATATTGTTGTGCAGTTCCCATAGTGCTGCTCTGGTCATGTGCTTCCCTGAGCAAATTGTCCCCAGGATCCTTTGGACTTCTGCCTTGGTGTTTTCATTGCCATCATCTCAGGTTGAGAACTCCAAAAGACCACATGACAATGGTTTCCTGGTCCTCAGGAAGAACTGCCGAGCAGCAGCAGTAATGGAAAGAACATTGAGTCACACAGGCCTGGGCCCGAGTCCCACCTCTACCACCCACCACCTCCATGAGGCCATGGCGGAATAGAAACAGTGTGGGACTGGAAACGGGAGGACCTCGCTGTGTGACCTCAGGCAGCTTCTCAGTTATTCCTTTCTTACACTAAAATCTCAGTTACCTCATCACTAAAATGAAGATTATGATCACCACTTTAAAGTGTTGCTGTGGGGATTAAAAGAAATCATATGCCTGGTGTGGAGTAGGCACTAATTAATTGGCTAATGTTGCTATCATATTGTTATTGTTATTATGTGACCTTGGGGAAGACACTTAACCTCTCTGAACTTGCTTTCTCTTCTGAAAAACTAGAAGTAATAAAAATTACCTCTCAGGATTGTAGCAATAATTATATATGCAAAGGTTACAAGGATTGTTTATGTCACATATGTACCTGGTAGGCACCCAATGTTAGATTTCTATCCCTCTCACTTCTGGACTTCCCCTAATGCAATCTAGGATAAGAGTTTAAAGCTTCCGGCTGGGCGCGGTGGCTCACGCCTGTAATCCCAACGCTTTGGGAGGACGAGGTGGGCAGATCACTTCAGGTCAGGAGTTCGAGACTAGCCTGGCCAACATGGTGAAACCTTGTCTCTACTAAAAATACAAAAATAAATTAGCCGGGAGTGGTGGCAGGCGCCTGTAATCCCAGCTACTCAGGAGGCTGAGGCAGGAGAATCGCTTGAACCCGAGAATCGCTTGAAGCAGAGGTTACAGTGAGCCGAGACCGGCGCCATTGCACTCCAGCAACAGAGCGAGATTCCGTCTCAAAAAAAAAAAAAAAAAAAAAAGAGTTTAAAGCTTCCATCATGGCCAAGCTGGCCCCTACATTTTGCCAAACACCAAAGAATCTGTCTGTCCCTGAGGTGGATTTTTGAGCTGCCAGTCCTTGGAGTCCCCACCTGCTGTGCTGTCAGCCCACACCCTTAAAAGGAAAAACTGTGTTGGGCGGGAGGCATCAGAGGGACGGTCAGAAAGGAAGCCGACGGCTGCAGGATTCACTATTCGACACTAGGGGGCACAATAAGCTCGGGAACACTTTAGGGCCACACCCAGAAATCTCGTTTCCTGGTGCCCGAGTCTCCCCAGATAGGGCAGATCCAAGCAAGAAGAGAACGTTTAAGGACTGCCCAGCAAATCCTTTGTGGGAACAAATGATGGGAGAAAATGCAGAAATGCAGGGGGCAGTGGAGGGCACACCTTGCCTTCGGCTTCAGCCTGGTCCGGGGCTTGGAGAGCCCTCTCTGGCTTTCAGACTTTGACCTCCTCATCAACCCCGGGGAGAAGGGGTGGGGTCGGGAAGCGTGAGGAAAAGGAGATAGTGAAGACAAGCCAGAAGAAAGAAAGCATTTCTTTTCATCACTTTTCCCATTCATTTCAACTTCTACATCTAGCTCACTCAGCACTCAGCATCTTAATAAGTCCCAGTCCAGTGGGCCACAGCTAGAAGGAGCCTTATGGAGTCCCAGATGTTTAGTTGGAGCCTAGGACTCAGAGAAGAGGATTGAGCAAGATCTCCCAGGTAGCTAATACTTCCATGTACATCAGATCGCTTGGATACTGACAACCACCTGGTCTTGTAGACAGGAGCTATTATCTCATTTAACAAATGAGGAAACAAGTTCAGGTAAGTGCCCATAGCTCTCCTCCTAGCTACTAAGCCTTCATTGCCACCCACTATTCCCGCTTCTCTTGCTTTCCCTTGTTTTAAAATCAGTCCAGGCCGGGCGCGGTGGCTCCTGTAATCCCAACACTTTGGGAGGCCGAGGCAAGTGGGTCATTTGAGGTCAGGATTTCGAGACCAGCCTGGCCAACATAGTGAAACCCTGCCTCTACTGAAAATATAAAAAATTAGCCGGCAGTAGTGGTGCGCGCCTGTAATCCCAGCTACTTGGGAGGCTGAGACCGGAGAATAGCTTGAGCCTGGGAGGCAGAGGTTGCGGTGAGCAGAGATTGGGCCGCTGCACTCCAGTCTGGGCAACAGAGTGAGACCCTGTCTCAATAAATAAATAAATAAATAAATAAATAAAATAAGTCCAAACTTTACACATAATTCCAGGAAATTGCTACTCAGCTCCAAATATTCTATAAATCAAAATTGAAAATATTTGTTGCATTCCCCATCTTCCTAACCCACTTAGCATGATGGAGAGATGATAGAGCATAGTAATTTTGAGAGTGCACTTTGGAATCAGATCTAAGTAAATATTCTGTGTTCATCACTTATGAATTCCATGACTTTGGACCTCTTTGTGCCTCAATTTCCTCACCTGCAAAAGGGGACTGTTAATATCTATCTCGTGGAATTCTTTTAAGGGTGAAATGAGATGTCATATAAAAAATTGCATAATGCTTAGCACATAATTTGATAGCTTGATTAATGTATCTAGCATATATCATTATATTAAATCATAGGCTGAAATGATCTTTAGGAATTATTCCACTACTTTCATGCCTTTTATCAATGAACTTAAATGGAGTTAAGTGAGAAGGTTACTTTGCCAAGTAGGTTTGTGTATCGGGTCGAATGATGTCCCCCCAAAATTCATGTGCACCCATCTCAGACTGTGAATTTATTTAGAAATAGGGTCTTTGCAGATGTCATGAGTTCAGATGAGGTCATGGTGGAATAGAGTAGGCTCTAAGTACAACATGAGTGGGGCCTTTATAAGAAGAGGAGAGGACATACAGAGACGCTGAGACATAGAGAGAAGGCCATGTGAAGACGGAGGCAGGTATTGGGATGATGTAGTTACACGCCAATGATCACTGGGAACCACCAGAAGCCAGGGGAGAGAGGCATGGGATGGAGCATCTCTCAGAGCCCCCAGAAGGAGCCAACCTTGTCAACACCCTGATTTTTTTTTGTTTGTTTGTTTTTTTGAGACAGAGTTTCGCTCTTTGTTGCCCAGGGTGGAGTGCAGTGGCGCGATCTCGGCTCACTGCAACCTCCATCTCCTGGGTTCAAGCGATTCTCCTGCCTCAGTCTTCCAAGTAGCTGGGATTACAGGCACCCGCCACCATGCCCAGCTAATTTTTGTATTGTTAGTAGAGACGGGGTTTCACCATGTTGGCCAGGCTGGTCTAGAACTCCTGACCTCAGGTGATCCACCCACCTCAGCCTCCCAAAGTGCTAGGATTACAGGAGTGAGCCACTGCACTCGTCCAACACCCTGATTTTGTACTTCTAGCCTCAAGAACTGAGACAGAACACATTTCTGTTGTTTTAAGCTGCCCAGATAGAAACTACTATAGTTGATGACAGAATAAGAACTAGACTCCAGATTTTTTAACCTCTAGCCTAGACCTCTTTTACTCCATTGCTGCCTCCCCAAACCAGCAATAAACATTTATGGAAATTTACTTATTTGGAAAAAAATTGACACAATCTATAATTTTTAAGCACTTTAAGTTGTTGCCTGACACAATAGGCATTTAATAAATATTTTACTGTCCAGTTGATAAAATGATAGACATTAAAATGTTATATTTTGTTATACAAATCTAAGATATTGTTATGAACCATTTTTTACCTCTGCGTACACCTATGCACCAGACTCTAAATTTATTTACAAGGTTTATGTATTGAAGAATCACAAACCTCCATAACTCTCTCACTGCTACAATCTGAAAGATACACGAGGTTCACAAGCCCTGCCTGTTCCCTACTTCTAGGGGTGAAAAATTAAAAGGAAAGCAATCTGAACACCCTCAAGACTCTGAATCCTACAAGGCAGGGATGTTCTCATTTTTGCTGAGTCCTTCTACACTCATTTAGGAATACGCAGAAGGGAAGCCAGGAAATCAGGGGAGTTGCCCATTGCTCTAAAGGAAGTAGGTCACAGAGCACTGCTCCCACCCAGTCAGCCAGGGAAAAGAATGGGTGGTGGTGGGTTAACAGCTACAAAGGGAATGAGGGAAAGAAAGGAGGACCTGCCGGGCATGGTGGTTTACGCCTGTCATCCCAGCCACTTTGGGAGGCCAGCAGGTGGATCACCTGAGGTCAGGAGTTTGAGACCAGCCTGGCCAACATGGCAAAACCCCATCTCTACTAAAAATATAAAAATTAGCTGGGCACAGTGACAGGCGCCTATAATCCCAGCTACTCGGAAAGCTGAGGCAGGAGAATCGCTTGAACCCAGAAGGCGGAGGTTGTAGTGAGAGATTGCGCCATTGCACTCCAGTCTGGGAGACAGAGCGAGACTCCATCTCGATAAAAAAAAAAAAAAAAAAGAAAAGAAAAACAAGGGAGGAGCTGATTCACTAGAACAACTCTTAGAGTGACTCAGAAGCCAGCAGAAAATAGCTTGTTCTCCCACATCTGCTTCATTGTCAGGCGATGAGGCACTTCCTCATTGCATACACATAGGCAGAGCGAAAGGGAGGAGGAGGAAATGGGATTTTTCAAGTTCCTTTGCCTGCTCCAGCACCTAACACTCTGTATTTGTAATCATTTCAGACATTTTGTTTCAAGTCAATATTTATTGAGTACCTACTCTGTGCCTGGCCCCTCATTTTAGCTTTCAGATTGTCAGTTTTCAGAACACAAGGCATAATGCCTTTCTGAAGTTCAGTATACCCTGCATCATTACTCCAGATTCACTTACACTGCTATCGAGCACCTTCACTCATAGTCTTGCTATCCTTCATATACAGAGATGACCCTCCCAAGCCTAAAATCAACAGGGGGAGGCATAGAGCTGTCCTTCTGGCTCTAATGTTTGCTTTACCATCATCCACGCCCATTCTTAGTCCAGCATGTGAGAGCCAGTGTGAAGTGAGCAGAATATGGCATAAGTATGGAGTCATACATCCTTACTGGAAATTCTTTACCATTTACTAGCTCTATGACTTTATTTGACTTCTCTGAATCTCTATCTTCTCATCTGTAAATTGGACACAATGATGTCTATCCTACACTGTAGGATAGATTTCTCATACAGCACTGAAAATGACATCAAATACCATTAAATGAAAGTACATGGCACAGTGATAACATGATAAATACTTGTTTACTTCTTTCAGACTATAATCGCACAAACTGATCACATCCCTCAGTCAGACTGTAAACTGCATGAGGCAGGCTGCATCTGCCTTGGGGACTGTCTGCCTAGGCAAGCACTAGGTCCCTAATGCTGTCTTGCGAATTATAATTGCTAAGTTTAGGGATAATGTATTAAGTGTACTACATTATTTATGCATTATGAATATTCGTCTCAAATATTTATTATATTGTATTTTAAATAATGTGGTTATTGTAAATGTAACCAGCTGCATCAATCTGTGAGCTGACAGCCATTCTGTGGAAAAGGAATTCAGAAACTTTGACCTTAGGTAGGGATACAACTAGTTATACATCCACTCCCCTCTCTGAGTTATTTGGTCCTGCCTAAGACTTGCTGCCACCAAGATCTGCATTCCTGTGTTCACAAGGCAGACATTCCTTGCATCCTCTGTACTCTCCATTGTTTCAACTTCACTGCAAACACCATTCCCCACAATATAATGAGGCCAAGGAAAGAAAAAAGTCGCCTCAGCTGGCAAGCATAGGGTGGAAAAACCTGCCACACAAATTTGCAATTATTTGACTTCCGCCTGGAAGGCAGGTCGGCTGGGTTTATGTCCCCCAAAGTTAGTATCCTCTTCTGTACAAAATGTGGTTGAGAGAAGGGTGATCTCCAGGTGTTTCATCTTTGCACCCTTGCTTCCAGCACCACGCCCACAGGCGCTTCCAGAAAAAAGAAAAAAAAAAAGGGAGCAAGGAAGCCAGGTTTTTCAACAACGAATTCATTCTAATGCAGACACCAAAGCCCACTTCATTTATTAACATTCTGGATAAAATCCCAATCGATTAGGCCACCAGAGCCCTCCATTCCTAAACTCCGCGTACAGTCAGGTAAAAGCACGAAGCACTAGTCACGGTCCTGCCCAGACTTTTCACGCAGAGGTGGAAAGTTGCAGACCCCGAGCCGGGAGGGGCGCGAGCCCACCCTGAAGCCCAGGACCCAGGAGGGCGCTTCCTCCCGGAAGTGACGCGAGCTCAATCCCGGCCTTGCTCTTCCCAAACAAAAGGGATCTTGGGGCCCCGGGAGGAGCCTGAATGACTTTGGAGAAGCCCCGCCTCCAGCCGGCGCGGATTGGGGCCGAGGCTGGAGAAGCAAGGAGGCGATTGGCGCTGGTGAATGCCAATGCCCCCGCCGGGCGGCTGAGGGGGCGGAGCCTCAGCCGCTGTGGATGGGGAGTGGAGGCGGAGGGGAGCGGAGCCCGGAGCGTCGTGGAAAGGTAGGAGCAACTATCCCTGGGGCTTGGTGATGGCTGGGAGGCCGGGTTCTCAAGAGCAAAGCAAGGATAGGGGCACCGGTAGCCTCCCGCCGCCGTCTCAACGGCCTCTGGGCCCATCCCCTGAGGGGGCGGGGCCGTCTCCTCCACCTCCCGGTATTCCCCGAGGAGGCGGCTCCTCATCCTCCGAGGGTCCTCACAGCTACTTTTTGTCCCTCGTCGATTCCCAGCTCCTCAGAAGGGGCTTCCCTCTGACACCCCTCATTCAAAGGCACCTCCCACCCCGCACCTCAGCCTTGGCGGAGAGGACTCACAGGTACCGATTCTCTAGGCTGCCGCCCCCAACCCCATTTCGTACCCCCGGAAGGCCAAACATCCCTCCCTACACCTGTCCCTGCTCGCCAGGGTGGGACTGGAGCTGCTTTCCTCCGTAAGATAAAATTGGTGTTTCCCAAAAAGGAGGGATGGGGCGAAGCAAAAATCAAAGACCGACCTAGACAGCCAGCTTTACGGAGGAAGCGGCTTCTCCCACTTAAGTTCTTCCCATCCCCCATTCTCTGATGCTCAGTCTTCCTCCCGCAGCCCCTCGCATCCTCTGGCCTCTTGTGAGGAGTCGAGAGCTCTCCTGTTTTGGGACTGTTTTGGACTGTGAAAGAGGGAGAACTAGGACCTCCTCTCCTTCACCCTTTGTACCTTCCTTCTACTTTCTGTTCCTTCTGGGAGCACCCAGCCTCTAAGGGTTTCTTAGGTTTGAATTGCGTTTCATTTTTCCTTTTCCACCCTATTTCCTCCCTGAGAACTTGATGAAAAGCCATCTTATATTTCACAGTGAGGTGGGTGTGTTGGATATCTGCAGAGCTGGCTTTGTGTGGGCAGGAATGCAGTATATGTTGCTTGACAGTCAATGAATAACACCATGTTTTCAAATGAAACAGTATACATAAGTAAATAAGTAGCAGTGGATTAGGAATGAGTATATCCCAGTCTAGGGTGGGCTGGTCCATTGCTCAGGGAGACTGCAGTTAACCTTGAAGGTATACTGCAGGTTGAAACAAAAGACAGGAAGTGTTTGAAGAAAATTCAGGGTCAGTCATCTAGGTTTATGATTAATCTAGTCCTATGTCCTTTGGTAACTCTCTAACCCCTTTTTTATAGTGTCCTCCCCGCCCCCAGGAAACATTCATGTATATTTTGATTGGTTTTACGATCATCTATCAAAATTTAGAGGATGAAAAGTAAGAACAATTTTTAAATCTCAGAGATAAGAGTAAATAAAGGCAAGGTATTCTAGCTATTCATGTTTACCAAAAAGTGCCTCTTCTAGTGTGCTCCTAAAGGTTTTGTCAAGTGGTCTTCATTTCAGCAGGTGCAAAGTGTTGATTTTGACCTCATGTTAATGTCGTTGAATCCCCAGTAATCATCTATTGCTAGCGCTTTTATATATTAAAATTTACCATGTTTTTAGCATAGTTTCTTTTGCTTCCAATCTCAAGTCTACCTCCCCTCTGTCAGCTATAGCCAAAGCTGATGGCAATAAAATGCAAGGAGTTGGAATCACGGAGGGTGATTGTAATGACTGTTGTCTTTTACCTTCTTGATTAGACTTTCTGAAGGTAGACTTCCTAAAGATAATTACTTTTGAATAGTTAGGTTTGAAGTTTTCAGAGCCACTCGGTGCTCACAGGTCTTCTCAGTGATTGTTTCCAAATCTCCAGTAAGAAAGTACAAAGAAGAAACTGGAGGGTGTCTCTAGCAAACGCAATGTGTGCTGCAATAGAAGGGTAAGACGTGAGCTCCCAGCAATAACAGCAGAAAAAACTAAAAGCAGAACAGAAAATCCCAAAAAGATAAGTTGTATTATATCAACAGAGAACAGAAAATAAACTAAGGTAAGAGACTAAGCAAACCAAAGTTGTGATTGCCGAGGTTTAATAGGAAAAAGCAAATAATATTCTTTTATTATTTAGCACAGTAAGCAAGATCTGTTTGTTACACTTTTGGGTCTTGAAAATCTTTCCTTTAACCTTTTCAACACCTGTTTGGTCATGCTAGGTGAAGAAAAGCATAGTATGCAGAGGATAGATGTCTGATCTCTCTCCTTGAATTATAAATTCTTTGAGGGCAGATAGTAGTATTTTTTGTTTTTCATCTTTATATCTTTCACAGTTCCTAGTATATAGTATGACTTCATGAGTGTTTGTTTAACTTAGTTTGAGGCTGTCACCTTAGGGTAGACTGAAAGGCAATGTACTGATTAGATTTGGCACAATTTGTTAGTATAAACGGCCTACTTGTTGTCTTCATTTAACTTGATTTTCCCCATCTTCTGTCTTATGAAATTCCAGTGTCTTAAGTGACTAAAATTTTGAATTTCTTATAAAGAAATATCTGTGAGGCAGGGTGTGGTGGCTCATCCCTGTAATCCTTGCTACTTGGGAGGCTGAGGCAGGAGGCTTGCTTGAGCCCAGGTGTTTGAGGTTACAGTGAGCTATGATCATGCCACTGCACTCTCCAGCCTGGGCAGCAGAAAGAGACCCTGTCTCTTAACAAAAAAAAAAAAAAAAAAAGTTAAAAAAATATATATGTAATCTGCTAGTTAGAAAATACTATTTTACTGTCATGAAATTTGAACCAGACTTAAGAACGTAATGAGTGCTAATCATTTTAGGATTTTATTGTTCTAAATATCTGACCTGATAGGAATGAAGTGAATTTAGGAGAGATCACTAGGGACTGATTGCTGATTTTTGTTCAAGAATAGTTTCTGAGGCCAGGCTTGGTGGCTCACATCTGTAAACCCAGCACTTTGGGAAGCTGAGGCGGGTGGATCACGAGGTCAGGAGTTCGAGACCAGCCTGGCCAACATGATAAAACCCCGTCTTTATCAAAAATGTAAAAAATTAGCTGGATGTGGTGGCATGCACCTGTAATCCTAGCTACTCAGGAGGCTGAGGCAGCAGAATTGCTTGAACCCAGGAGGCAGAGTTTGCAGTGAGCTGAGATTGCACCACTGCGCCCCGGCCTGGGAAACAAAGCGAGACTCTGTCTCAAAAAAAAAAAAAAAAAAAAAGAATAGTTTCTGAGTGTTTGGTTTTGACAAGTTATTGATCTACTTTGGGACTTTTAAAATGGATTTTTAGTTGATTTTGTGTTTTTAAAGTAACACTAAAAATAGGAACGGAGCACAGAACAGCCTTGGGTCCCTAAGTGTAATTATACAGGCTGATTATTGATTGTGGTGGGCATAATACAATCAGTCTTCTCTGGATTTGTATCTTGGCAGAATCACATTTGCAGTGCTACCAGTTGATTTGCAGCGTAGGATTTGAATTCTTGGTTTTTCTGAGTGGAGCAGAATGGTGTTTCTTGGGGGTTTCCATCTAACTGGTGTTTGACGTCATGAAGCAGGAAGCAGAGATATGCTTCTAGAGGAAATTTGTTCAGTCTATGCTGGTTGGCCCCAGGAGTGGCTTATTAGCATGTTTTCTAAAGGCCATTTTAAAATTTCTGAATATTTGGCCGAGCATGGTGGCTCACACCTGTAATCCCAGCACGTTGGGACATTGAGGCAGGCAGATCACCTGAGATCAGGAGTTTGAGACCAGCCTGGCCAACATGGTGAAACCCCTTCTCTACTAAAAATACAAAAACTAGCCAGGCATGGTGATGGTCACCTGTAATCCCAGCTACTCGGGAGCCTGAGGCAGGAGAATGGCTTAAACCCAGGAGGCGGAGGTTGCAGTGAGCCGAGATCACGCCATTGCACTCCAGCCTGGGCAAGAAGAGAGAAACTTCATCTCAAAAAATAAAAAATTAACAAAATTAAAGTTTCTGAATATTTGCTGCTAATAACTAAAATTTAAATCTTCCAAAGTTCAATTTAAAGCCTTTTAGTGAGAAAATGGCTTACTTATCATGAGCCTGGAGAATGTAATTATTTACAACACAGACTTTAAAGGCAAACCTAGGTTCAAATCCCAACTGTGCTACTGTTCACTGTGTGATCCAGGGCAAGAGAAAAATTTTCTGTCTTCACCGTAGCTCAGTCTGTTTCCTCAGCTGTGAGATAGAAATAACTTGGAGAGGTTTCTTTAAGGATTACACGAATAGGCCAGGTGCGGAGGCTCACACCTGTAATCACAGCACTTTTGGAGGCCGAAGCGGGTGGATCGCTTGAGGCCAGGAGCTCGAGACCAGCCTGGCCAACATGGCAAAACTCTGTCTCTACTAAAAATACAAAAATTGCCAGGTGCAGTGGCTCACCTGTAATCCCAGCACTTTGGGAGGCCAAGGCAGGCGGATCACCTAAGGTCAGGAGTTTGAGACCAGCCTGACCAACATGGAGAAACCCCATCTCTACTAAAAATACAAAATTAACAGGGTGTGGTGGCACATGCCTGTAATCCCAGCTACTCCGGAGGCTGAGGCAGGAGAATGGCTTTAACCCGGGAGACGGAGGTTGCAGTGAGCCAAGATCGTGCCATTGCACTCCAGCCTGGGCAACAAGAGCGAAACTCTGTCTCAAAGAAAAAAAAAAATACAAAAATTAACCAGGCATGGTGGCACGTGCCTGTAGTCCCAGCTACTCAGGAAGCTGAGGCATGAGAATTTGCTTGAACCCAGGAGGTGGAGGTTGTAGTGAGCTAAGATTGTGTCACTGCACTCCAGCCTGGGTGACACAGCAAGACTCTGTCACCAAAAAAAAAAAAAAAAAAAAAAAAGGATTACATGAATATACACACATACACGTGCACATATCACAAAGCAAGGTACCCAGGATATAAGAAGCACTTAGTAATTGACAGGTATTATTATTAGCACTTGGCATGTGAGTTAAAGAATTTAATATTCAACATTATTTTACCCCTTCAGCATTTTAGCAAAGGTGAAGACTTAGTGTTGGATTTTAGTTATTGATTGGTTTTGTTTTAAATTTTTCAACATATGACTAAGTCCTGAATAGAGGGAAACAAAGCTTGTTTGCATATGTCATGATCTCAAGCATCTGAGCCAAAGATTTTTAGGAGAGTGTGTATCTGTCTTGGAGTGTGTGTATTTAATAATTTTGTCATGCAGATTATCTTTCTTGAGTTTTTTGGTCCAAGGAAAAAAGAAAGGCAAGGGATTCAGCTAGCCGATGTCTTCTTTCTGAATTGTCAGTTGCTCCACTCTAAGCTCTACTATCTTTAAGTAGCATCATCCTGAATGTCATATAAATGGTTTTGTAGATACTGTGATTACCGTGCAGAGTTATACCTTCTGTGAAATTTAAGGGACTTTTAATGGTAATTTTGATTAAAAGTGGTTTTTACCTTACTTTTGAAGACAGCCTCCCCCACTGTCCTCAAAGTAAGGAGCGATGATAGGAACAACCAAAACTGGAGTGAGAAGAAAACATGGATAGGGGAGTTGAGTAGAGGTGGGGGAACATGAAAGGCGGGAGTTTGTGGGTTGAAGAAAACAAGACTACAAAGAGGCATTGAACTAGATAATGCAATGCGCTGTAATATGGCTCATCTTTGCCAGTTATTTCCAAACTCTGCATTTCAGGTACAGAGCCAGAACTTCCAATCTAAATGTGTCATTTGCTGTTTAATGAATCCTTTCTGACTTCTGGAGCCACAAAGAATATAGTTCTCAATTGTTACTGAATTTAAAGAATGCAACCCTTAATTGTTACTGAGTTTAATAGAAACAAGAAAGGAAAATAGGAAAGCACAGGATGATGGGGTGGGTCTACAGACAAAGACTCCTGACCGTGAGCTTCGGGAGCATCTGCGTAGATTCTTTGTGCAAAACTGCTGGGAAAGGCTAGGCTGAAGCTGAAGTGTGCTCTGGGTCTACTCACCATAGAAAGGTGAGAGCCAGGCCAGGCATGGTGACTCACGCCTGTAATCCCAGCACTTTGGGAGGCTGAGGCAGGTGGATCACCTGAGGCTGGGAGTTCAAGACCAGCCTGACCAACATGGAGAAACCCCGTCTCTACTAAAAATACAAAATTAGCCAGGCATGTTAGCACATGCCTGTAATCCCAGCTACTCGGGAGGCCAAGACAGGAGAATCGTTTGAACCCAGAAGGCGGAGATTGTGGTGAGCCAAGATCGCGCCATTGCACTCCAGGCTGGGCAACAACAGTGAAACTCCATCTCAAAAAAAAGAAAAGTGAGAGCCAGGGAAGGAGAACAGAAAGTAGAAGCAGGGATAAATTGTTTTAACACGAGATAAGAATTGTAAGTTATAATGGAGAGAAGGATGAAAGATAACTGACAGGTAAGTTATAGGAAAAAGAAAGAAGCACAAACTGGGTTTTTTGTTGGAGAATGGGGGCTCCAGGGAGGCCCTCATTACTTGGTTTCTGCTAAATAGTCCTTTCTGTTACAGCAGGTGCTACAGAAGTAACAACAGAACCAATCTAGTTCTTAACTGACTTAATGTTTGAGGGTATAACAATGATCTGGTCTAGCCCTATATATCAGTTTCATCTTGTTGCCTCTTGTCCTTAAATTGAGGGCACAGAATAAATTTCCTTAAAAGGCTCTATCCCCAAAGACTTCTTCACTTCTAAACCCTTAGCCATCACCACACTAACAGACTCTTAACACGTTCCTCTTGGGGGTCAAATAACTTCTCATTCAGCCTGTCTCGTATCACAGTCATCATTTCCCCAGTAAACCCAGTTCCATTTCTAACATCCCTGTTTTTGCTAATGGTATCATCATTCTAGTCACCCAGTCTCAAAACCTCAGCTGATCTGGGATTATTTCCCCTCTTACCTCCCTAAATGAAAATCCGTCATTTACTGTAAGTAAATTCTTAAATAACTAAGTAAATTCTTTTTAATGTCTCTTTTGTCAGTCTCTTCCATTCTTATTGCTACCATCCTAGTTCATACATTTTTGCCTCATACCTATGCTGTTAAATTTTTTTCCCGACTACTCTTTCTGTTTCCATTTTCTCTTCAGTCAAGTCAGCCCTGTACTGTAAGCATTAACTTTCCTAAAACTATGCTTTTGTTATGATTTTCACCAGGTTAAAAATGTTGAGTGGCTTCCCATTTTCTAAAAGGTAAAGTCCAGTTGTGTTGGCTGAGATTGAAAGTGCTGTACATTTCTTTCCAACCAGCATTTTTTCAGTATCTGAACCAGACACTGCTAGTGCTAAGTGTGATCAAGTTGAATAGACAGAGTAGTTGTTCAGATGAGTTCAGAGTCTTGTGAGACAGAAGACAGATATGTAAACAGATGAATTGATGTAATAGAATGTGATAACTGCTCTTGAATTACGAATGTAGATACATATCCATTATGCATTTAATTTAATGTAAAAAAATAGCTGTGATATTTTCAGGAAACCCATTTCTCAGTCATCACAAGTTAAAGTTGTGACTTGATTAAAACCTGTTAAAATTCAGTGGAAGCAAAGGTATGCGTTTACCTGTATGCTAAAGGCACAAAAAACTAATCTAAGCAGAAGGCTGGCCTTTTCTTTTCCCAAGTATTGTGCAGATACAATTGGCTTGAACATGTCTCTAAACTGACTTTCCCAGGAACTGGCCAGGCCATCTCTTTCTTTTTGGTGCAGATCAACCTGCCAGAAGTCAGAAGTAAACTTGTTTTGGTTTGTAAATTAGACACGTGAATGATAGACAATGATGACCCATTGGAAAAGGAAAACTTCATTATCCTTGCAGATGAAACCAAAAAGTATGCTCTTTAAGGATGAGAAATGAGAAGCTGACCAGTCACTAACTCATTTAAACCATGCAGCCTCCTGTTACAGTATGTATTGTTATGTCCATTTTATAGCTAAAAAACTGAAGTTCAAAGGTTAAATGGATGAAAGAGCAAGTGGCAGAGCCAGGATGCAAACTCAGCTCTGTCAGATTCCAAAATCCATGTGCTTTCCACTATAACATACTGTCTCCCAGCAGAATTACTGTCCCTGAAGAACCATAGAACAACAATTGCCAGGCTTGTTGTTGGAAATATTCAACTGATACTCAATTGTTAAATTTTTTTTAAGTCAGTTATCTGTCTTAGAAGACAAAACAACATCACGAGTTTTATTTCTGCTAGAGGATTATTTGAAGTTTTTTTTGCAGTTCAGATAAAGTCAGGTTATGGGCATCGCTAAAACACAGATTCCTTAACTGTTTGATGGTTAATCCTTCATACCATACTCTGGAGTTTCTCCCCAGTGTGGAATCTTAGTGGAATCAATGACGTCATCATCCTACATTAGCATTTGAAGGGTTTGCATTCCAGGCTGCCTCTAGAATTGTGGCCCATGAATCATCTTACTGAAAATAATCAATCTACATGTTATTGTTCCCTTGTGGTATTTTACAAGTTATGGTGGCATTATTTCAGAAAAGCAAAAATTTAGGGGACTGATGGACAGATAGACAATAGAGACGGTCAGATACATATTTGATTGAAATCATGTTACAATTTCATTTAAATGAAATAAAGCCATCTAACAAATTATATAGAAATGATTCAGCCGGGTGCAGTGGCTCACGCCTGTAATTCCAGCACTTTGGGAGGCCGAGGTGGGCGGGTCACTTGAGGTCAGGAGTGCCAGACCAGCTTGACCAAAATGGAGGAACCCCGTCTCTACTAAAAATACAAAATTAGCCAGGCATGGTGGCACAAGCCTGTAATCCCAGCTACTTGGGAGTCTGAGGCAGGGGAATCTCTTGAACCAGGAGGCGGAGGTTGCGGTGAGGCCGAGGTTGCGGTGAGCCGAGGTTGCGCCATTGCACTCCAGGCTGGGCAACAAGAGCAAAACTCCATCTCAAAAAAAACAAACAAAAAAAATGTAATGTTTCAGTTTCCTGGTAATAATATTCTGATGTTAAAAGACATATCTTTTTTAAAATGTTCAATGATAAAAAATTTATTAATATAAAAGTTGTTATTCATTTTCATTAACATCCATTCCAGTAGCTTAACTAATGTAGTTCTAGTTTGGCCTTGTCTCAGATGAGAATACCTGAGATGGTGTAAACAGATATCCAGGTAGACAGACCTTTTGTTCTTGTTTTGAGATAGAGTCTTGCTCTGTCTCCCAGGCTGTAGTGCAGTGGTGCAATCTCAGCTCACTGCAACCTCCACCTCCTGGGTTCAAGCGATTCTCTTTCCTCAGCCACCTGAGAAGCTGGGATCACAGGTGTGCGCCACCATGCCCGGCTAATTTTTGTATTTTTAGTAGAGATGGGGTTTCACCATGTTGGCCAGGCTGGTCTTGAACTCTTTATCTCAGGTGATCTGCCTGCCTCGGCATTCCAAAGTGCTGGGATTACATGCGTGAGCCGCTGCACCCAGCCCAGACCTGTTTTTAATAGCTTTGCACTAATGTTCTCATTTGAGGGAAGAGATATCTGAATGTTTGTTTATGGGCATAAGGCTACTTCCTTCTTTTCTTCAATATACATATAAATCTTGCTGACATCATATATGAGAGACAGAGAAAGAGATGTGTACACACACACACTTACACATTCACACATTCACACTCACAGAGAGATATAGCAGAGTTGCATGAGTCTTAGAACTAAACAAAACAAAAACCTGATACCTATTATGTTGTCCCAGAAAGCGAATTAAACTGGATCTTAAAAAGACATGTATGCGGCCGGGCGCAGTGGCTCACGCCTGTAATCCCAGCACTTTGGGAGGCCGAGGCAGGTGGATCACGAGGTCAGGGGTTCGAGACCAGCCTGACCAACATGGTGAAACCCTGTCTCTACTAAAAATAGAAAAATTAGCTGGGCGTGGTGGTGGGCACCTGTAATCCCAGCTACTTAGGAGGCTGAGGCAGGAGAATTGCTTGAACCTGGGAGGCGGAGGTTGCAGTGAGCCGAGATCGCGCCATTGCACTCCAGCCTGGGTGACAAAGTGAGACTCCGTCTCAAAAAAAAAAAAACGTGTGCTAGACCTAGTTCTATTTAACTGTATTCACATTAACAACTCTGGCCTCAGTACTCATCTGTAGAATGAGAGTGCTGAATTAGATTATTGCTGAGGCTCCTTCCAGCTTTGTGAATCGTTGTTTAGCTGAGGTTTTTCCACCATACAATTCCTAAGGCTGATAAAATGAGAGGATCAGATGTAAGCAGTGGTTACCAAGGGAGTCTCTGGAGTCAATTTACCTGGGTTCACATCCCATTTCTACCACATACTAGCTGTGAGGCTTTGAGCAAGTTTTTTAGCCTCTATGCCTCAGGTTTCTCATCTGTTAAATGAGGAGGATGATGATAATGATGAATTTGTTGGGGATGGTTATAGCATATCACCTAAGGTTGTTGTGAAGACTGAATTAGTTAATACCTGTACATGTCAAGTACTTAGAACACTGTCTGGCATACATTAATGTTTAGCTCAATAAATGTTTATCTTTTTTTCATTATTACTATTATTGTTTAAATTCTTCTTAGAAAACTGCTATAGAACTCTGAAGTGGTGGTGATTATTGCTGATAGTATATCATAATTAATTTCTCTATTAAGCATAGATCCAGATAATCTGGTAACCTGGAATCTGCTTTAATGTAAATAGAGCACTATGTATTTGAATAGAGTACTACAGTGTTATAAATGTTGACCCTAAAAAATACTAGCTTAATTATAGAGCTGATCTCTTGAGGCCTGCTTCAAAGTCTATGTTGGCAGTATTGAATAAACAAGCATCTTGATCCCTTGGCACCATTGTAATTTCTTTGTAAGTGCACTATTCATATTATATTTCAGGATAACTCAAAACATCTTTCCTCGTGGGATCCTGAAATTGATTTTCTCTAAAAATGTTCCCAAACCATTCTGTTTTATATAATGCTGTCTATAATATGGCTGGGAAAAAACAGACTGATAAGGCAAAATAAGGCATTCTGAGAAATACTGTGTTGTAGTGCTGTCATGGTAAGAGGAAGGCTTAGATCCCCCTTACCTACAATTCAATTAGATCCAGTTGTTCTAATCATCTGTCAAAGTAGTAAGTGGTTAACATGTTGTGTGAGTTTGCTAGGGCTGCTATAACAAAGTACCACAGATGGGGTGGCTTAAAAAATAGAAATTTATTTTTTCACAATTCTGGAGCCTAGAAGTCTGAGATCAATGTGTGGGCAAGATTGGTTTCTTCTGAGGCGTCTCTCCTTGGCTTATAAAGATGGCTGTCTTCACATTGTCTTAACTCTGACCCGTCTATATCTCTATTTCCTCTTCTTATAAAACACCAGTCATATTGGATTAGAGCCCACCCTAATGACCTCATTTTAACTTAATTATCTCTTTAGAGATCCTGTTTCCAAAATCAGTCACATTTTGAGGTACTGGGGCTTAGGACTTCAACATATGAATTTTGGGAGGTACAAGTCAGCCTGTGTTATGTGTATTTAACACATGTATTATAGTAATCCAAATATTCCAGTAATATCTTTCACCTTCATCTGAGAGAAGCTTGATTTGAGATATATACTGTTTAATATTGGAATTGAATAAAATGAGATCAGTTATTATACCTTGATTTTAGAACTTTTGTAAATAGTAACAAAAACGGCTTTCTTTTTTCTTTCTTTTTTTTTTTTTTTTTTTTTTGAGGCAGGGTCTCGCTGTATTGCCCGGGCTGGAGTGCAGTGACGTAATCTTGCCTCACTGCAACCTCCACCACCCGGGCTCACGCAATTCTCCTGCCTCAGCCTACCAAGTAGCTGGGACTACAGGCACACATGCCACCATGCCTGGCTAATTTTTGCATTTTTTGTAGGGACAGGATTTTGCCATGTTGTCCAGGCTGGTCTCAAACTTCTGAGCTCAGGTGATTTGCCGGCCTCAGCCTCCCAAAGTGTTGGGATTACAGGTGTGAGCCACGCCCTTCAAAAACAGCTTTCTTTAACAAATGTACAAAAGATCTGCTTTCTTAATCAAAAAATTACTTTCTTTCTTTTTTTTTTAATTTTTTTTTTTTTTTTTTTTTTGCTGTTGCCCAGGCTGGCCTTGAGCGCCTGGCCTCAATTGATCCTCCTGTTTGGCCTCCCAAAGTGCTGAGATTACAGGCATATGCCACTGCACCCAGCCAGAAAATTATTTTCTAGTGGCACATTGACATGTTTTACTTCCTAGCCTAACCCTTAAATGCCAAAGAGGAATGAAAGGGACCATTTAGAATGTTGTCACTCTTTTATCCCAAATGAATAAATAATCCTTCTGAAAAATTAGAATCTTAAATCTTTTGAGATAGTCAAGGTAGTGTGTCAACACCTTCTACCTCCAATATGAGGTTGTTTTGTATACATTTTAATTTTTTTTTAAGGAGCAACCCTATTAACTGAAGCTTTGAATGCATTTTTTAAAATAGCAGTGCATTTCTGTTCATATTCAGATTTAGTATTTGTAAATGTGGCAAGTTTCTTTTTTATTATTATTTCATGTATACTGGGTTTTTAAGAAAAGTACATGATCTAGTGGCAAACTATCAAAAACACCCATTTCACATGTCCATCTTGGCTCTTTGAGTTTTAAGAATTTACTGGCCTCCTATATTTTGGCTTGGCTTATATGTATTGAAAGAGTATTTACGGGCCGGGCATGGTGGCTCACACCTATAATCCCAGCACTTTGGGAGGCTGAGGTGGGCGAATCACTTGAGGTCAGGAGTTCAAGACCAGCCTGGCCAACATGGTGAGACCCCCGTCTCTACTAAAAATATAAAAACTAGCCAGGCGTGGTAGCACGCACCTGTAGTCCCAGCTACTTAGGAGGCTGAGGCAGGAGAATTGCTTAAACTGCGGAGGCAGAGGTTGCAGTGAGCCAAGGTTGTGCCAGTGCACTCCAGCCTGGGCAACCAAGTGAGACTCTGTCTCAAAAAAAAAAAAAAAAAAAAGGAGTCTTTACATAATTGGAGTCAATTTCCTTTATAACTTTGCTCGCTAATCACTAATCACTTTGCTCACCAATACTAAAAACTCACTGAATGACCTTAATCTGAGTCATTTGTAGTCCAAATATAAATTTCTTAAATTTGATAGCTGAGTATAAATTTCTTAAGTTCGATATCTGAGTATATAATTAAAAAGTGATTTTTATCCAGCGTTGCAAGAATGCTCTCCTAGGTAAAATTACTGATTAAAAAAAATTAGTCCAGTTGATTTATTTAAATAGATCTATATAGATTTTTTTGAGGCATTTCTATGTCAGGAGCTATCTAAGCCTCATCTAAAAATGTTGTTTTCCTACCTTATGTGGAAAAACCTACCACCTGGAAAGAAATAAAGCCTCAGTTCTATGTAGATATGCTCACACCCAGATAATAGACAGACAAACATCTTGCTTGTACTCCACCCTGCCCTGCCCTGTCCTGCCCTGTCCTACTGCTTACATGGCTATAGAAGCTGTTTAGGGTGTTTCTTTTTCCGCCATTCAGTCTCTATATGGTAAAATGGCAGCAGCAATGCTTGTTATCTTATAGAATTAAGTCAGAATTCCAGAGCAGAAACTGGGACTTCTTCAAGAAAGAAGAAGCATAACCGAAACCAGAATAAGTGGAGCTCGGATAGTATCCAGAGAGGGGAAAATATCAGAATAAAATGAGCAGAGCCACACCAACATACTTCTAGGCAAAATCAGTACTACAGTTAAGGAGGCACAGTGGGGTAGTTGGGGGGATGCAGTTTTTGATACCCATAACTTCTGACTGTTGGCACAAGAAAGTTCATCTAGAAAAGACTCATGCTGTCCTGGCTATTGGGCTAAGATTTCATGGTGGGATGAAACCTGTGAATACACCAAATGGTATGCTGGGCAGGCTCATTTGAAATCACTTATTGATAACATAAAAATAAGTGTAGGCCGGGCACGGAGGCTCACACCTGTAATCCCAGCACTTTGGGAGGCCAAGGCGGGGGGATCACCTGAGGTCAGGAGTTTGAGACCAGCTTGACCAACATGGAGAAACCCCATCTCTACTAAAAATATAAAATCAGCTAGGCATGGTGGCGCATGCCTATAATCTCAGCTACTCAGAAGGCTGAGGTGGGAGAATAGCTTGAACCCGGGAGGCGAAGGCTGCGGTGATCAAGATCGTGCCATTGCACTCCAGCCTGGGCAATGAGAGCGAAA
Source organism: Homo sapiens (assembly GCF_000001405.40). Taxonomy (NCBI): domain Eukaryota; kingdom Metazoa; phylum Chordata; class Mammalia; order Primates; family Hominidae; genus Homo; species Homo sapiens. The sequence goes on from NC_000001.11 coordinate 112,410,383, forward strand.
CTCCATCTCAAAAAAAAAAAAAAAGTGTTATACTTAGCCCTTAAATGGGTTTATTTTTCCAGGCTATTAAAATATCTTTTTTAAAAATAAATATCTTTATCTTTTTTATTGTATATATTTATATGTGTATTTTTTATTGAGAAAACTATAAAGCTTAATATAGCTATAGCTGGCTATGCCACAGTGTATGATAATGTATCCAGATAATTTGTCTACAAGTGGTTTTTATTTCAGATTTATAGACTGTAGCATTCCTTAGAAATATCTATGTCTAAACTCTAAGGAAAGTTGGGTCTTGGAAGGAATTAGCTGAGCATTTAGTTGAAATGATCTTGCTCTTCGGAGTTACTGATGATGAAAATGACAAGTGACAGCTTACTTAGAAGATAAGTAGGGAATGAGTCCATAGACTTAGAAATATCTGTGTCTAAACTCTAAGGTAATTCGGGTCTTGGAAGGAATGAGCTGAGCATCTAGTTGAACTGATCTTGTCCTTCAGAGTCACTGATGATGAAGATGACAAGTGACAGCTTACTTAGAAAATAAGTAGGGAATGAGTCTATAGACACCATGTGGCATACCAAAAATCTGTCAGTTTTTCTGATAATGAATATGGGGCTAGAAATACCCTTTTTCTGAATATCCTTGGCCACATAATTCTGCCCATATATTGGGCAGAAATTGCTGGAATAGCTTATGCAGTGGTTTGTGTATATGTTGTTGGGTCTATATTCTTGACTGTATAACAAATTCATACTTCCTGTCCTAACTTGAGAGATCTGTAATTAGTTTAATTACTGATTCTTGTTTTAATGAAGCAACCAAGGACTTACTGCAGCATTATTTCTTCCTTTGACACTGTCCCCATTTGACTGTTAGGTTTCAGCAACTCAAATGGGCTTTCAGACTTAGTGCCTTAAAATAAAAGGCAAAGATTACATTTTATCAAATAAAATTTAAAGCCTATCATTTTTAATAAAATTTGCTGGGTCTAATACACTGTTAGGAAATCATAAACAAAAAATTACATATAATTTAACATTTAACATCTGATCATAAATGTGAAAAATATATACAGCTATAGCTGTCTATACCACAGTGTATGATAATGTATCCACACAATTTGTCTACAAGTGGTTTTTATTTCAGATTTATAGACTGTGGGGATGTGTAATCAGCCTTTATAGACAAAGTCGAGATGCTAAGAGGCTGATTTGTTTGTTTATGGATTGTTGGGAGGTGAGGAGATGAGAATTTTCCTTATATGAATTTGGCAGTTTAAAAATTTCCGTTGTAATTATGATTTTTTTTTTTTTTTGAGATGGAGTCTTGCTCTGTCGCCCAGGCTGGAGTGCAGTGGCACAATCTCGGCTCACTACAAGCTCCACCTCCTGGGTTCACGCCATTCTCCTGCCTTAGCCTCGTGAGTAGCTGGGACCACAGGCACCCGCCACCACGCCCGGCTAAATCTAAGTGCGTTGTGCTTAAGTCATGGTGATTCAAGCAAATAGGTTTTTGTCATTTCAGGAAGAGAAAAGTCAGAAGTTAAAATGGCAGTGGACATCTTAAAGTGGAAAAGATCTCAAAAGCCTCTACCTTCCCTTATTTTAGTTGCAAAAGGGAAGTCAGATTCCTGGTATTTTTCATATATTATTCAACTTCAACTTGAAGAACTGGCTGTTTTCTTCTTTCTTGTCATTATCAACCTGCAGCTGTCAGACCTCATCAGCGATGACAGTTGACGTTAATGGGATTTACCAAGTTGTTTATAGTATAATCACATGAACAATAAATTTCTCCTTATTTTGCAGCATTGGACACATTTCCACCATGCTAATGGCATTTTAAATATATTTGGCAATTTTCCCAATTTTTTACTGAAGAAAACTGTAAGTTTATACTTGAGGACTGAAGTGTGACTCTGCCGATTATCAGGTCAGTATCACCCCTACCTCCAAGGATATCACTGCTATCCTAAAATCTAATGCAATTTTACTGTCATTCTTTTATATTTCAGGCAAAAATTTATTGCAGTGTCTATATATTGAGATTACATTCAAATGCATAGAACAGAAGGAACTGTTAAATGTTAATACTTATAAATGGTGGTTATTGGAATATGCAAAAACAGATCTGTTGGTTCTTACATTACACAGCAGTGGCCTTTCTTTCCTCCTGTGTAATATTTATATTGTGTTCATGTAGACACTAAGCTGAGTTGGTACCTTTTTTTTTTTTTTTTTTTTTTTTTTGACACAGAGTCTCACTGTGTCAACCAGGCTAGAGTACAGTGGCGTGATTTCGGCTCACTGCCATCTCCACCTCCCAGGTTCAAGCGATTCTCCTGCCTCAGCCTCCTGAGTAGCTGGGACTACAGGTGTGCACCACCACGTCTGGCTAATTTTTTTGTATTTTAAGTAGAGACAGGGTTTCACCATGTTGGCCAGGCTGGTCTTAAACTCCTGACCTCAAGTGATCCTCCCACCTCCACCTCCCAAAGTGCTGGGATGGGATTACAGGTGTGGGTAACCATGCCTAGCCGAGTTGGGACATATTAGTGAAATGTTCCAGTTATTAACATTTGTGTGCAGAAGTGATTTATAAACACAGAGATAATAAAAGAATTCTTCTTTGTCATTGACAAGGAATAGAACTTTTTCTTGCCTAGGCTGGACTGTTTTGTAATTAAAGTGACTCTGAAGATTGTTTTAATTTTACTCTTTTATAAGGATGTATATTTATCATAACAGATCAAAGACTTTTTGTTTCATTTTACATATCGAACACTTTAAGTACAATATAATTTAGTTCTTTGTATATGTACCTCTTATTTTTATTTTATTAGAATCTAACAAATAATACTTGGTTTTTACTTAGAAGCTTAAACTAGAACCAAGAAGGACTTCCCAATTGCAAAAGGGCAACTGAAGTTATTTCCGAGGTCATCGATCTTGGCTGTCTGCAGTTTTTGATAGTGCCTTTCTTAAATTCTTTTGAAAAATGAGACAGGATAATAGTTACTAATAATGAAACCAGGTATCAGCAATGTGGTAAGATGTTCTACATTTATTAACTTAATCTTCATAGCAGCCCTATGAGTTAAATATCATCATCCCCCTTTCACAGATTAGAAAACGGAGTCAGATAACTTGCCCAGTCACACAACTAGGAAGATGCAGATGTGGCATCTGACTACCAAGCTACATGTTCTTTCCAATATAACCTCTAATAAAGTGTAGCTTTATTAGGTTTGTTAGAATTTTTTTGTTTAGTTTTGTTTTAGTTTTTATTTTTATTTTTAAAATAAATGTTATCAGATATATCCCTGATACTAAAGTGAACGTCATTTACTAGTTGCTGAAATTCACTTGTTAGAAAATAGAGGCTGGGCGTGGTGGCTCACACCTTTAATCTCAGCACTTTGAGAGGCCAAGGCGGGCGGATCACCTGAGGTCAGGAGTTGGAGACCAGCTTGGCCAACATGGTAAAACCCCATCTCTACTAAAAATACAAAAATTAGCTGGGCATGATGGCATGTGCCTGTAATCCCAGCTACTTGGGAGGCTGAGGCAGGAGAATCGCTGGAACCCGGGAGGCGGAGGTTGCAGTGAGCCAAGACTGCACCATTGCTCTCCAGCCTGGGCAACAAGAGCAAAACTCTGTCTCAAAAAAATAAATAAATAAAAAGAAAAAGAAAAAAAGGCCAGGTGTGGTGGCTCACACCTGTAATCCTAGCACTTTGGGAGACTGAGGTGGGCGGATCACCTGAGGTCAGGAGTTCAAGACCAGCCTTGCCAACATGGTGAAACCCCGTCTCTACTAAAATACAAAAATTAGCCAGGCGTGATGGTGGTTGCCTGTAATCCCAGCTACTCAGAGGCTGAGACTGGAGAAGTACTTGAACCTGGGAGACGGTGGTTGCAGTGAGCCGAAATCACCCCACTGCATTCCAGCCTGGGCAACTGAGTGAGACTCCATCTCAAAAAAAGAAAATTAGCAGTTAGAGCTGAGGTTACATCGAAGATGTTTTACTATGCTTTAAAAGACTTGGACAGCATGTCCTGGAACACAATCTAACAACAAAGTGAAGTATGCATTTTATACATGTTCACTTAAAAGCAGTAGCTCTGGAAGGAATCAATTCTTTTTTTGTGTGCCCCCCAAAATTAAAAAGAGTGATAAATTACTGGAGGATGTGTGAACTGGTCATGTTTTGATTCACTTTCCATAAGAGTGGCAATTTGAAAATAAAAAGTGGAGAGAGAAATATTTGTTCTACTTTGGAAATTATAAAATATATCTTACCATACACACTGGTCAGAAGGCTCTTCCAAGATTGTACAGCAGTCTAACTTGTATCTTTATGTGGTTTGTGAGAATTAGTGTTGTAGAAAGGATTGAGTTTGTGTCATGCAATTTGCCATTTAACATACTTTGGAACATGCAGATTCTCAGAGAAATGTGAACTTACCAAGTCAGATAAATTCAGTTTTTGGTAGCCTAGCCAATTAAGATGTTTAAACAGGCCTGGCACAGTGGCTCATGCCTGTAATCCCAGCACTTTGAAGGCTAAGGTGGGAGGATCACTTGAGCCCAGGAGTTTGAGTCCAGTCTGGGCAACACAGGGAGACCCCATTTCTACAAACAATAAAAAATAAATTAACCAGGCGTGGTGGCATGTATCGGTGATCCTAGCTACTTGGGAGGCTGAGGCGGGAGAATTACTTGAGCCCAGGAGGTTGAGGCTGCAGTGAGCCGTGTTTGCACCACTACACTCCAGCCTGGGTGACAGAGCAAGACCCTGTCTTAAAACAAAAAAAAATAAAGATGTTTAAACCCTATACTTTGAGAATTCATTTAAAAGTAAGTTTGCATATAGTTGAATTAAGTCTATTTTACTATACAAGATATAAATATTGTGTTAGCTATTGTCTGTGAAAGCAGACAATTTAAAAGAAAAATTTCTCCCATACTCCCACCAAACATTATCTCTTTTCCCGAATTTTATTTTAACCAATTGAAGAGGGATATCAGAATGTTTTATATACAGTTTTGGAAATTGGTTATCTAAAACTGGGAAATCTTTTGATGGTCTATCAATTTTTCAGAGAAATGGTATTCATTATAACACAATTTTACCTGAAAAATCAGTGGCTAATTCTTGTTTGCTTTTTTTTTGGTTTTTTTTTTTTGAGACAGAGTCTCACTCTGTCGCCCAGGCTGGAGTACAGTGGCGTGGTCTCGGCTCACTGCAATCTTTGCCTCCCGCGTTCAAGTGATTCCCCTGCCTCAGCCTCCCGAGTAGCTGGGACTACAGGCGTGCCCCACCATGCCCGGCTAATGTTTTGTATTTCAGTAGAGACAGGGTTTTACCATGTTGGCCGGGATGGTCTCGATCTCCTGACTTCGTGGTCCGCCCACCTTAGCCTCCCAAAGTGCTGGGATTACAGGCATGAGCCACTGCACCCAGCCCTAGCGGCTAATTCTTTCTGAGATTTCCTAGGATATTTGTTTGTAAACGTGTCTGGAGGAAATATGATGAAAAATTGATCTTTGTGAGTGGTAGTGAAATCAATAATTAAAGTGAATTTTACTTTCTGTTGTTGCTTAGTTTGTGATTAACACCAGAAAACATATTTCTATTTAATTTCAACTATTTCCTTTATTAAGGCATTTGATACTATAATTGCTCTTATCTCTCACTTTATTTTTTCTTTAATTGTATCAAATTAACTATGTCTTTGGAGATTGTCTGATTGTTACCTTTGTTTCAGGCTTTCAAGATGAATCTGGAAAAACTCAGCAAGCCTGAACTCCTGACACTATTTAGTATTCTTGAAGGAGAGCTTGAAGCAAGGGACCTTGTTATAGAAGCCTTAAAGGTATGTTAAAAGAAAAAAAAAAAGAGGTCATCATACATTGTGAAAGTCATTCATTAGTTTTAATTTATTTAACTAAGGTATTTCTGCAGTTTCCATTGAAATTAAATGGAGGACATACTGATACTTGCCATAGGTAGCCACCTACATTGTGTGTTATTAGGGACACTGGTGAAACCTTTCTGTTTTCAAAATAGTTCCCTTAGTTTCTCGATCTGATGTCTAGACCTTGAACTTCATTCTTTTTTTTTTTTTGAGACGGAGTGTCACTCTGTCGCCAGGCTGGAGTGCAGTGGCGCTATCTCGGCTCACTGCAACTTCTGCCTCCTGCATTCAAGTTCCTGCCCCAGCCTCCTGAGTAGCTGGGACTACAGGCGCACACCACCATGCCCAGCTAATTTTTGTATTTTTAGTAGAGACAGGGTTTCACCATGTTGGCCAGGATGGTCTTGATCTCTTGACCTGGTGATCCGCCCCCGCTTAGCCTCCCAAAGTGCTGAAATTACAGGTGTGAGCCACCACGCCCGGCAGAATTTCATTCTTTTAGTTTAGTGGCCCTTAGCTGTTTTTGAACGCTGACCCCTTTGAGACTTGATAAGAGCAACTTCCTAATAAATGTACATACATCCATATATCAAAATTTGAAATATAATATCTGGGAGATCAAGGATCCCATGAAAACATCCACGGATTCCCTGGACCCCAGATTAAGAATTCTTTTGGTAGTTTTAGCCCATTTCTAATTGTCACTGCTAATTGCCTATTGTTAGTCTCACTTCTTTGCCCCATTTATCATCTGTCTCAATCCCTTCATAATTAGGATAGGAGTGGAGGTAACAGCTGCCTCTAATGGAAAAATCAGAGGATGACCTCGTTTTCTCTTTTATAGTTTTACCGAGATAACCTGTCTGCTTTTCAGCCTTAGAAACTGTACAAACCTGTAGTGCTTTATGTGTCTATTTACTAATCACTGTATCCTCAGCACCCAGCATAGTGCCAGGCATGTAGATGCTCAGTAAATGTTTGTTGAACAAATGAAATGATTGTACCATTGTGGTGTGTTACTTTAAAAGATTACTATAATACTTCTAAGTGGATGTTGTGAATTACTAAATTTTAAAGCCTCTTCTTATGTACTCTGCAGCACATACTGCCTTCTGGTTTTAATGTTAACAGATGCTTAGATGCTTTTTGCACATGTTTTCCTAAAATATATTTTTTTCTTCATGAATCCAATTTTGGTTACTATAGGCAGTTCTGATAAGTTGAGAGAGAAGCTTGAGAAGCAAGAGCTAAAATTAAGGGAGCATTTTGATATAAGATACCATTCAGAATCAGGCACAAGTGTTGTATTTAGTCTGCATATGGTCTGTAGGTGATAAAATTATTCTGAGGCTTAACTCTGTGCAGTTTAGGTGAAATGAATAACTTCACCAGAAGTGACATATCTTTAAACAATCTATTGTTAGATAAAATAGGGGGCAGCCGGGATTAAAATTGTTTCAATCGTTTGAGAAAAGTAACTGCCATAGCATTCTTTAAACTGAAGTATCATTTTATTTATGGAGTTTTGGGGGGTTTTTTGTTGTTATTTGTTTTGGTTCTCCAATGTATCAGGATTTTACTGCATTATTTGTATCGTTTTTGCTTAACAATAAACACCTGTTGGACTTTATGAACTACTATGGCAACTTACCAATTTTCTTCCTTTTAATATTGGTTCTTAATTGATGCTTAGTCGGTTGAAAAGGTTTTGGTCTTTGTTCTAAATAGTTATGATTTGTTTTTCTTTTCTGTTTTGTCTCCAGTAAAAAAAAGCTTATCTTTTTATTTTCTCCCTAGCTTCAAAATAGATTTTTGTCTGGACATAAAATCTGTTCTTTAATCTTATATCTCTAAACAAAACCATATGGCTTACTGTCACTTCTTTGGCAAGGCTTGAGTTTCTTTCAGGATATGTTGTAAAGTTCCCATAGGCTGTAAGTTGACCTCACCTATAGAGTTAGAATTGTAAAAGAGCTACATTCCTATTCCAAAATTTCTGCAAAGTGCCAGATTGCAGCTATACTCTTCTAGAGCCCCCCATAATTACGTTCTTTTTCTTCCCAGAATCCTCCTCACTCACTCTCTATTGCAGCCAAGACATGTTTGGCATAGAACCAGGGAAAGCCAATAGAAAATAATGTAACACATTATTCAGTGTCTTGTATATTTCAAATCTAATTGTTATGGAGGGGACCTATACTATATTTGGTCCTAATTAAATTTTATTTAAAGTGGTTTTCTGTTTTAGAAGGAATCATGTCAGAAAAAAAAAAACTTCTTTATGAACGTCTTTCCCTTTTATTACTTTAATTTCATGAATAAGAACACCAAAGGAATACCCTCTACAATGAAAGCAAATTACATTGCTCATGAACTGTCTGGGGGAAGCAGAGAGTGGAACCACATAGTTCAGCAGGAAAGCCTCAGTTCATTAATTCCAAGCAAATCTAGTAAATGGCTTCCTACCATAGGCTGTGATTGCTTCAGAGGAGAATAAAGGAAGGTTAATCAATGGCCATTTTAAAAAATCTGAAAAATAGATTTGACTGCTAATAAAATTTAGATTAAATAGTTTATTTCTGAATATTCCACATCGGGTATATTACATCTGCACATCTTAGATCTGATGCAAAGCCACACTAAATGGCTTCTGTGACTAAATAGAATCCACCTTGCATTTATTGGTATTGCTTTATTTTAAAGCATTCTTTAAATCATCTATACAATGATAAATGGTGAAATATTACAGCTTTCATGTGCGATTAACTTAAGGAGTCTTGAATTCGTTTCCATTGATGCCTCAATCATAAAATAGGGATATCCTCTTTTAAAACCGAGGATAGAACTTTGTTGTGTTTGGCCAAATGCTGTTGCAAAATCCCCCAAGCAAGAAGATTTACAGGCAAAAATGTTGTAGACATGACAAAGTTAGAAGTATATTTAGAGTATGAGATTATGTAATACATCATTCTATAGGTTTAACTGTTGTGAGTTTTTTCAGCCACAAAGGGTTAAAATGAAAAAATCGAAATGTTATGTCTTTGTTGAAACAAATAATTTACTTTCACTGAAAATATTATTGAAAAAATAATCATAAGGATCTAATGACAGTGCCAAAATATAGAAAACAAAAGTTACCATGGAAGGTGCTGTGGCTTAAGAACATCACAGCTATGATCATATAGTGGTTAGTACTCTGTGTTGTGCCTGCAGCAACCTCAGTTGTATCCAAGTTGTGGCACCAAAAATTAAAAAAAAAATAACAATGCAAGTTCACTATAAGTCCATAGCCTAACATCTGCCTTTGGTCACGGCCTTGTACTTATTATGGAAGCAGATTATTATAAAGACTGGTCTGAAATGAAAAACGTAAAATTGAACTTAGCAATCACCATACATACTAATAAGCCTGTGAAGAGAGTTTGCATTTTTTAAAAAAATCAGATATTAGCTTGCTTGATAACAGATCTTTGAAAGTCTTAAACGGACTCAAGTTGAAACATTCTCTGGCACCCATAAGCCTGGACCTAACAGTTCTTTGGCCAAAAATGATCCCATTTTAATAGATGGTTTTTAGGAAGAGCTTTTAAGATTGGGATGGGTGGTTTCGATCATTGATAAAGATCACATGAACACATGAACATAAGCTATAACTGACAGAAGTCCAATTTCTGTCTAGTTCCCAACTGGGATATTAGGGTGGGAGCAGAACTTTATTTAGGTTACTGAGTTATAAGGTTTTTATATTTACAGTATTCATAACCTTTATTATAAAACGTTAATGAATTAATCAGTGACCATTTGTGGCCACATTTTAATATGTTTTTTAGAGTTGGAGTGGCTTTTTTTTTTTTTTTGAGATGAAGTCTCGCTCTGTTGCCCAGGCTGGAGTGCAATAGCATGGTTTCAGCTCACTGCAGCCTCCGCCTCCTGAGTTCAAGTGATTCTCCTGTCTCAGCCTCCGAGTAGCTGGGATTACAGGCGTGCGCCACCACACCCAGCTAATTTTTTAATACTTTTATAGAGATGGGGTTTTACCGTATTGGCCAGGCTGGTCTTGAACTCCTGACTCCTGATCTACCCACCTCAGCCTCCCAAAGTGCTGGGATTACATGCGTGAGCCACCACACCCAGCCTGGAGTGGCTATTTTTATTCCTATGCTCTGTTTCTTTTTCTGGAGACAGAGTCTTACTCTGTCGCCTAGGCTAGAGTGCAGTGGCTGGAGTGAGCAGCTCACTGCAGCCTCAACCTGCTGGACTTCAGTAATTCTCCCACCTCAGCCTCCTGAGTAACTGGGACTACAGGGGCATGCCACTATACCTGGCTAAGTTTTGTATTTTTTGTAGAGACAGGGTTTTGCCATGTTACCCAGGCTGGTTTCGAACTCCTGCTCAAGCAGTTCTGCTGTCCCAGCCTCCCAAAGTGCTGGGATTACAGGCATGAGCCACCGTGCCAGCCTATTCCTGCTCTCTCTGAGTAAAGTTTATACATGGATTCCTGATTTTTCAAAAAAGAAACATAAAGATAATTACTAGGCACTCTTCAAAACCATCAACCAGAACATTCAATTAAGTGTAGCTGTTAGGAATGTGAGCTTTCAAGTGAGACAGACTTTAGGGTTTGAGCTCTGCCACTCAATTGTAGTGTGATCTTAGACCAATTATTTTACCTTGTAAGTTTTATTGGTAAAATGTTATGGTTATTACGAGGACCAAATGAGATAGCAAATGCTAATTGAAGTGCTCAGTGCTCATTTACTGTTGGTTATTATTATTAGAACAGAGGTTCAAAGTCCATCCATCCATTTAGGAACAAAGATACATTCCATAAAGCAAGAAATACTAATAAGGCCAGGCACTGTGGCTTATGCCTATTAATCCCAGCACTTTGGGAGGCCGAGGCAGGAGGCATTATGTTGCCAAGGCTAGACTCGGACTCCTAGCCTGAAGTGCTAAGAGTTTGAGTCTAGCCTTTGCAACATAATGAGACCCCCATTTCTTTTCTTTTTTTTTTTTTTTTTTGAGACGGAGTTGCCCAGGCTGGAGTGCAGTGGCACAATCTCAGCTCACTGCAACCTCTGCCTCCTGGGTTCAAGCGATTCTCCTGCCTCAGCCTCCCAAGTAGCTGGGACTGCAGGTGTGCGCCACCACGCCCGGCTAGTTTTTTTGTATTTTTAGTAGAGATGGGGTTTCACCATGTTGGCCAGGCTGGTCTTGAACTCCTGACCTCGTAATCCACCTGCCTCGGCCTCCCAAAGTGCTGGGATTACAGGCATGAGCCACTGTGCCCGGCAAGACCCCCATTTCTACAAAAAAAAAAAAAAAGGAGAAGAAGAAAGAAATACTGATAATAGGAAAATGACAGTTCTTCTCAATTAAATCTTTGTTGTTATTAGTGGCACTTGGACATTATCTTGTTTTTCTTATGGGAATTGACAGTTTTGAGGTGACCCATTCCCATCCACACACCCAAAAGCATGTATTTTGAGACAGCAAAGGTTAAGGGTGTACTCTGGTGCATGGAACAGATGTTTTAATTCCTTCTCTTTATAATGAAAACAGGAAATACAGGGATAATGCAGAAGCCTTCGTAGCAGATTTTTTTTCATTGATTTGTTTATTATTCCATTGTTTGATGCAGCTTATTTTGTTTTTTTAAAACAGCTTTATTGAAGTATAATTGGCATGATAAACTGTATTATTTGATATGTGCATACTGATGTTTTGATATGTGTTTCCCCAAGAAACCATTATCACAATCAAGATAACAAACATATCCATTGCTCCCCAAAATTTTTATGCCCCTTAGTGACCTCTCCTGCTCAACTTTCCCCACTACTCTCTGCCCCTTACCCCAAACCACTGATCTGCTTTCTGTCATCAGAAATTATTTACATTTTCTGAAATTTTATATAAGTGGAATCATATGGAATATACTCTATTTTTTCCTGGCTTCTTTCACTCAGCATAATTACTTTGAGATTTATTCATGTCGTTGTGTATATTGATAGCTCATTTCTTCTTTGTTACTTAATAGTGTTGGCATTATATGTATATACCACGGTTTTGTTTTATCCACTTATCTGTTGATAAACATTTGTATTGTTTCTAATTTGGGACTTTATAATTAAAGTTGCTGTGAACATTCATGTACAAGGCTTTGTGTGGATATATGCTTTTATTTCTTTTGAATAAAAGCTAGAAATTGAATGGCTATATCATATGATAGATGTGTATTTAATTTTTAAGAATCTGCCCAAGTGTTTTGCAAAGCGATTGTACCATTTTACATTCCACAGATATATCCAGTTGCTGCACATCCTCACCAAACTTGGTATAGCCAATCTTTTTCATTTTAGCCATCCTTATAGGTGTGTAATATCTCATTATAGTTAAAATTTGCATATTATTGTTGGCTGATGTTAAGTATCATTTCATGTGCTTATTTGCTAATTTGCTCTCTGTATTATGTTTTTTTGTTTGTTTTTGTATTTTTTTATTTTAGAGATGGGATCTCACTTTGTTGCCCAAGCTGGAGTACAGTGGTGTAATCATGGCTCACTGCAGCCTCAACCTCTTGGGCTCCAGCAATCCTCCAGCCTCAGCCTCCCCAGTAGCTGGAACTACAGGCACACACCACCATGCCTGGCTAATTTTTAAAATTTTTAGTAGAAATGAGGTCTCACCATGTTGCTCAGGCTGGTCTCAAACTCCTCACCCTAAACGATCTTCCCGCCTTGGCTTCCCAAAGTGTTGGGATTGTAGGCATAGTCACCAACCTGGCCTGTGTTGTTTTCTTTGGTGCATGCAGTATCTGTTAAAATCTTTTGCCCATTTTTTTTAAGTTATTTGTTTTCTCATTATTTAGTTTTGAGAGTTTCTTATATATCTGGATGCAAGTCCTTTATCAAATATATGCCTTGCAAATATTTTCTCCCAGTCTGTGACTTATTTCATTATCTTAACTCTATTTTTTTTACAGTTAAGATACTTAACTGTTATAGTTAATAATAATGTATTGTATACTTCAAAAATCACTGAGAGTAGATTTTAAATGTTCTCACTACACAAAAATGATAAGTATGTAAGATCATACATATGTTAATTAGCTCGATTTTGCCATTCCACAGTGTATACATATTTCAAAACATCATGTGGCACACTATAAATATTTCCAATTTTTTATCAGTTAAAAAATAAATTTTAAATAAATAAAAACCCAGCCATAATCTAGACCAGGAAAAAAAAATGCATCTTTTGTAGACAGGAAAAAAGAAAAGATACTTAAGTGTGTCTCATTTCATTCTCTTAACTGTATCTTAAGAAAAGATACTTAACCTTGTCTCATTTCATTCTCTTAACTGTATCTTTTGAAGAGCAAAAGTTTTTCATTTCCATGAAGTCCAATTTATCAATTTTTTTTGTTTTGTTTTTTGAGACGGAGTCTCGCTGTGTCGCCAAGGCTGGAGTGCAGTGATGCGATCTCGGCTCACTGCAACCTTTGGCTCCCGGATTCAAGTGATTCTCCTGCCTCTGCCTCCCAAGTAGCTGGGATTACAGGCACATGCCATCATACCCGGCTAATTTTTTGTGTCTAGTAGAGACAGGATTTCACCATGTTGGTCGGGCTGGTCTTGGACTCCTGACCTCAGGTGACCCACTCGCCTCAGCCTCCCAAAGTGCTGGGATTACAGGCATGAGCCGCCGTGCCCAGCCTATCAATTTTTCTTTTATGGATTTTGTTTTTAATGTTATATCTAGGAAATCTTTGCCTAAACCAAGGTCAGAAAGGTTTTCTCCTGTTTTTTTGTTTTTGTTTTTGTTTTTTGTTTTTCTTATAAGTCTCATAGTTTTAAGTTTTACACTTAAGTCTATGATATATCTTCAGTTAATGTTGTTATATAGTACAATGCATGGATCCATTTTTTGTTTTTTTGCATATAGATGTCCAGTTGTTCTAGCACCAATTGTTGAGATTATCCTTCCTCTTTAGAATGGTCTTTGCACCTTTGTCAGTCGGTTATTCATATATTCATGTGTTTATTTCTAGACCCTCTGTTCTGTTCTTTTGATCTATTTGTCTACCTTGATGCCAGTACCACACTGTTTTGGTTATTGTGGCCTTGTGGTAACTTAAAATCAATTAGTGTTAGTCCTCCAACTTGTATTCTTTTTGAAACTTGCTTTACTTATTTATGGTCCTTCGCATTTCCATATGAATAGAATCAGCTTGCCAATTTCCCTAAAAATCCTGTTGGGATTTTGATTGGGATTGTATTGAATCTAGAGATCAATTTGGGGAGAATTCATATCTTAACAACATTGTGTTTTTCGATCCATGAATATGCTATATCTCATCATTTATTTAGGTTGTCTTTAATTTCTCTCAGCAGTGCTTTGTAGCTTTTAGTGTATAGCTTTTTCACATTTTTTTTGTCAGATTTACCCTAAGTGTTTCACACTTTTGATGATACTGTAAGTGGTATTGGGTTTTGTTGTTATTGTTGTTTTGGTTTGGTTTGTTTTTTTGAGACAGGGTCTGACTCTGTCACCCAGGCTGAGTGTAGTGGCATGATCATGGCTCACTGCAGCCTCAAGCCCCAGGCTCAAGTGATCCTCCTGCCTTAGCCTCCCAAGTAGCTAGGACTACAGGCACACACCACAACGCCCAGCTAAATTTTTTTTTTTTTTTTTTGGTAGAGAGATAGGAGCTCACTGTGTTGCCCAGGTTGGTCTCGAACTCCTGGCCTGGACCCAAGTGATCCTCCCACCTCACCCTCCCAAAGTGCTGGGATTACAAGCGTGAGCCACTGCACCCAGCCAGTATTGTTTGTTAAATGTTAATTTCTGATTGTTTATTGCTGTTTTACAGAAATAAAATTGGCCAGGTGCGGTGGCTTACACCTGTAATCCCAGCACTTTGGGAGGCTGAGGCAGGCAGATCACCTGAGGTCAGGAGTTCAAGACCAGCCTGGTTAACATGGTGAAACCCCGTCTCTACTAAAAGTACAAAAATTAGCCGGGCGAGGTGGCACACGCCTGTAGTCCCAGCCACTCAGGAGGCTGAGATAGGAGAATCACTTGAACCTGGGAGGCAAAGGTTGCAGTGAGCTGAGATCGCGCCACCGCACTCCAACCTGGGCAGCAGAGCAAGACTCCATCCCCATCAAAAAAAGAAATAAAATTGATTTTTGTATACATTGATTTTATATCCTGCAACCATGCTAATAAACTCACTTATTAATTCCAGTAGCTTTTAAAATAAATTTCATGGGGGCCCACGACGGTGGCTCATGCCTATAATCCCAGTATTTTGGGAGGCCTTCGTGGGTGGATCATTCAAGTCCAGGAGTTCAAGACCAGCATGGGCAACATGGTGAAACCCCTTGTCTAAAAAAAAAAAAAAATTAGCTGGGTATGGTAGCGTGCATCTGTAACCCCGGCTACTAGGGAGGCTGAGGTAGGAGACTTGATCGAATTAATGAGATTGAGGCTGCAATGAGCTATAATTGCACCACTGCACTCCAACTTGGGAGACAGAATGAGACCCTGGCTCAATCAATCAGTCAGTCGTTTCCATTGGATTTTCTACAGACAATTATGTCTGCAAATAAGGACAGTTTTACTTACTTCTTTCTAATCTGGATGCCGTGTGTGTGTGTGTGTGTGTGTGTGTGTGTGTGTGTGTGTGTGTGTGTCTGTCTGTCTTACTACATTGGCTAGAACTTCAGTACAATGTCAAGTAGAAATGATGGGGATATCTGTGTCTTCTTCCCAGAAAGCCTTCAGTCTGTCAAGTTGTTGGCCGTAGGTTTTTTGCAAATGCTGTTTATCAGATTAAGGAAATTTGTATTTTTAATTTGCAGGGAATTTTTATTAGGAATGGATGCTGGATTTTGTCATGCTTTTTCTGTACCCATTAAAAGCATAAAAATTTTTATGTCCTTGTTGTGTGTCTGAAGTATTGTGTGAAAGAGAGCTTCATCCCCTTTTTTATTGACCTTCTCTGAGATCAAGTAGAGTGATGTGGAGTAGCTTTTTCAGATTTATTCTGCTGCTTTTTAGAAACTAAATTCTGTAATTTAATTTTTAAAATTTTGCTGTGCTGGGCACAGTGGCTCACACCTGTAATCCCAGAACTTTAGGAGGTCAAGGCAGGAGGATCACTTGAAGCCAGGAGTTGAAGACCAGCTTGGGCAATATAGCAAGACCCCATCTCTAAAAAAAAGAAAAAAGAAAAGAAAGTAAAATTTTGCTGAGTAGAGTCCAGTAATTAAATCATTTTCCCTACGGCAAAACTTTTTTTTTTTTTTTTTTTTGAGACGGAGTCTTGCCCTTTACTGAGGTTGGAGTGCAGTGGCATGATCTCGGCTCACTGCTACCTCTGCCTCCTGGATTCAAATGATTCTCCTGCCTCAGCCTCCTGAGTAACTGGGATTACAGTTGCCCACCACCACACCCAGCTAATTTTGTATTTTTACTATAGACAAGGTTTCACCATATTGGCCAGACTAGTCTCAAACTCCTGACCTCAAGTGATCTGCCCACTTCAGCCTCCCAAAGTTCTGGGATTACAGGGTTGAGCCACCGCACCTGGCCTCCCCATGGCAAAACTTAATAGTAATTTAAAAATCATAAACATTTCAACAGAATAAACAATACCTCTACTGCTTTTATGAACTCCTCTCCTTTAAAGCAACTTTCCTTTGTCTTTTATTGGTTTTAATATTTTATTGGCTTCTTATGATCATTTTTCCAAAGACAAAAATACAAAGTGTGAATTTTTATACCTGATAGAATATTATTACCCCTTTCCCAGGAATAACAGAAATAATTTATTTGAAACAATCTTAAAGGCTCCTTTTATGGTAAACCATTTAAATTGATTTTTAGTGGCTCACTTAGGAAATAGACATCAAAATGTACCATTCCTTTAGTATTTTTCCGAAGGCATTTTTTCTCGTTAATCTGGGAGCACAAGAAGATTGATTTTAAAGGGGATTGTGTTTATAGGTGACATCCCCTATATTCTGAATGCTGCTCCAGAGTCAGTTGTTGAAGAATAAGTAAACATAGTATTGCTTCTCCGTTTTACTTTTGGGTAAAAAAATTCAGGGTTTGTTTCTTTTACTGAATTTACTAATCTCAGGACACCTACTGAGGAGAGTGGCTGTAGTTGACATGATTTTACATAAAAATCCATTTACGAAACATTTTGTATAAGTTAACTTCCAATTACCCCTCAGACAACCCATGATAACATAGTTATTTTGATCTAGCAATTAAGTCTTCAGAAAAAGTAAATCCTGCTGGGTGTGGTGGCTCATGCCTATAATCCCAGCACTTTGGGAGGCCGAGGCAAGTGGATCACGAGGTCAGGAGATCGAGACCATCCTGGCTGACACGGTGAAACCCCGTCTCTATTAAAAATACAAAAAAATTAGCCAGACATGGTGGCATGCACCTGTAGTCCCAGCTACTTGGGAGGCTGAGGCAGGAGAATCCCTTGAACCCAGGAGGCAGAGGTTGCAGTGAGCCGAGATCGCGCCACTGCACCCCAGCCTGGGGGACAGAGCAAGACTCTGTCTCAAAAAAAAAAAAAAACAGTAAATCCTTTATTAATAGCTACATGAATTGGGTGGTATATCCACATGATGGAACATTATGAAGCCATTTTAAAATAAGATGCATATGAAGAACGTTTAATGACATAGTAGTGTTCCTAGGACAAAATTAAATATATCCTTTAATCTCAATTATAAGCATTTATATATATATGTATCCACACACACACACTCACACACATACACACACATAAAAGACTCAAGCAAATACATTGAAATTTGTAGTTTGAGTGTTAATAGTGGTTGGCCCTAGGTAGTAGAATCATATGCATATTTTAATTTTTTCTTCAGAACTTCTGCTTTATATCTTAGTTACTTTTATTTCAGAAATGTTGATTTTTTTAAGTAACAATAATCTTGTACAACACATTTTTTTCTCAACTCTCAGTTTATTAACATTCTTGCCCAAAGAAGATACTTTAGCCTTCTATTATTCACTT
The DNA here is from genome assembly GCF_000001405.40 of Homo sapiens. Classification (NCBI taxonomy): domain Eukaryota; kingdom Metazoa; phylum Chordata; class Mammalia; order Primates; family Hominidae; genus Homo; species Homo sapiens. The sequence continues at coordinate 112,428,371 of NC_000001.11, forward strand.
TGTAGGAAAATAAATTAGAGCTAATCAGACCTACAGTTAAATTCTTCTTTTTTGGTTGTTCCTGATATTAAGTTAATATTATTTCTTTCCAACCCACCTGAAATAACTCAACTGAATCTGCCTAAAAAACCAACCTAAATTTCCAGACTATCCAGTAAAAAGATTGCAGAGTTTGGGGGAAGAAAAAAGAAGACTTGAATAAAGACCTTTTTATCATACCACAGTCTAAAGAGTTGTCTTTTAAACATTTTTGAAATAAATTTCACATTTCACCACAATCCAGGATACATATACACACCCATATACGTATATTAACTAAAACCAAAATTTCACTAGAATTTACTTTGTGTTTTACTATACTATAATATTTATACTATACCATACTGTACTGTAATATTTTCTGTTATACTTCATTTTTCTTTAAATGCTGATTATGACCCCACTAGACTAGTTTTATGATCCACTAATGAGCTGTGATCCAAAGTTTGAAAAACATTAGTCTAAAGCACTTCCTTTAATTTCTTAATTTGTTTTATAGTGGCAAGATTTCACTTTGTTTCATCTTGCCAGATCCTGAGACTGGAAATAAGATTTATTTAGGTATGTTTCTTATAAAATTCTAAAAGAATTTTGCTAAGCTATGGAATCAGAAGCTATTCCCAAAGTTTATTCCTTTAACAAGAACTAGCATTGTATATAGCCCTCTATGGTTTTCAGAGTGTTTCTATGTGTGATATGTTGTTGAATTCTCTGTACCCTTGTGAAGTTGATATTTTACATGCAGATCCTGGAGCTCATCTCTTGTAATTTAACATATTATTTTCAGATTAACTGTGCTCAGCTAAATGAACTATGGGATCTGACCATAAGAGATAAAATGTGTTTCATTAAAAACTGTACCTGTAAAGGTGAGGAGAAACTGGCACTCTCCTATATTGTTGTCCTCAACTGGTTAAGGAGAGTTTGGCAATATCTATCAAATTTAAAAATGCAGAGCCAGGCATGGTGGCACTTGCCTATAGTCCCAGCTACTTGGGAGGCTGAAGCAGGAGGATCACTTGAGGTCAGAAGTTCCAAGCTCTAATGCAAAATGATTTTGCCTGTGAATAGCTATTGTACTCCAGCCTGGGCAATATAGCAAGACCTTACCTCTTTCTTAAAAAAATGCATGTATCTAGAAGAAATTTCACTTCTAGAAATTTCTGCTACAGATGTCCTTAGGCCTTTACAATACAAATGTTCTTAGAGCTAATCTTTACACAATGAAGTATATGTGTAAAGATACCCATTGCAGCATAATTCATAGAAACAAAATGCTAGAAACAATTTAGTGTCTCTTATTAGGGTTCTGGTCAAGTAAATTATGGTATGATTGTAGAATAAAATACTGTGAAACTAATAAAATGAAAGATCTTTATATATAATAAAGAAAGAAAGTCACAGAGCACTGTACTAAATTCTTAAAAAAAGGCAGTATTAAGTTGCCACTGGTGAAGCCAGAAATACATCTCACAAAGCCTCTTCCTTCCTTTTAGCTTGGTTCTCTTGAGAATAGTAGGAACTCTTCTAATAATCTGTTCTAGGAAGAGCATGAAATTAGTAAGAGGGAAGTGCCAGATTCAGTGGTAGAGTACTCTAGCAGAAAAGGGCCAAAAGGTACAGGACAGGCTATTCATATGTGTTAGTTGTTCATAAATTGGCTATTTATTTAAAAAAGGACTGCATTCTTAAGCGATTAAATGTCTTTGCTCCATTCAGAAAAACATCAAACCCCATATATAAAAGCTAGCTCTTTTCTTTCTTTTCTTTTCTTTTCTTTTCTTTTCTTTTCTTTTCTTTTCTTTTCTTTTCTTGTCTTTTCTCTTTCATTTTTGAGACAGGGTCTCACTCTGTCGCCCATGCTGGAGTGCAGTGGCATGATCTCAGCTCACTGCAACCTCCGCCTCCTGGGCTCAAGTGATCTTCCCACCTCAGCCTCTTAAGTAGCTGGGACTATAGGCTTGCACCACGACACCCACCTATCTAATTTGTTGTGGTTGTACTTTTTTGTAGAGATGGGGTTTCGCCATTTTGCCCAGGCTGGTCTCGAACTCCTGACCTCAAGTGATCCACCCGCCTCGGCCTTCCAGAGTGCTGGGATTACAGGCGTGAGCCACCGCACCAGGCCATAGCTAGCTTTTTTTTTTTTTTTTTTTTTTTTGAGACAGAGTCTGACTCTGTTGCCCAGGCTTGGAGTGCAGTGACGTGATCTCGGCTCACTGCAACCCCTTCCTCCTGGGTTCAAGTGATTCTCCCGCCTCAGCCTCCCGAATAGCTGGGACTACAGGTGCGTGCCACCTTGTCCAGCTAATTTTTTTGTATTTTTAGTAGAGACTAAAATACATGTTAGTAGAGACTAAAATACATGTTTCACCATGTTGGCCAGGATTATCTCCATCTCTTGACCTCGTGATCTGCCTGCCTCTGCCTCCCAAAGTGCTGGGATTACAGGCATGAGCCACTGTTCCCGGCCAGCTAGCTCTTAAAAATTATTGTCTGGCATCAGCTGTTTGCTGTATAACTTTTTATCATGTCATCATTCATATTACAAATTGTGGCATTTAGGGGTTTAAGAATGAAGATGCCAGAAGAATAAGCAAATTTCTCGTTTGACTGATGTCTTCCTGTGGGTTCTGTGTTTTGTTTTGTTGTTGTAGTTTTAATATTTTTCAAGAAAGGGGAAATTCAGTTTATAAAACAGTACCTATTTAGAGAACATACAGTTTTCCAGCAGTTACGGAGGGGCTTCAGAAAAGATTACAGCAGTGAGGAATTTCATTGCATTTATTCAGCCTGTAACTAAAACAAATAAAAAAGGGAAATAGCTTATTCCTATTTTGACTTCCTCTTATTGTGTCTTCCTTGCATGTGTTAGCCTTGTGATTTGAGATTAATCAGGGGTTATTTCTAGTTGTCCCCATAAAGAGAAGAGAAGCAAAGGAAGACAAAGAGGTTGCTTCTAAAACTAAAACATATCATTTAGTATTCCAGTTTAGCCAGTTGTAAGAATAATTTGGAAGATAGGAGAAAACCATCTTGTATGTTTGCTGAAAATATTTATGGAAAGGAGGCATTTATAGAATGAACTGGGAGTTTTATTATGTGAAATTGTTTTGTTAGAAAAGCATAGTAATATAACTATTCTACAAAACAGTTCTCTCACATATGCACAAGTTAGCTTATTGAAGCATTGTTTAATACAGTATTGGAAACTGTAAACAACATAAATGTTCATCACTAAGTTCCATCAATGGCTGCATAAACTGGTGCATCCTTAGTATGGAATATTATATACTTTTTTTAATGAGAAAGAAAGCTATGTACTGACAGATCTCTCAGACAGTGAAAACAAATTGCAAAACAGTTTTACACAATAATAATATCTATGTAATTAGGTTTTATACACACAGACACCACACACATGCAAATGTATATATATTCTTGGAAATGGAGGCTGGGCACACAGGATCACTTGAGGCCAGAAGTTTGAGACCAGCCTGGGAAACAAAGCAAGACCCTGTCTCTACAAAAAATAAAAAACTTAAATTAGAAAAAGAAATGGTCTGGAAGGATACCTAACATACTAAGAACTTTTAGGGAGGAAAGTGAAAGGGGGTTACGGTCAGGAAGAGTTTCAGCTTTATCTATATATTTTGATTTTTTTTTTTTTTTTTTTTTTTTTGAGACAGAGTCTCACTCTTTCACCCAGGCTGGAGTGCAGTGGCATGATCTCAGCTCACTGCAAGTTCTGCCTCCCGGGTTCACACCATTTTCCTGCCTCAGCCTCCCGAGTAGCTGGGACTACAGGCGCCCGCCACCACACCCAGCTAATTTTTTGTATTTTTAGTAGAGACAGGGTTTCACCGTGGTCTCGATCTCCTGACTTCATGATCCGCCTGCCTTGGCCTCCCAAAGTGCTGGGATTACAGGCGTGAGCCACCGCGCCGGGCCTATAGTTTGAATTTTTATGAGAAAATACTTACTGATGATGGAATTAAAATAAAAATTTTGTAAGAAATATAATATGCACAATGGGATGTCAAGGAAACTGGATTCATTGGTAGAAATGAGCATATTATTGTATTATTATTAAGTCTCTCTTCTTACTGATTGGAAATGTCTAGAGATTTTTTTCATCCATTTAATAAGACATTCTTCTTTTCTTATACCACCCTATTCTAAGAGTAATGCCACTTGTACTCTTGATCTTATCTTTACCCTGTTTCTTCATGACCATACTCCATCAGTTACACCTTGCCTTCTCGCTTAGTGCCCCAGTTTCTTCTTTTAATACTACTACTTATTTTTGGCTAAAGCCTGTTTGAAACTTTCCATTCTATATTTAAAAAAAAAAAAAAAACCTTCTCAATCTTGCCATCCTTCTAAGTTACCACCCTAGTTCTCTTTCTCTCTTTACACTGAAATATTTAATTAAATATTTCTCATTCCTCATTACTCATTTGCCTTTTGTTTCTACTACTCTAATGAAATTTTACGTTTTGAAGTTAAAAGTAACCGCTAATGGCCTCTTTAATTAGATGACCTAACTCAGCATTCAACCGTGTTGACCATCCTCCTTGTTAAACTTCTTTCCTTGGCTTCTGTGATATTCTTGTCCTGGTCCTTCTCAGACTCCTTTGTGTTTTTTTCTTCCATATTCCTCTTAAATCTGATATCTTCTGTGACTAGATAAAATGTCCCTTCCTGTAGCTCCCATCACATACTGTTCAAAATCTACTATAGCACTTTTCATAACTGTATTGAAATAGCATTGTCTCTTGCCCTATAGCCTTTTAGGATCCTAAAGGGTAGAAGCCAAAATGTTATTATTCATTTTTGTGTGGGGGTGTGTGTGTGTGTGTATGTGCGTGCATGCGTGCGTTTTGTTTTAAAATTCCCCGTGGCTGGGCGCGGTGGCTGACGCCTGTAATCCCAGCACTTTGGGAGGCCAAGGTGGGTGGATTACTTGAGGTCAGGAGTTTGAGACCAGCCTGGCCAAAATGGCAAAACCCTGTCTCTACTAAAATACAACAATTAACCAGGCACAATGGTGCATGCCTGTAATCCCACTACTCAGGAGGCTGAGGCAGGAGAATGGCTTAAACCCGGGAGGCACAGGTTGCAGTGAGCCAAGATTGTGCCACTGCACTGCAGCTCGGGCGACAGAGCAAGACTCCATCTCAAAAAACAAACCAACATAATAATAATAAAATTCCCTGTATCCTCAGTTTCTCCTCCCATTCCCTTCTTGGTCTCCATAAGCAACTATTCTTAATACATTTTTTATTTGTATATATTCTTGTAAAATGTATTGCCTTGTGTGTATCAATTTGCATAAATGGCATTGTGCTATCTAGCTTGTTCTGTTTCTTACTTTTTATAATTACTATGCCTTTGCAGTCCATCATGTTGCCATGACTGCACATGATCTGTTGCTTCTATCTGCTGTGTCATACTCCATAATATACACTTATTTTACTGAGTCTCCTTTGTGGCTTTTTTTTTTTTTAAAGAGACGGGGTCTTGCCATGTTGCCCAGGCTAGTCCCGAACTCCTGGGCTCAGGCAGTCTTTCCGCCTTGGCCTCCCAAAGGCCACCATGCCTGGCCTCCTGTGTGACTTCGTGTCTACACCTAGCATTGCACAGTGGTACATAGAATATGTTAGCTGAATGAATAATACATAAAAAGATATTTCCTGATACTTTGTTCTTAGCCCTGTCACATCGTAACCTATTTACTCTCTTCCTCAGTGGGTGATTTCATCAGTTTTATTGGTTTCTATGGGTTGTTAACACCCAGATTTGTTATTCTCTTATACCTAGACCCATATATCCAAGTGCCTTTTTGACTTGTGCACCTAAATATCCCGTATCACAGTCTCAGCATCCTTCCCTAAAAGCCTGTGTGTTCTGCCTTTGTTCTCTGTTTTGGTTAATGGCATCACCAACCATCCACTCACCCAACCTAAATACTTCAAAGTATCTGTGTGTCTTCCCTCTTTGTGTCTAATCAGGTGCTAAAACCTGTTGGCTCTTCTCCAGAGTACCCCTTAAATGTGGTTTTTCTCTCCCTCTTATATTTTGACTTTAGATCCAAATGGTCTCTGGATCTAGCCTCCTACCTGACACTCTGCTACTCATCTTATATCCTAGATTTGTAACCTAACCATCATTAGTATCAAGTTGATCTTGTTTTTCTCTTTAAAAACTTCTTGTGACTCCTTGCTGCCTAAAAAATTAAGCTTAAAGACATTACATTCAAGACATTTACAGACTGGCTGGAACCCAGTCTCATTTCCTGCCAGTCTACTAGCTATAAATCTGACCTCTGTAGCCAAATTACGCATTTCCATTCTTCCATAACCTTGCTTGAACTGTTCCCTTGTTTGGAATACTGTTTTCCTTTCCTTCTTCTTCACACATAGAACCCTTCACATAAAAAGTATGTCCAGGCTGGGTGCAGTGGCTCATGCTGGTAATCCCAGCACTTTGGGAGGCCGAGGCGGGTGGATCATCTGAGGTCAGGAGTTCGAGACTAGCTTGGCCAACATGGCAAAACCCCATCTCTACTAAAAATATAAAAATTAGCCACACATGGTGGCACGCACCTGTAATCCCAGCTACTCTGGAGGCTGAGGCAGGAGAATCACTTGAACCCAGGAGGCAGAGATTGTAGCAAGCCGAGATCACACCATTGCACTCCAGCCTGGGCAGCAGAGCAAGACTCTGTCTCAAAAAAAAAAAAAAAAAAAAAGAAGTGTACCCAATAAATGTTCATAGAATTGAATCATACGTAACATGGTTTCTCTTTTTCTGTTGTCTACGCTAGATTAGTGATAATAGGAGAATTTATATATTTGTGCTGATAAGCATCACAGATTATAGGGATTTGTTTACTTTCTTTATGTTTATTATTATTATTTTTTTCACTAAATGTAAGCTCCTCAGGGGGCAGGTCCTTAATCTTATTTACCACTATATCCCAGGTATCTGGACCCAAGTAAGTACTTCATAAGTATTTGTCATACAGGAGAATGATTTCAGGCCCTGTAAGTCTACCTTGAATGTATTCAAGGCTCAAAATAGATTGCTAATTATTAATTCATATTTCTCAGAAAAGAAACTTAACTTTAGTAATATAATTTCATAACTTTTACTGTTGTTGATAATTTCCATTCAGTGACATTATTTACATCTTACCCCGTACTAAGAAGGAACAATTTGTTCTTCAGGCAGGAAATCATTGCATTGTGTTCGTTCTTTATTGGTAGTGAAGGATACCACATAATTGGAATATGTACTTTTGCTCACTATTTTGTATTCATCTAAAGAAAAAATCGTTTGGAAATTATTTCCTATTACTTCTTAATTTTCAACTGACATTTAATCTTGGTATCCTTTCCTATCAAATTGGGGTGTGATTATCTGCATTCCCTGACTGGTCAGTAAGGGGAACTTTCAGTATCAGATAAAATAGTTCAGTATGAAAAAAATTAGCTTGTCTTTCTTCATCTGGATACATACAAAAATATTATTTCCCAGACTTTTTAGCTAAGAACCTTTATGGTCATCTGTCTAAATTACACAGATTCTCTATCTTTTAGAATGTATCGACTGATCCTCCATTTCTCCTGTGATTTTTTTTTTTTTTTTGAGATTTGCTTTTTTTTTTGTCCTGTTTTATTGTTGCTTGTTTGTTTGTTTGTTTGTTTGGCTTTCACAAAATCTTTATCATCCCCCTTTGTCTGTTTACTTTCCAAAGTGGTAACTTTGAGTTCTTTAACCTTTAAAATGTCTTTTTCAGGCTCTTGTCCATCCTTTTCTGTGAATATCTGTCATAGGACAAATGACTGACATCTTCACCCCAGACCTAGAAATCATTAAAGGAGGAAGGTGCCAAAACAGAGTCTTAGAGGCCTAGAATAGAGCCAGTTTTCCTATTCCTTATGGGATTAAAATGGAAAAGAGGGTCTTGGTTATTCTAATCTGGTGACATTTAAAGTTTCCATATGGTGTTGCCATCCTTCAGAATGAAAAGAAGAGCTCATGTCACCAAAGATCACTCCTGTTCTTCTTATCCATCCATATCCCAATCCTCTTTAGCACACTTCTTTTTTTTCTTAGAGACAGGTCTCACTGTGTTGCCCAGGCTGGTCTCACACGTCTGGCCTCAAGTGATCTCCTTCAGCCTGCCAAGTAGCTGGAATTATAGGCACGAGCCACTGTGCCTGGCTCCCTTTAGTACACTTTTTTTTTTTTAACTTTTATTTTAAGTTCAGGGGTACATATGCAGGTTTATTATGTAGGTAAACTAATGTCATGGGGGGTTGTTGTACAGATTATTTCATCACCCCTAGTACCCTGTAGTTATTTTTTCTGGTCTTCTCCCTCATCCCACCCTCCACTGTCAAATAGTCCCCAGTGTCTGTCGTTCCTCTCTTGATGTCCATGTGTTCTTATCATTTAGCTCCAGCTTATAAGTGAGAACGTGTGGTATTTGGTTCCTGCATTTGGTAAGGATGATGGCTTCTAGCTCCAACCATGTTTCTGCAAAGGACATGATCTCATTCTTTTTTATGGCTGTGTAGTATTCCATGGTGTATATGTACCACATTTTCTTTATTCAGTCTACCACTGTAGGCACTTAGGTTGATTGTGTCTTTGCTATTGAGAATAGTGCTGCAGTGGATATTCACGTGCATGTCTTTATGGTAGAATGACTTATATTCCTTTGGGTATATATTGAGTAATGGGATTACTGGTAGTTCTGTTTTTAGGTCTTTGAGGAATTGCCAGACTACTTTCCACAATGGTTGAACCAGTTTACACTCCCACTAATAGTGTATAAGTGTTCCCTTTTCTCAGCAACCTCACCAACATTTGTTATTTTTTGACTTTTTAATAATAGCCATTCTGACTGGTATGAGATGGTATCTCATTGTGGTTTTGATTTGCATTTCTCTAATGATCAGTGATATTGAGCATTTTAAAATATGCTTGTTGGCCACATGTATGTTTTCTGTTGAAAAGTGTCTATTCATGTCCTTTGCCCACTTTTTAATAGAATTGCTTGGTTTTTTTTCTTGTAAAGTTGTTTGAGTTCCTTTGTTTTTTTTTGTTTGTTTTTGTTTTGAGACGGAGTCTCACTCTGTCACCCAGGCTGGAGTGCAGTGGTGCCATCTTGGCTCACTGCAACCTCTGCCTCCTGGGTTCAAGTGATTCTCCTGCCTCAGCCTCCCAAGTAGCTGGGACTACAGGTGCCCACCAGCACACCCAGCTAATTTTTTGTATTTTTAGTAGAGACAGGGTTTTACCATGTTAGCCAGGATGGTCTCGATCTCCTGAGCTTGTGATCCGCCTGCCTCAGCCTCCCAAAGTCCTGGGATTGCAGGTGTGAGCCACCATACCCGGCCGAGTTCCTTCCTTATAGATGCTGGATATTAGACGTTTGTCAGATGCATAGTTTGCAAATATTTTCTCTCATTCTGTACGTTGTCTGTTTACTCTGTTGATAGTTTCTTTTGCTGTGCAGAAGCCCTTAAGTAATTAGATCCCATTTATCAATTTTTGCTTCTGTTGCAATTGCATTTGGTGTCTTTGTCATGAAATCTTTGCCAGTTCCCGTGTCCAGAATGGTATTGTCTAGGTTGTCTTCCAGGGTTTTTATAGTTTTTGGGTTTTACATTTAAGTCTGTAATCCATCTTGAGTTAATTTTTGTATGTGGTGTAAGGACATTTTAATGATATTGATTCTACTAGTTCATGAGCATGGAGTGTTTTTCCATTTGTTTGTGTCATCTCTGATTTTTTTGAGCAGTGTTTTGTAATTCTCATTGTAGAGATCTTTCACCTCCCTGGTTAGTTGTATTCCTAGCTATTTTATTCTATGTGTGGCGACTGTGAATGGGATTGCGTTCCTGATTTGGCTCTCAGCCTGGCTGTTGTAGGTGTGTAGGAATGCTAGTGATTTTTGTATGTTGATTTTGTATCCTAGACTTTGCTAAAGTTGTTTATCAGCTGAAGGAATTTTTGGGCTGAGACCATGGGGTTTTTCTGTATTCTATATTTCTATATCTATTCTAGATATAGAATCATGTCATCTGCAAACAGGAATAGTTTGACTTCCTCTTTTCTTATTTGGATGCCCTTTATTTATTTCTCTTGCCTGATTGCCCTGGCCAGGACTTCCAATAGGAGTGGTGAGAGAGGGCATCCTTACCTTTTGCCAGCTTTCAAGGGGAATGCTTCCAGCTTTTGCATATTCAGTATGATGTTGGCTGTGGGTTTGTTGTATACTTCTGTTATGAACAGAAGATAAAGGCAGTCTTAGGTTGGGATTACTTGGACCTAACAGTTGCAGTGGTCACCTTTAGCATGCACAATTTCACCATATATTTGTGCCTTACTGCAGTGATGACCATTGCCAGGTTGTATTCAAAATTATCACTAAACACCCTGCAATGCAATGATAGCCCACCTTTTACTTTTTAGTCTTGACGTTTTTACTCTCTCCCCATTTTGTTCTCTAGAGAAGAATGATCCTTCCTTAATTTGAGTCCCAATCTATCTATTTGACTGCTGGTTGAAACCGAATAACTAGCTAGCTACTTCTTTCTACGTAAGGCTACAGTGACAGCCGAAATTGCTGCCTTTCCATCTGCCGACTTGTGACATAGGGCTTGTTCTTTATCTTAATATGTTACTTAGATATTCTATTCCACCTTCTGTCATTAGGATGTATGATTACACTGTCCTTGCTTCTGTTTGCCTGCCCTGGCATCCTGCTCTCACCATGGTAGGGGTCTTAAAGTATTACTGTCCCCTTTTTCATTCTGCCCTGTCTCTTTTCACACCCCACCTCCACTTCCCCCACAAATTTCTTATTCCTGTTACTTGATAACTTCTAAATATGAATAGTTTCTACTTCTTAACCAAGATAAGGCCCTCTTCCCAGGACCTCACTTTTGAGCAGCTTGTTTCTTGGCATGTTTCTGTGTAATATCAGTCTGTTTATAATTTAAGAAACTTGCTTCAAATAAATTTTTAGAGTTAAGACCCATCTCACAGTTACGCAGCTTCAGATCTCTCTCCCATAGAATACCTTAACTAGAGGAAATGAAGATATCCTTTCACATCTTGTTTACTGAGCTCTTTTAAAATATATTAACCTTGAAGTTTTCGGCACTGTCTGTTAATGGTGAGTGAAAGAGCCCAGCACATCTCCAATAAAGGTTTTTCAAGTTCATAGGGTTAACTTTAAGTATCACACACAGCTATAGTCTGTAGGCTGGGTTTCACTGTGTAATACTTCAGAGACAGTTTTGGGTTGTGTGGGCCCCCTACCCGAACCCTGCCAACCTCATGGTGTTTCCTGTAATTCATTAGATTGCCGATTGCTCCATTTATCTGCCAGAACCCACCCACTTCCAGGGTTGGCCTTTTCCTTCCTATTCCTTGTGAATGTAAAGTCTAAGTCTTAGAAAATTCCAATCTCAAATAAATTGTACTTGGTGTTCCTCTAAACATTAATGATATTGTTTAGAAAACATTTAAACAGAGAGGCTATTTGTTCATTGCTGATGTTAGGCCTTATACTTGTCTAGCAAATTTTAAGCTCCTTGAGGGCAGTGGACTACATCTTACATAGTCACATCTCTGTTCCCATGTCATTACTCACGTTGCTTATAATACACAGTACCCAGCAAACATTAAGTATTCAAACCATTCAGAGCCTGGGCCCTGCAAATCATGCACAAGTCCAGAAAACTTTCCCAGATTTCTCCAATAGTATTTTGGTTGTTTAACCCTGATAACACAGAGATGTGTTGTGTTGTTTATTTTTTGTTACATTTTGTATATTTGATGTTAGACCAAACCTCTCCTGGTTTATCGACTTTATAACATTAGTTAGTTTAAAATAAACAATAATACCGATTACTTATCATTTCTGTTAGAATTTGCATGTTTATCATAGCTTAAATTGTTTAAAATGATAGATTCAGGATTCAGATTTCTTGCATTCTTCATTCCATTCTAGTGTTTCTCAAACTTTTTGGACAGTAACACATATTAAAAAGTAGACTTTGCATTGTGACCCAGGGTACACACCTATATTCTTATGCTAGAAGTAAAGTTCCTCAAAATGCATCTTCTAACATTCAGTGCTCTGCAGTGTTTTTTATTCTGTTTTGTTTCATTTTTAAGTTACTGATCAAGACCTACTAAATTGAAATTCATTCCTACAAAGTCCTGGGGATGTATTTCTGTATTACTCAATCAGCTAACATAGTCAGCACTTAACTATATATAACACTTATTGTTCTTCACTACTTAATTAGCTTTGTGACCTTGGGAAAGTCACGTGTTTGATATTCAGTTTTTCTATAAAATGAAGATAATAGTGATGTTTACTTCATGAGGAATGCTGTTAGGAATAGATTAGATATGTAAAAAGCACACTGTTTCGCAGGCAATAAACGCTCGAGTGTTAACGTCTCTGTTGTTTTTGCTGTCATTGTTAAAAATACTTTGATTTGACCTTCCTATCTGTTTTGGAAATACTGTATGTAAAACATATACTACATATAACTTGTTTCCTTATAACTTTTATTATATATATTTACATTTTACATTGTTTAACTGGAGGTATAATTTGGATATAGTGAAATGCACAGATCTTAAACATTTCAATTCAATGTGTTTTTACAGATGCACACATCCACATAACCCACACTCCTATCAAGACACAGAACATTCTTATCACACCAGGATCTTGTGCCCCTTCCCAGTCAATCATCCCCCTGTCCCCAGAGGAAACCACTCTTCTGATTTTTTGTTCACCATAGTTCGGTTTTGTTTATTCCACAACTTCATCTAAACAAAGTCACACAGAACATACTCTTTTATGCCTGGCCTCTTTTTTTTGTTCAGTATGATGTTCAGGTTCATCAGTGTCACTGTATGTATCAGCACTTTGTTCCTTTTTATTGCTGTCTAGTATTCCATTTTATAAATGCACCACATTCTGTTTATTCTCCTGTTGATTGATATCTGATTATTTCTAGTTTGGGGCTATTACGAATAAAGCTGCTATAGCAGCTTTATTGTATAAAACTCTTGTAGAAATGTGTTTTCATATCTTTTGGATTAATATTTAATACTTACAAGTAGAATTACAGGTAGGATTTGTCTAACTTTATGAGAAATTTCCAGATCAGTTTCCAAAGTAACTGTACTGTTTTATACTCTCACTAGCAATGTGTGAGTGTTCTACTTACTCTACATTCCTTCCAACATTTGATGTTGTCAGTCTGTCATATTAGCCATTCTAGTGGCTGTATAGTGGTATCTTTTTATTTTTTTAACTTACACCTCCCTGATCCCTAATGACTTAGGCACTTCTTCATATGCTTTTCCCTATTGCAGTTTTCTCTTTAGGTCTGTGATGCATTTTTATTTTTGTATATGGTATAAGGTATGCATCTTCCCATTGTATTTTCAGAAATGTACGGTCTCCCGAAAAAAGAGATTAGGATCTAATGTATCATTTAAAATAATACTTTCTTCAACTGGAACAAATGTACCACTTTGGTGATGATACTGATAATGGGGGCGGCTGTGCCTGTGTGGGGCAGGGGATATATGAGAGATCTCTGTACCTGCTGCTGCATTTTGCAGTGAACCCAAAAGTGCTCTAAAAAATAATGTTTTTTGTTTTTTGTTTTGTTTTGTTTTGAGACAGTGTCTCACTCTGTCACCCAGGCTGGAGTGCAGTGGCGCGATCTCGGCTCACTGCAGCCTCTGCCTCCCAGGTTCAAGCAATTCTCCTGCCTCAGCCTCCCAAGTGGGGACTACAGGCATGTGCCGCCATGCCTGGCTAATTTTTATATTTTTAGTAGAAACAGAGTTTCACCATGTTGGCCAGACTGGTCTCAAACTCCTGACTTCAGGTGATCTTCCCGCCTCGGCCAAAAATAAATTATTTTTAAATTATACTTTAAAATTCTTAATTTATATTCAGAGCATTCTCCCTTTATCAGTTCATTAATCTGTTCAGTACTTGTTGAATTCCTAAACACATTTTCTTCCCCACCTCAAAAAGTTATTCTTGTGGACTCAGTCCAGAATGTACATATAATTTGTTTCAACCACCTACCTACACTGAACAAGTAAGAACAAAAAGAAAAAAAAATCTCAACACATTTGATTTCAGTTTCATTAGAACATTTCACAGGACTCTGGAATTTGAATGTTGAAACAGCTACATTATTCTGTTACTCATATTCTTTTTTTTTTTCTTTTAAGAGAGTCTCGCTCTGTCGCCCAGGCTGGAGTGCAGTGGAGCAATCTCAGCTCACTATAACCTCCGCCTCCCATGTTCAAGCAATTCTCCTGCCTCAGCCTCCCAAGTAGCTGGGATTACAGGCGCCCACCACCACACCCAGCTAATTTTTGTATTTTTAGTAGAGACGGGGTTTCGCCATGTTGGCCAGGCTGCTCTCGAACTTCTGACCTCAGGTGATCACCTGCCTCGGCCTCTCAAAGTGCTGGTATTACAGACATGAGCCACTGCGCCCAGCCTGTTTACTCATATTCTTATGCTATCAGCAAGCAGCCTGGGGGCTAGAAGTGCCACACTTATACCTATTTATACTAAACTATTTTTAGTCTTGAATAGAATTTAGTACACTGTAGTCAAATAATAATAAATGGTCATCTGTCCTTATGTAAATAATTGCTTTTATAAATATTTATGGTTGCAGGTTGACTCCAGAGGGAATATTTGAAGTTCATTCTATTTCACAGTTAGTTAAAATATTTTTGAGACAGAGTCTCACTCTATCACCGAGGCTGGAGTGCAGTGGTGCGATCTTGGCTCACTGCAACCTTTCCCTCCCAGGTTCAAGTGATTCTCGTGCCTCAGCCTCCTGAGTATCTGGGATTACAGGCGTGTGCCACCATGCCCAGCTAATTTTTGTATTTTTAGTAGAAATGGGGTTTCACCATGTTGGCCAGGCTGGTCTTGAACTCCTCACCTGAAGTCATCTGCCCACCTTGGCCTCCCAAAGTGCTGGGATTACAGGTGTGAGTCACCACACCTGGCTAATTTTTGTATTTTCAGTAGAGATGGGGTTGCACCACATTGGCCAGGCTGTTCTTGAACTCCTGACCTCAAGTGATCTGCCTGCCTTGGCCTCCCAAAGTGCTGGTATTATAGCTGTGAGCCACTGCACCTGGCCTGAAATATTTTTAAATCATGACAATTTTCTCTCTTTACTGTCATGTTTAATTTTTGTACTATTTTCCAAAAAATAAAGTTTAATTTAAATGAGGCTAAATCAGCTCTTTTATTAGTATCAAACATTAAAATCTAGTTCTTGTTCAGCAATTATAAAGGAACTTCCAGAACAAGGGTTTTCTTATTGTTGTCATCTTTATCCAGAATGTTTGCTTTATTTCCAGTTGCTCAGGTTGCTATAAACTACTTATAGTTTATCTATAGTGTGAATTACTTGACAGTAAATAGATTCAGTGTGCATGTGATAATGATTCCTTTTAACATGCTTTTGGTAGCATTAACCAAATACTTGGAATCATATTGTTGTTCTGGTCCCTGGCATGAAGTATTCAGATTTCTTTGAAGACCTATGATGTTCACATTGCTGATTACTTTTTAAAATATCACTTCAGAATTGTCTCTTTAGTGGCAAAAATACATCCTAATCCAGTTATGGTACCAGCCTGAGTCTTGAAAATAAAACCTTATAGTTGAATATAAACTTCCAATTAAATGAGCCTTAATTCTTCACCATTGGATTTTGAACGATTTTTCATGTTGGTGCCAAAGAATAAAAAGAAATTGATTTCCTACTTTAAGATTGGAATATACACACACACTGTACTGGGAAGTGGAGAGGAGGTGACTACTTCATATTTCCTTTTGAAGTTAGGAATAACACAGCTGAAACTTTTGGAGAGCAAGTATGGCCGACTCTAAGAAGATTATGTGATTTGATTTTAAGCTTTCAGTAGTGGTGTGTTTCATTCAGCCTGTGATAGTAAAAATAAATGAGTAATAGATGACTAGTGTGCTCTGGCTGCTGTGATAATACCCTCTGTTATTGAATCTGTCTAACCAGCCAGTTATTTTTCTGCTGTCTGAAATTAAAGACCATCATGTTTTCTGACAATGTAGGAATTTCTGTTCAGTTAATGTGTGTGTTGTTATTGAATTAAAAATAATAAAATTGAATTTACTTTATTTTTATTACTAAACCCCCTCCAAACTCTAATATCATTTAAAATTTCTTATAAAATAACTGAAATATCATTAATATATTACAACTCAGCTTTGATAGTTTTGAATATAGGTGTTTGGTCTTTAAATTTTGACCCGAGATATAAATGATAGTGGTAGCACATCTAGTCATTGACCTTGTAGCCAGCCTCCAAGATGGCTCCCAGTGATCTCTACCCCATGATATTCACACCCTTGGGTAGTCTGCCCCCAAATTTACCAGAGTTGGTCTGTGTGACTGATAGAATACATCAGAAATGATGGTGTGTCACTTCCAAGATTAGGTTATAAAAGACATTGGGACTTCCATCTTGGTCTCTGTCTCTTTTATGGGGCTGAGGGTCACTTGCTGTGTGGGAAGCTGGCACTTGTAAGGAGCCAAGGCCTACGCCAACAGTCATGTGAGTAAGTAAGCATGGAAGTGGGTCCATCAGTCCCAGTCATGGCTTCAGATGACTACAGCCCTGACCAACAGTTTGATTGCAACCTCATGAGACCCTGAGCCAGAACCACCCAGCTAAGCCCCTCCCAGATTCCTGACCCTCCAAAACTGTGAGATTTTTTTTTAATGTTTATTATTTAGGCTGCCTACTTTGGGGGTGATTGGTATGCAGGAATAGATCATCATTACACACCCCCATTAAATCTCTTCATTCTTCAAATCTTAATATCTGTTTTGGGGTTTTTTTATTATTTATACTGTTAAACCTGTAATCCATATAGTTCACCTGACTGAATCATTAAGTTGATTGAAAAATACCATGTTCTGTCTCCCATGTTCCAGTCCAGTGTTTGATATAATAAATATAGACTTTGAATTCACCTTTCCTATATTTGACCCCATATTAGAATGTACTTAAGAGAATCGCTCTCTGACAAGGAGTCTTCTTGAGGTTATTCCACAGATCCTTTTCCTTTACAGGCAAAGCCGTCTGTATTATACAACTTGTAATTACTATGCAAGTGATTATGGAATTACTATGAAGTACTACAGGAGAAAGCAGACAGCCAAACAACTGTTCTCAGGCTGAGACCTCACCAAAGAAGCTCTTTGTCTATTACTCATAACTCTGTGGTGCTTATTAATTATACAGGGTAATCACAGTGTGGGTTTTAAAAGTCATATTTTGGGGATTAGTTAACTATATACTACTCAAACCAGAGAGACAGCTTCTCAGCAGATCTGATGTCAAGGTCATGAATTGTAGTCCCAGCTCCTACTCCTCCATCCCACTTTCTCCATGGTGCTCTGAAAAGGAAAAGGTTATTAAAAGTATTTGGGTTTACTTTTTCTATTTCCTTTTTGCCCTAACTAAACCAACAGTGCCAATAGTTATTCCTTTACCATCACTAACCATACTGAAATGGCTATCATGAATAAGAAATGTGACAGTTAGAAAAGTAGTATTTCAGCTGCATAAAGAGATTATTTTTTCTTTTGCTTCTTTTTCTAAACTTTTCTATTTTTCTAAACATGGCCTAAAAAAGTGGAAAAAAAAAAAAAAACAACATAGCTGGGTGAGGTGGTATGTGCCTTTAGTCCCAGCTACTCAAGAGGCTGAGGTGGAAGGATCACTTGAGCCCAGGAGGTCAAGGCTGCAGTGAGCTGTGATCACACCATTACACTGCAGCCTGGTTGACAGAGCCAGACCCTGTCTCAAACAAAAAAGAAAAAAGAAAAAAAAAATTTGATACTTTCAGTGAGTTACAGGTAATCAATTTCAGGTTTTTATAGCTGAATTTAAAGAAACATGGTAAAAGGGAAACATTGATGAGTCCCATGTTGTTTGGCACTGTTGCTTTTAAAATACAACTAGCTTTTTGGTTTTACTTTCAGTATGTTTTATTTATTTATGTATTTTTAGAAACAGGTTCTTCTTCTGTTAACCAGGCTGGAATGTAGTGGTATAATCAGAGCTCATAGCAGCCTAGATCCTAGGCTCAACCAATCCTCCTGCTTCAGCCTCCCAAGTAGCTGGGGCTACAGGCACATGCCGTCATGCCCAGCTAATTTTTTGTTTTTTGTAGAGACAAGGTCTCCCTATTTTGCCCAGTTTGGTCTTAAACTCCTGGGCTCAAGTGATTCTCCTGCCTCTGCCTCCCAAAGTGCTGGGATTACAGACATGAGATGCTGCGGCCGGCTATTCACCATGTTTTAAAATAAGAAGAAGAATGGCTGGTTCTGGAGCTGATCTTTTCTTTCTCCATCCTAAATGGACTGGAGGTTATTTTGAAATTTTACTGTGAATTTCCTTTTTAACTTGGAGCTGAAAAAAGTAGGGTTTCAGCCAGGCGCAGTGGCTCACGCCTGTAATCCCAGCACTTTGGGAGGCCAAGGCGGGTGGATCACGAGGTCGGGAGATCGAGACCATCCTGGCTAACATGGTGAAACCCCGTCTCTATTAAAAAATACAAAAATTAGCCGGGCGTGGTGGTGGGCACCTGTAGTCCCAGCTACTTGGGAGGCTGAGGCAGGAGAATGGCGTGAACCCAAGAGGTGGAGCTTGCAGTGAGCCAAGATTGTGCCACTGCTCTCCAGCCTGGGCGACAGAGCGAGACTCCATCTAAAAAAAAAAAAAAAAAAAAAAAAAGTAGAGTTTCATCTTAGACTCTGTGTTTTATACCTCCCCCACTTTTAATTCACACACACACACACAACACACCATAAGGCTAGAAAGATAGTTATTAGTAACTTAAAGAAATGGATTTCTCTCTTCATATTTCCAGTATACAAATAACATCCAAATACTCCAGTAATGTCATAAAGTAAGATGGCTGCAGTCAAGCCAGAAGTAAAACCCAGAATTTCTAACTGCTTTGAACATTTGCCAGCTGATAAGAACGTAAAATTTTACCATAAGGCTAAGTGATTCCTGGGGCCTAAATTGGACAGTCAATGAAGAAGAAGTCTTCAGATTTTCAGCACTGAAATACTTCTGTGTTAAAAAAAAAACCCATGTTTGCTTTATTTTCTTAAAGTTTCCTTTAAATTAAAGCATAGCCAATGAATTGCAAATTTCCCTTTTTTTTAAACAGGCTCCTATTTGTGGATGGCAGTGCTAAGAAAACATGACTACTGATTAGTTTTTTAAAATGGATAAATAATAGTAGTTTTCATAACCAGATTTAATTTGAAAGCTTAAATTATATAGTACTTTGCTGTGACTTTTTAGTTTCTTCAACCCTGTGTTAACACTTCATTTTTCATTGTAAAATATCTCAAGAAACTTTTAAATATCTGTGTAATAAGTAAAAAGTAATGTACATGTAATGTATGATGCTCATGTGGAGTTCTTCAAGCTCTTCCTACAGAGATAAGGAAAGAGGGAAGCCTAGGAATATCTTTCCACCCACTTCCTGATCCTTATACTCCCAACTGGGTACCCAGGGCTAACGTCCTTGACCAGACTCCAGGCACCAGCTTGCATCCCTTTCTTACATGCTCATCCCCAAGGCTCATCAAGCCTTGAAAGAGACAGAAAAGAGAATGGAAAGTAACAACCAGAGACAAGAAGAGGGGGTGGAATTTGGCAGCAGGTGGAAGAGGTTTTGTCTGCATGTCTGGTTATGAGGTGCCTCCATCCTCCTTGACCCATCAACAACTGAGTAATGGTTCATATGTACAGGTCACAAGTAGTCCTAGATTGTAATGTGATCCTGCTTATATTTTGCACACTTTATATATCTGCTGGCATTTTGTTAGGTCTCTAAATATATAAACTCATAAAATTATCATACTTAACATGTTTTAGAAATGCTAGTACCATAACACGGAAAAAAATAAGATGTACCTGCTGGTAATATAAGCATTCATAAGCAGATATAAGCAGAGTCAGTAAGCACAGAGGTTAAGGACACAGACTTCGGGGCCAGGTTGCCTGGGTTTAAATCCCAATTCAGACAGCTTGCTAGATGAGTAACCAGGAATAGTTTTCTCATCAGCAAAATCGAGATGATAGCACTACCTTACAGGGTTGTAAATTTTAAACAAGTTAATCTGACTATAAATATTTAAAACAATGTCTAATACATAGTGCTTTATAAGTATTTGTTCTTGTTAATATACCATGCCACCTTTCTAATGCTGTTTCTTTAGATGGCTCAATCTGACTTGTAATTAGTAGGTTACATTTATACTAATACCACAACCTTTAATGTATAACCACTGGATAGCAAATCCCCCTTCCTCAGTAGTTTTAAAAAGCAAGATGCTTATTTTTTTTCCTCTTTCCCAGGCCCAACACAGAGATACTTTCATTGAAGAACGCTATGGAAAATATAACATCAGTGATCCTTTAATGGCTCTACAGAGAGATTTTGAAACACTGAAGGAGAAAAATGATGGCGAAAAGCAGCCAGTCTGCACAAATCCACTCTCTATTCTTAAGGTTGTGATGAAGCAGTGCAAGAACATGCAGGAGCGCATGCTGTCCCAGCTGGCTGCTGCTGAGAGCAGGCACCGAAAGGTAGGTTCACCTCAGTTGATGTGTAAATCTTTGTGAAGTCTTTATAAATTATGCCTGATACTTTCTTGTCAGCTGCCAGTTTTTCACAGTAATTCAATTGGGACATCTCACGGGTATCAAAAAGCCCCTTAGTTTATGTAAGAGCCAGGAGATAAAAAAGAAAACACAGCTTATTGCAAATGTTAAGTTTAGAGAACGTGCCAGACACGTTATTTAAGACAGCATTTCTTCTTGATATGTCACTCCAAAACACTTTGTATGTTTTTTCAGTTCTTGATCATTCAAACTTTGGGGTTTGGCCAAGCTTGTAGCTGACGGGAGTGTTCTCTATTTGCTTACTTAAGAGATAAATAAAAAGATTAACAGGTATTTGAGGCATGCTATATCCAAGGGAGAGAAAGAATTTACCTGAGGATAAACACAGAAGCCAATAGATTATTTTCATTTATTCCTATTATTCCTAGTTTTGAGTTTCATTGCATTTTGTTGCTCATGAAACCATAAACAGTCCCTTGGTTTATTTACCTTAAAGGTGTTCTACTCTATTAGTGAGGGGTGTGTGTGTGTGTGTGTGTGTGTGTTTTCCATATTTAACAAGCCCTAAAATAGGAAGGCAAACCTTATGGTTATTTACAGTATTTACTTTAAAGCTGTTCTACCCTATTAGTAAAGAGTGTGTGTGTGTGTTTCCATTTCTAACAAGCCCTAAGAAGGCAAACCTGTGCTTTCCTCTGCTTCATCTTACTGGAATTCTAGTGCTTGTGAATTTATTCACCAACTTGTCATCTTGTCATTTACTCCTCAAATTTGGCCTGTAAAAGATGCTTGGCTACAATCTTCATTTTTAAAACACTGTCAGTTTAGATTTATGCCAACAAGGCAGTTATCAGTGCATTTGGTAGGAAACATTTTCATCTGAAAAATAGGGTTAGCAGCTGCAAAATTTGGTGGACCTTACTTTTATGGTTATCAGCATTAGAGCCATCTTCTTAAATTGCATCTGATACATTTTCTAGGCTCTGGATCTTGCCCGTGATCTTTTCTTTCCCTTCACAGAAGCCAAATGAAAGGCCAGAGTGGAACTTCTTAACCATGGATAGGCCTCAGATGTTCCACAGTCCCCCAGAAAATAGACAGAATGTTCAGAGTTTATGCATTTTTGTAGGAAATGTATTTTTTCCATAGCTTTAATCAGATTCTCCAAGTTACCCAAGACCCAAAAATGTTTAACCTCTGGTTAGAATGAAGTAATCTGAAAACATTTACACTCCAATTTAAAAGGTATCAGTGGGTGGGAGTTAGTTGCCTAAATTGGGTGGAGGGGGAGCTTTTACATAATTCTCTAAAAATCTTCACAACATTCTTGTTTAATAGGCAGGCTTTATTTCCACTTCATCCATGAGGTGACTGAGTTGTGTTGAAGCTAGTTGGGCTAGCTTTCATGCCCATGGAAGGTGTACTAGGGACAGTTTGTGTTTCTAGGTGATTGGAGAGAGGAAGAAGTTAAAAATAATTCAAAATTTCTTAATACTATATTGCAGTGCTAAATGTTTTAAGTGAATATTAAATTTTTGAAACAAAGTACCTATCTATTCTTTTTTTTTTTTTTTTTGAGGTGAAGTCTCACTCTGTCACCCAGGCTGGAGTGCAGTGGTACAATCTTGGCTCACTGCAACCACCACCTCCCAGGTTCAAGTTTAAGTGGTTTATCAAAGTAGAAGACTGACTTTGTTAGAAATCAAACAGTACCTAGAGGCTTATAATTAGGGTGCTCATAGTCTCAGCTTATGCCTGTCACCTTGGCTTAGTTATTAACCATATTCCCTTTGACTGTCAGAAATGTTCTGGTTTGAATAATAAATTACATGGTCATTGTGCTTACAATGAAAAACAGTTTTCTATTCCACCTCTTCTCATTCCCCATCCTCCCCAGTATTCACAGGCAACCAGTTTTTTCTTTTAGCCATTCACTTTGGTAGCTAACCTCCATATTTCTAAATACTGCACTGTTCTCTCTTGCTTTATCAATTTTAGACATTTATATTACTTTCTTTTATATAGGTGCAGATTTAGTTATCTTACACCCCGCCTCCCTTTCCTCTCCTTAACCCTTACCCAGAACAAATTTAATCCTCTTTTCCCACCACCATTCTCTGTCACATCTACTATTCCCAAATCCTGAGCCTGTCACACTATTTCTTGAATGTGACAGGCTCAGGATTTGGGAATAGTAGATGTGACAGAGGCCAGATGCTGATGGTCTGTGTGCAGGAATCAGGGTGAAGGGACAAATAATTCTGAAAATACAGGCTTTGAAGGCCAGACACAGTGACTCATGCCTGTAATCCCAGCACTTTGGGAGGCCAAGACAGGCAGATCACTTGAGGTCAGGAGTTCGAGGCCAGGCCAGCCAACATGGTGAAACCCCATCTCTGCTAAAAATACAAAAATTAGCCAGGCATGGTGGCGTTCCTGTAATCCCAGCTACTCGGGAGGCTGAGGCAGAAGAATAGCTTGAGCCCAGGAGGTGGAGGTTGCAGTGAGCTGAGATCACACCACTGTAATCCAGCTTGGGTGACAGAGCAAGACTGTCTCAAAAAAAAAAAAAAAAACACAAAACAAACAAACAAAAAAACAGGCTTTGAGCCAGTTCTCCTGTTTTCTATTCTACATTTCACCTCTCCTCTGCAGTACCTGCCACCTCCAGGTTCCATCTCTTTGGGGCTCTGCAAGGCAAAACAGCTTCCCTCCTTCAAAGTAAAGTAGTTACCACAACTCCAGCCTCTTTTCTTCTTCAAAATATTATTAAAATTTTTTCTCTGCTAGAGGCTCTCTCCTTTGTGGGGTTTTAGTCTTTTTATTCCATTTCTGTAATTTTTGAGGACTCCCAAAAGGGAGAAGATAAGACTTACCACTTTTGGCCAAAAGCATGTCTTTCTATTAAATTGAAAAATTAGATTAAAAAAAGGAAATGTGCCAAATTTTTTTTCTTTCATTTATTTTGAGAGACAGGGTCTCGCTGTGTTGCCTGGGCGGGAGTACAGTGGCTATTAACAGGTGCGATCATAGCACCCTATAGCCTGGAACTCTTGGGCTCCAGTGATCCACCTCAGCCTCCCTAGTATCTGGGACTACAAGCATACACCACAGCACCAGTCTCTTCTTTTTTTTTTTTTTTTTTTTTTTTTTTAGACAGAGTTTCACTCTTGTTGCTCAGGCTGGAGTGCAATGGCACAATCTTGGCTCACCACAACCTCTGCCTACTGGGTTCAAGCGATTCTCCTGCCTCAGCCTCCCGAGTAGCTGGGATTACAGGCATGTGCCACCATGCCTGGCTAATTTTGTATTTTTAGTAGAGACAGGGTTTCTCCATGTTGGTCAGGCTGGTCTCGAACTCCCAACCTCAGGTGATCCACCTGCTTTGGCCTCCCAAAGTGCTGAGATTACAGGCATGAGCCACCACTCCTGGCCTCTTTTTTTTTTTTTGAGACAAAGTCTCACTCCGTTGCCTGGGCTGGAGTGCAACGGCATAATCATGGCTCACTGCAACCTCGACCTCCCTGGGCTGAGGTGATCCTTCCACCTCAGCCTCCTGAGTAGCTGGGACTACATGCACACCTCACCATGCCTGGCTAATTTTTGTACTTTTTTGTAGAAATGGGGTTTTGGGTTGGGCACAGTGGGTCACACCTGTAATCCCATCACTTTGGGAAGCTGAGGCAGAAGGACCACTTGAGTCCAGGTGTTTGAGACCAGCCTGGGCAACATGGCGACACCCCATTTCTACAAAAAATCAGCAGGCCATAGTGGTGTATGCCTGTAGTCTCAGCTGCTCAGGAGGCTGAGGTGGGAGGATCACTTGAGCCTAGGAGGCAAAGATTGCAGTGAGCCGAGATGATGCCACTGCATTTCAGCTTGGGTGAGAGTAAGACCCTGTCTCCTCAAAAGGAAGGAAGGGGGTGGGGGAGGGAGAGGGAGAGGGAGAAATAAATGGCTGGTCTCAAACTCCTGTGCTCAAGCAATCCTCCTGCCTCTGCCTCCCAAAAGTGCTGGGATTACAGGCATGAGCTCATTTTTATTTTTATAGACAGGTTTCATGTCCCAGAAAATTTACTCTCTTCACTCATAAAAATTTTTAGTGAGAAGACTAAGAAATGGCCTTTGGGACAAGAGTGCTCTACCCTGGAGGTCTGGGCCAAGGCACTTCTGAAGCATGAGCAGAAGCTACTAAGCAATCAGAATATTTGCAGTTGTAGATGGGATTATGTGAAAAATGTCTCTTTAAATTTGTATTCTTGGCCATGTGTGATGGCTCACACCTGTAATCCCAGCATTTTGGGAGGCTGAGGCGGGTGGATCACTTGAGCCCAGGAGTTCCAGACCAGCCTGGGCAAGATGGCAAAACCCCATCTCTACAAAAAATACTAAAATCAGCTGGGCGTGGTGGCGCACACCTGTAGTCCCAGCTACTTGGGAGGCTGAGAGGTGGGAGAATCTCTTGAGCTCGGGAGGCCAAGGCAGCAGTGAGCCATGATTGCACTACTACAGTCCAGCCTGGGTGACAAAGCAAGACCCTGTCTCGAAAAATAAATATATTTGTCTTCTCCTTAAAATTGGGCTTAATCCTTTGGCACCAGGGTAAGTGAAATAGGGGTAGGCAAGTTAAATAAAAGGGCGTATGAAAAATCTCCATTTAAGGTCTCTATATTTGAGCCTTTTTACATGCAGTAGGAAGTCAAGAGAGTCTATCCACCTCTTATCTAACTATATAAAAATGTATATTATTAGTTAAACAAGGCACACTTAGAATGTCACCTATTTGAAATGTTGAATTTCAGGCTCCTTCTTTGGTGCCTCTGGTGATTTGAGAATTGAGAAGAAAATCTCAGCTTTCAGGTTTCTGTGGTCCTGTCTTGCTCCATCACCTACACCTGGCCCCTAGTAACACCAAACTGCCTGCAGTTTCTTGGAATTTCTGTTAATTCTCGACACCTCCTCAACCCCTCTAGCTAATTAGTTGCTCTCTTCTCTCTGTTTGCATATCATTCTCTACATACTTCAAGTAAAGTAAGTATCTTACTGTTTAACACAGAGCTTTCATGTCTTTCACTGTAAGGCAGTGTGCTCCTTGATAGCCCTTGCTGGGTTTCATTTATTCGTTTGTTTGTTTGATCTCTGGAACTATCTAAGGTGCCTGATTTGGCACTTATTATTGGTTGTATTAATAAATGTGACTCCTTGATATTTGAAAATGAAATTTAAAAAATTCTTTAAAGGTGATCCTAGACCTTGAGGAAGAAAGGCAGCGGCATGCACAGGATACGGCTGAAGGAGATGATGTCACCTACATGCTAGAGAAGGAAAGAGAGAGGCTGACTCAACAGGTAATTAAGGTAGAGGGATTCACAGTAGCATTTGCCTGGAACAGCATTTCCCAAAGATTATTCTGCAGGATGCCAACTGGTATTGTTCAGAAAAGGGGCTTTGTGGTCAAATAAGTTTAGGAACTACTGGATTAAGCAAAGTTAAACAGGTTTCTAACTTTGTTAGGATCTTTAGTATGCAGAAGCACATTGTGAGTCTTCAAGAACAAGATAGGGTATTCTGTGTTTAGCAAATCCATGGTTTTATAAAATCTTTTATTGGCATAGATCCCTCACTGTGGGATTATTATTGTTCCGTAGAACACTCTTTGGGGAATGGTAACTTAGCGCTTGTAGCTCTCAAACTTTTGACTTAGAACCCCCAGTAAGAAGTGACATTTTATGTCACAACCCAGTATATGTAGACATACACAGTTACGCCTGAAACAAAAATCTCATGAAATCATATATAACCCCTACTGCTACAGTACACATTGATGTTTTCTGTTTATATATTTTTTTAAAATTCTAGTCGTGGCTCAGTTAGTTTCCCCATCCATTAATGGATCTCAGAGTTTGAAAAACACTGAGTTTCTTCAACCCTTTCCCTCTCACGCAGAGTCTCTGCCTCAAATAGGGTTGGGAAGACAATTAAAACAGGCTATATTTGTGTAAAAAATATGATTCAGGCTGGGCACAGTGGTTCACGCCTGTAATCCCAGCACTTTTGGAGGCCGAGGTGGGTGGATCACCTAAGGTCAGGAGTTTGAGACCAGCCTGACCAACATGGAAAAACCCTGTCTCTACTAAAAATACAAAATTAGGCGGGTGTGGTGGCGCATGACTGATCCCAGCTACCCGGGAGGCTGAGGCAGGAGAATCGCTTGAACCCAGAAGGCGGAGGTTGCAGTGAGCCAATATTGCACCATTGCACTCCAGCCTGGGAGACAAGAGTGAAACTCAGTCTCCAAAAAAAAGTATGATTCAAATGCAACTATTTGTGTGTGTTTGTTTCTGAGACCCAAGAAAATTATTGCTGAAACTTTAAAATGTTTGTTTTCAGCAACATTCATCACAAAATGTGGTTGATACAGCTTTCTGTTATCTTGTTTTGATTGGTTCTGATGCTCTCCACATACGTGAAACACAAAGATACGTCATATTCCCACTAATCACTGCAAGACAGTATGGGAACTAGAAGTGCCTCCCAAATCATCAAAGAAAGATTAAATCATAGTGTGTGCATTTTTTGTGTTAGGTGTTCTAAAATTTCAGAAATACTTGATCTAAGCACTGTGATGTGCATGTTAATCCTGTATACCAGAGAACAGCTAACGAAGACAGTCTACTTGATCACAGTTTGTCAGTATGTCTCTCTTTTCTTTTTTTTTCTAGTTGGAATTTGAAAAATCCCAAGTGAAAAAGTTTGAAAAAGAACAGAAGAAGCTCTCTAGTCAGCTGGAAGAGGAGCGCTCCCGCCACAAGCAGCTCTCATCCATGCTAGTGCTTGAGTGCAAGAAAGCCACCAACAAGGCAGCCGAGGAAGGACAGAAGGCAGGAGAGCTGAGCCTGAAATTGGAGAAGGAGAAGAGCCGGGTGAGTAAACTGGAAGAAGAGTTGGCAGCTGAGAGAAAGAGAGGCTTGCAGACTGAGGCCCAGGTAGAGAAGCAGTTATCAGAGTTTGACATCGAAAGGGAACAACTGAGAGCAAAACTGAACCGAGAAGAGAACCGGACCAAAACCCTGAAAGAAGAAATGGAAAGTTTAAAGAAGATAGTGAAGGACCTAGAGGCTTCCCACCAGCACAGTAGCCCTAATGAGCAATTGAAGAAACCAGTAACCGTGTCCAAAGGCACAGCAACTGAGCCTCTCATGCTAATGTCTGTGTTTTGCCAAACAGAGAGTTTTCCAGCAGAAAGAACCCATGGGAGCAACATAGCCAAGATGACAAACACTGGGCTGCCTGGTCCTGCCACTCCTGCTTACTCATATGCAAAAACCAATGGCCATTGTGACCCAGAGATACAAACTACCAGGGAGCTGACTGCAGGCAACAATGTAGAAAACCAGGTGCCTCCACGGGAAAAATCTGTGGCATTGGCCCAAGAGAAACCAGTGGAGAATGGTGGGTGTCCTGTGGGGATTGAGACTCCAGTCCCAATGCCCAGTCCCCTCTCTTCCAGTGGGAGCTCACTGTCTCCCAGCAGCACTGCCTCCTCCTCTCTAACATCCTCTCCTTGCTCTTCGCCGGTACTCACTAAGCGTTTATTGGGGTCATCAGCTAGCAGCCCTGGCTACCAGTCATCGTACCAAGTAGGGATCAACCAACGGTTCCATGCAGCTCGCCACAAATTTCAGTCCCAAGCAGATCAGGACCAACAAGCCAGTGGCCTACAGAGCCCTCCATCCAGGGATTTATCCCCCACCCTCATAGACAACTCTGCCGCCAAGCAGCTGGCCCGAAACACAGTCACTCAGGTGCTCTCCAGATTCACTAGCCAACAAGGGCCAATCAAGCCAGTCTCTCCCAACAGCTCTCCCTTTGGCACAGACTATCGAAATCTAGCCAACACTGCCAATCCAAGAGGTGACACAAGCCATTCACCTACTCCAGGGAAAGTGTCCAGTCCCCTGAGCCCCCTGTCTCCAGGAATCAAGTCCCCAACCATCCCCAGAGCTGAGAGAGGAAACCCTCCACCCATCCCACCCAAGAAACCTGGCCTCACCCCTTCTCCATCTGCTACCACTCCATTGACCAAAACTCATTCCCAGGCAGCCTCTTTGACCACTGCAGAAGACCTTGCCAGCAGCTGCTCTTCCAATACTGTTGTAGCAAATGGTAAGGATGTTGAGTTACTTTTGCCTACCAGCAGCTAGTCCCTAGGAGGGAGTCTCCACGTTTGACATTCCATCAGATTTCGTCCAAAAGCTCAGTCAGACTTCTGAGTCAGATTATGTTATTTATTTTGATAGTAGCTGAAACCATCTGTATAATACATTTAGTATATTTCACCATTTTGTATTTTTTTAAGTAGAAACTGAGTAGTTTGGATTTTTATGGCTCACATCTTTTTACTGAAGCCAGAAAGGCACCTCAAAGATGTCTCAAGCTCAGCAGTCACCGTCATGTTGTGATGAAGAAAGCGAATCACCAGGTGGTGATTTGCTATCTATTTGAGAACTAGAATCACTCAACACTCATTTTGAATTATGCAGAAGTGGTTCATGCAGATTTTTATTCCAGATGAACATGTTTTAAAAGTGCCTGAAATATGACTGCCATATGAATGTGATTCTGCAGCAAAAAACACAAAATAGATCATTTAATTACAGAAAATGAGATCCTCTGTGAATTCTGAATGTTAAAAACCAACACTGCTTTTAATCCTCTTTTAATGTTTTAATACAAGCTTTGTGTTCTGAAACAAGGCTGCATAAGTAGAATGGGAATCCTTCTAAAGGTGGGTGTGAACTCACCACAAGCTGAGCTTTATAGAGCCCTTGAGAAACCCTCCTGAGCACTAAGCAGTTGGGGTGCTGATTTTCTTGTACTTTTGAAAAATTAAGTCACTCCCAGTTTCCTGCATAAGTTCTTGAACAGAATGAAATCACATCTCCATTCAAAAAATGTCTCAAGCATCTACTGTTGTGTAAGGAACTTCTGATTCTGATTGCTGTTACTTGAATAGGAAATGGTTACTCATTCTGTATAAAAGTTTTGCAAGAGAATGAATTTTTTATTCTGTAATCAAAAAGCAATAACTTGAAATTCACTCTGTAATATTATAGGTCAGTCAGAATTATACAAGTTTTACCAAATTGTTACACTTATTCTCCAAGCTGCCAGAACCTGGTATCTGTATCTGTAAAACCAAATTAACTTTTGCTTAAATGGGAAGTATACATATATCTGTATAGATACATTACCCCTTTACATGTTTAACATACACACACTTAAACACATAAATACTAGTGTGATTATATCTTTGGAGTTTGCAATATAGCATAAAGGACAAGTAGAACTGCACATTAAGATTACCTACCGAAGCAACTAGATGTGGCTGGGACACAATCAAAGGAGGAATTTTGTCCACAGGAAGGTGAGGAAATTCCAAATGAAGCCTAGATCTTCAGTATCATAAAAAGGCAGAGCTGGCCAGGCACAGTGGCTCATGCCTGTAATCTTATCACTTTGGGAGGCTGAGATGGGAGGATCTCTTGAGACCAGGTGTTCAAGACCAGCCTCATCAACATAGTGAGACCCCATCTCTATTAAAAAAATAAATAGGCAGAGCTAAACTAACCCCAGTGTCACAAAACTCAACTGGTCATATAAATGAGTGAAACAGGCCTCTCACACAAGCGATGTAAAACAGCTGGGAGCAGTGGGAGCTGTGGCAAACTAAAGTGCCCAAGCCGCATTTAAAAAGGGCATCTGTTCAGCTCCATCTGCTTGCTGCGGTGCAAGAATGCTAAACCAGGATTACCAGTTCTTCACATTTTTTGAAATCCAAATTTTCATGAGAAACATTCTCATTTTTAAATATCAAGAAGTGATTTTAAAATGTTTAAATGGTGCTGGTTAAACAAACACGTCTGCAGCTGGATTTAGCTTGCAAGCTGCCAAGTTGCAACCTCTTTCATTCTAGAAACTTCTGTCATTTTCATCATAGCAAGTCTATGCGGACAAAAGCCTCCAAACTTTCCAACTGTGTAGGCCAGTACAGCTGGCAAGGTTCATAGAATATAATGGCTATCCCCCTCTGCCAAATAAGACTATCCACAACCCAGCTCAGACACAGTGGTTATATGATTTTGTGTCCATACAGGAGAGGCCTTGGTGTCTTCACATACATTCTCTGAGCCAACATCTATCCAGCAGCCCTGACCTCCTGCTATAATTTAAGTCTATTTCCTTTTAATCTAATAAGAGTTGATAGTAAAAAGGCAGGTGATGGAAATCAGTGTATAAATCACAATGGAGTATATTGGCAACTCCACAGCTTATAGTTTGATAAAGGCAAATACATGAAAAATAAAAATGCTACTAATGCCCCAAGGTGTCTATCAAAATGATGTAGGGGGTATCTTAAACTGTCCAAGGCAATCATGCATTGAACTTTATTCCTATGCAGAGCCAAAACGAATAGTGTTGATAAAATAGCTAAACTTTCTAAACTGGAGAGGAGGCTACAGTGCCAGAGAGTTATTGTCTCTTTTGCTTTAAATGGTAATCTTAAAAGTTGCATTGTGCTCTTCCTTTGTTTTGGGATAGATATATATAGAGAGAGATACTATAAGGAAGTTTATTTCTTAGGAAGTGCACTGAATAATGTATTTCTTTTACAGTGTAATATGGGGGTGGGGATATGCGAAAGAAATGTGTATTTTTGCTAGTTGCCTACCTTCTGAGATAAATAAGCACAATCTTGCAATGGATCCAATAACCCAGTTAGGTATTATAGATTAGTATTTAAGTTTGCTGTAGATTGTGTGTGTGTGTGCTAAGTAAAAGTTCCATGATTCACAATTTTAGTATTAACCCATGTTGCAAAAGCTGTTACTGGCCAACAGATTGTAATGATGTGTACCATATAACACAAGCATTAACTAGGCATTAACGTTTGTAAAGCCAAATATACCATGCAGAAGTCTTCATTTTTATAGCAGACTGCATTAAAACAAGTTAAATCTTGCTGTTTGGGGGGAAATAGTCTTGTTTGTACAAAGTGAAAAATGGCACAATTTGGGCATATTTTGTTGGGAAGAGGGGGTGGTGTAGAGGGAGCACTTGACTGTGGCTTTGACAAAACAAATGAAGTCAATGACCCATCCAGGTTAGACTCCATAAGGAACTAAGACATTGATTTTCTTTAGAGTCTTAGAGCTGGAAAAAGCCTTTACAATAATCCAGTCTGTGATTTTTTAAACCTTTTGGTGGTTCTGGACCTTTTTGAGAATCTTAGAAAAGCCATGGAGTTTATCCCTAGAAAAATGAATATGCCTATATGCAAAATTTGTTTGATGGCTTCATAGGATCCAAAGACCCTGAAGCCATCCATGGCTCATGTATTTCTGCTTAAGAAAGCATAATCTTGTTCTGCTCTCTCATTTTACAAATGATTAATGCATCCCTTTTCAACTACTCCAGCGCTGTTGCTGCTGCAATGTTAGCAAATGCAAGCCAGAGAGAAGCACTTGAAAATCCTTTGATGTCTAAAAAATGTTCAAATAGTGTGGATGTTTACATATCTGAAGTTTTCAGCATTTAAGCAAATTAATGATCATTTCAACAAATACTAGCATATCCGGTTTCCCTTAATAGCCTGTCAGCAGTGCTGCCTTGTCAATTTGTGTGTGTGTGTGTGTATGTGTGTGTGTGTGTGAATTCATAAGGAGTGCTTCTGATGCTTAGTCCTTGAAATGGAACTTCAACTGTCTTTCAAAACACTGGCTTCAAAATAGGATGTGTTTTCCTAATGAATCAGAAGTGGGCAATGAGCATTGTTCCACAGGAATAATTTTTAATTTAATTTCTATAAAACTAGTTGAGAAATGAGAGCCTGTCCACCCACCATTTGTGTATCAGTGGCCAATTCATTAGTAAAAATAAAGGAGGGGAAAGGAGACTGGAGTAGTGGTTCTCAAACTTTACTGTGCGTAAGTATAACCTGGGAAGCCTGCTAAAATAAAGATTTCTGGAGATTAGATCCTCAGACTAGCTGATGCAGCTAGTCTGTTTTGAGAAACAGTCCTTCATAGCCCTTACCTGTTCTTTCACAACAACTTGCTATTTGCCTCTGACCTAAGGAAATGTCTTAAGCTCCTGAAACTGGTTTGGCAGAATGTCAGTGATATTCAGAGTCAAGAGTGCCTACTTGAGTACCAAGCACCATGCTAATGATTTCACATACATATTACCTTATTAATCCTCACACGGGTGCTGTGAGGTATTATTATCCCCAGTGTAGTGATGAGGTAGTTGAGGGCCAGAGATCTGTGCAAGGGCCCTTAGCATATGACAGCCAGGATTTAAACCTTAGTGCTTTGTTCTTTCACTACCAGTATTTCCCAAATGAGAGTCTCTGGGGAGGAGCAGATTCCCAGGCTCCTCCCCTGGCGATTCTGATTTCAGTAGGCAAAGGTGGAGCTCTAGATAAATGCCTTGGTGATTCTTCAGATAGAGCAAGTTTAGAAAATGCATGCGGGACACCATGCTGCTCCACAGCCACCCCAGAAATGGATCATCAGACCTAATCAATGCCAGGAGACCTTCATCAGGTCAGATAAATGGAACAAAAATAAAACATCATTAATTCCCCTCAAACAACATGTTTTTTAAGTATCTAAGATGAACCAGAAAGCAAGGTGCTTATTAGGGAAGACACAAGTTTAATCCTGTTCCCTGCCCTTAGGGTACTCACAATCTAGTTGGGGAAACAAAACATTAACAAAATGATACATAGTGAGTCCAGAGGCAACAGTTTGATAGAATAATGCAGGCGAGCTTTTAAAAACCACAGGGAGGGCCAGGCGCGGTGGCTCTTGCCTGTAATCCCAGCACTTTGGGAGGCCGAGGCGGGTGGATCACGAGGTCAGGAGATTGAGACCATCCTGGCTAACACGGTGAAACCTCGTCTCTACTAAAAAATACAAAAAATTAGCCGGGTGTGGTAGCGGGCGCCTGTAGTCCCAGCTACTCGGAAGGCTGAGGCAGGAGAATGGCGTGAACTCGGGAGGCGGAGCATGCAGTGAGCCGAGATAGCGCCACTGCACTCCAGCCTGGGCGACAGAGCAAGGCTCTGTCTAAGAAAAAAAAACCATACACAGTTATTGAAGATGGTTCTGGTAAAAGCACTCTGGTAGCTCAGAGGTAACAGAGCTCTTTGTGGGCAGGAAAACATTAACTAGAAAGGGAATGAATGTCTTTTCTCCTCTCTCCAGGGCATTATTTACTTGGAGTTCTGTAACATGTCCCTGTGTTTGCTTTTTGTTTTAATTGGCTTGTCTTGATTCTAGGATAAGGTCAGAGACGGAGGCACAAGACGTCCCCAAGAGGTGAGTTCTGTTTCAGGGAGACTGACAGACACCAGTGGGTGCTTTCTTCAAGGGTTGGGGCTGACCTAAGAAGGAGCTCCCAGGCCACAGCATTCTGCAATACACTGTCCAATAATTTGTAGGGAAGATCTAGGAACATGCAAAAGGCAGTTTGAAAAAGGACCTGGTTGCCAAAGTACCATATTACCCATCAATGTCCTCTCCTACCCATTTCCCTTTTTCACACCCTCTAAATCTCTATAAGCAAATGCGGAAAATGCAAACTAAGCTTTGAACAGAATCAAATGAGTCCCTCTGGGACACTTGCAGGGGACTTATTTCTTCCGAAGGATGTGACAGCAGCTTCTCCCAATAGTGGCAGCGTTTGTTTCACTGTTAGACTGGAGGAGCACAAGGAGCATACAACATGTGGCTCTGTCCACACCACTGTGAAGTTGTTGGTTCTGAGAAATTACTGGGGGGAGTGTTAAAACAAGATTGGCCTTATCTCTGGGGAGTCACCTGTTTAACCTGACAAGAATCCTGCTCATTAACTCAATGTGTTAGACACTAGGATGTGCCACATGGGTTCCCTTTCAGGAGTGAAATTTAATTCCCTAGGTGCAGGGAATGCTGACAGTAAGTGGCCCTCAAGATATAACCCCTTATAGGAATTACCTTCACTGAAAGAAAATCAGCTTGACCAAAGTCACAGCTCCTTCCCTGGACAGCTCATATATTAATACAAAGACTGGGCATGGTGGCTGACACCTGTAATCCCAGCACTTTGGGAGACTGAGGCAGGTGGATCACTTGAGGTCAGGAGTTCGAGACTAGCCTGGTCAACATGGTGAAACCACATCTCTACTAACTAAAAAAAAAAAGCCAGGCATCGTGGCACAGACCTATAATCCCAGCTACTTGGGAGGCTGAAGCAGGGGAATCGCATGAACCCAGGAGGTGGAGGTTGCAGTGAGCCAAGATTGTGCCACTGCACTCCAGTCTGGGTGACAGAGCAAAACTCTGTATCAAAAAAAAAAAAAAATACAAAGACTGATTGATGTAGAGTTTATACTAACCCTCTTGTCCCAAATTAGGAGAACTCCGAAGGTTCATCTCAGCTTCAAAACCCCCTTTAGAGTTGCCTGAGACCTTTATTGAGACTATATTGCAGATCAACTTCTCCCTCTGCCCAATCCTGCTCCCATCCTGCTTCCATGCCCTAGGTGCGGATCCCAAGGGCACTTCCAAGTAAGCCATCTCCATCGTAATCTCCATCTCAGTCTACTCTGTTCCTTTGGTCATGATGAAGTCCTCTAAAGAAGGGAGGACACATTTTCTGAGTATTTATATAGTGCCAAGCTCTCAATCAGGTATTTTACACGTTACTTCATTTAATCAACAACTACGAAAAGAGGCAGATAATCCCTACTTGACAGATGTGATCATTAACTCCTGCTGAGACACAGTAAATTGCCCAAGGTCCTACAGCAGAGCTGAGATTCAGTGTCAGCTGGGATTCCAATCGTTGAAACCCTATTTGGCTTTCAAGTCCACTCTCTTTCTGCTGGCCACACTATAGTATCAAAACAGTAATAATACATTTGGGGAGTTTGGAATATTGACTTTTTGTCAGTCAAATACCCAAGTATAAGTCCACTGATCAGCTAGCTTTCTTTGAGACCTTCAGCTAGAAACAAGATACTGAAGGAATTGGGTTTTGGTGCAGAGAAAGGAAAAGGATGATTTCCCTACACACGTGGAGTCATCAGATGTTAGAGCTAGAGCTCATCATGGAGGAGACCCTCATAATCGAGATGAGGAAAATGAGCCCTAGAAAGGCCAGGGGACAGGCCCAATTGTGCATGTCTAGTTCACAGCAAGGCCTGGCCTGTACAGAAAGTCCGGCTCCCTCATCCTGCCTCAGCCAACTGCTCCTCCCCGAGCTGACCTGAAACCAGCAGTTCCTAGCCCAGCCCTGGCTGCTCCCTGGGGCACTCCTTCCCTCTCACCTGCTCTACCATGTCTGGCTTTGATCTTGTTCACCTGGGCTGCCCCATATTCCAGGCCCTGCCCTCTGCCTAGGGCTGTCTGCCTGCCACACTTGTTGCCACAAAAATCCTGTCCTCATGTCTCTGAACAGGTTTGACGGCTGGAGCAAGGGTAGGAGGGGGGAGCATGGTGGGGCTTCTCTTCCCAGGCCGTGCCTCCATCTGTCTAGAACCAGCTCTGGGAAGCACTCATCAGGCATGTCTTGCTCCTCAGGTCAGGCATGGACAAGATGCCACCAAAGTCCTGAGCATCTAGCCCCTCCCTGCTCGGGAGTCTGACTTGCCACACCTGCTTGTGGAGGAGGGAACAACTGAATGCTTGAGGGGAGACACCTCCTCCTCCTCCGACGCCTTCCGCACCTGAACTCAAACATAACAGCTCTGCTGGGAAGGGGCTTTTGCGTTTTTAAAGGACTTATCCATTTCCCTTCTCTCTAGTGCCCACCCTCCCACTCCCCCGCTCCCTCAGCCCACCCAACCCAAATCAAAGCCTTCTAGGATGGTTTGTGCCTCTGAGCAGACAGGGTGTCCTCAGGAAGACCCTGATCCAAAGGGATTCGGGGTGGTGGGGTAGTTTAGGGGTGGCGACCAAAGCACACAGGCCCCTTCTTCATCCCTAGCGTGTTTTCCTTCTCCTGAGTCTTGGTGAGTCAGAGCCACAGGGCCACACACAAGGCTACTATTCAGGGCTCGTTTTCCTTCCCCTCTACTCAGATCTTGGCATCTCTCACTCCTTCATTCTCTATGTGGGCCTTATTCTCACCATGGGAAAGCTCTGCTCCCTGCCCTGTGCCGCCTCACTTTCCCCCAACAACCCACCCAACACACACACACACACACACACTCCTCATCCTTGCCTTTTGAGAGTTTGCAGGCCCAGCTGGATACAAACATACAGGAGGTAGAACAACATAGAAATGTTACACCAACAAATCCTTATTCACATACTCAACCGGTTTTATTGCTTCTGGCTCCGTGCAGACCTCAGCCAGCTTGAGAAGGGGACACACACCACACACTCGCTGTGCTTGCCCTTCATCTATTCAGCATATAGTTATTAAGTACTGACTCTGTGTCAAGCAAGCATCATGCTAAGGGCTGGCATTTACACTCTGGTGGAGAAACATGTCTCAAAGAGGTGACTCTCAGGGTTGTGCAGGGCAGGATATTACAAGTGTTCCAAATGAGGGATGGGGCCCCTAAGATTCAGGAGAGCTGGAAACCCGCGGGTCTAGAGACTTAAGAAGCACCTGCTTTAAATAAAAGGGAGAAGGAGATCGGTTTGCATTGATAGGGTTCTGGGTACACTACAGCAAGGAGTCTGAGCAAGAAAAGCAGTTCAGAACAGGAGCTTTGTCGGTCCGTGCGCAACCTTGGACGAGTGAGTGAACCTCCGCCACCCTCCATCTCAGCATCAGTAAAATAAAGATGGGAACCTCCCTCTCAGGGTTTTGTGAGAATCCCGTGAGATAAAGCAGGCACGTGCCTAGCACATAGTAAGAACTCCATGGGTTTGCTGCTCCCTTTGTGGAGCGGCGCTGTGGGTGAAGGGGCGGTGATAGAAGTTGCTTGTCTAGATTGGAAGCCATGTGGTTCTGACGCCAAGGCCCGGCTGCAACGTGCCCGACGGGCTACTCCGGGCTGGCAGCCCCGCCCTTCTTCGGAAAGCTGACTTACTTGCGCCCCCTGGTGTTTCACATGCTGTGAATCTCTCACGACCGAGGTCTGGCCGCGCGCCACCTCTCTGAGGGAAGGACAGGGTCAGTGGCCAGGAAGGGGCCCACTTCAGACGCCGGCGTAAACGAGGATGCGCCTCCTCTCGTCCCCGTGCTCAGCCGCCTCCCTGGTGTCTAAGTTCGGAGCACAGCAGCTTACCCTGCCTGAAAAGCGGAACGAAGCCTAGACTGCGTAAAAAAAAACAGAGAACAGAAACCACCTCACAGCATTGTTGTGAGCCTTAAATGAGCAAATTTAAGACTTAAAACTGGTCATTGACATAAGCCTTCAAAAAGTGATAGCTATTAGTATTATGTAGCTCCTAGAACAGTGGCTGACATATAGTAGATGCTCATAACTGTTAAAAAGGGGCCAGGAGGATTCTATCTATTTATGCATTCATCCATTTAATTATGCTTCAGAAATGTCTTGCTCTTTTTATACTGTCGATGCTGTAAAATACAAAACCCATAATAAGCCAAGTAAGCAAGCAAGAGCCAGCACTCTGGGAGGAAAACAAAGAGATTTTCTTCATTGAAATATCCATGCCACAGTTCCTACTAGGTGCCAGGCACTGTGATAGGCACTAGGATAGAGAAATAAGTTACAGGCCTTTAGGGATTTTAGGTGCTGGTGGGAGAGACAAACATGAAACGCAGTGTTATGTGGATTATAATAAATAGAGCAACAAGCTGTGGCTGCACAGTTAACCCCCAGTGGAGTCAGGAAAGGTCTCACAGAGGAAGGGACACTTGTCTTGGTCTTGAAGGAGAGGTAGATGCTCCCAGGTGAAGAAGAGAATGAAGGGCATTCCAAGGAATGAGGATAGCATATACAGTGCACCAAGTTGCCAGCAGGCACCGTGTTTCTGGTGAGAAGCCTGGGATGGAAGTCTAGATCAGGAGAAGTAAGCAGGAACTCGACAGGAAAGGGCATGGTCTGCCCAGGCAAAGAATTTGTGCCCTTATTTGGTGGGCCACTGGAAGCCTGAATTGAGGAGCATCATGAGCACAGGCACATTTACCAAGAAGCTAATGAGGTTTAAGCTTCGAGGCCCATCACTGGCATGGCCCCTTCCAAACCCTGAAGAGCCCAAGCAATGTGGTTGTAAAATTTGCAAAATAAGATTAAATCTTAACTGCAATCTGTTAACACTGCTGTCTCCTTTCACTCTTTCTCCTATATCACACTTTCCCACATGTTGGATGGCCTTGGAGTGGTAGCCATAAGCATTTTTGGAATTCAACTAAAAGTAAGTTGAATGAAGCACTACTTTATTTAATACTTGTACCTAATTTTCTCCTTTTCTTCTCGATACATAATACTTTACATATTTATGGGGTATATATGATCATATACGTAGTATGTATAATGGTCAAGCTTGTTATACACGTAGTATGTATAATGGTCAAGTCAGGATATTTGGGGTATCCATCACCTTGAGTATTTATCATTTCTATGTGTTGGTATCATTTCAAGTCCTCTCTTCTAGTTACTTTGAAACATACAAAGTATTGTTGCCAAGTATAGTCACCCTATTCTGCTATCAAACATTAGAACTTATTTCTTCTATCTAACTGTATGTTTGTAACCATTAATCAACTTCTCTTCATTCCCCTCCCACCAACCACCCTTCCCAGACTCTGGTATCTATCATTCTATTCTCTATGGCCATGAGGTCAAGTTTTTTAGCTCCCACATATGAGTAAGAACATGCAGCATTTGTCTTTCTGTGCCTGGCTAATTTCATTTAACATAGTGACTTCCAGCACCATCCTTATGGCTGCAAATGAGTTGATTTCATTCTTTTTTATGACCAATAATATTCCATTTTGTATCTATACCAAGTTTTCTCTATTCATTCATCCGTTGATGGACACTTAGGTTTATATCTTTGCTGTCATGAGTCGTGCTGTAATACACATCTGAACGCAGGCATCCCTTTGATATACTATTTATTTTCCTTTAGCTAGATACCCAGTAATAGGATTCCTGGATTATGGTAGTTCTATTTTTAGGTTTTAATAAATCTCCATATTGTTTTCCATAGTGGTTGTACTAATTTACATTCCCACCATCAGTGTATAAGAGTTCCCTGTTCTCTGCGCCCTCATCAGCCTCTGTTATTTTTTTCTTCTTTATAATAGCCATTCTAACTGGGGTAAGACGATATCTCATTTTGGTTTTGTTTTGCACTTCCCTAATGATTCATGACATTGAGCATTTTTTCATGTATCCATTGGCCATTTGTCAGTCTTCATTTGAGAAATGTCTATTCATGCCAGTTTCCCATTTTAATGGGATTATTATTATTATTATTATTTATTGTTTAGTTGTTTGAGTTCCTTGTATATTCTGGAATTAGTCACCTGTTGCATGAGTAGTTAGCAAATATTTTCTCCCATTCAAGAGGTTGTCTCTTTACTCTGTTGATTGTTTCTTCTGCTACATAGAAGTTTTTCCATTTAATACAGTCCTATTTGTCTATTTTTCGTTTTGTTGCCTGTGCTTTTGAGGTCTTGGCCATAAAATCTTTGCCTAGACCAATGCCCTGAAGAGTTTTTCTTATGTTTTCTTCTAGTAGTTTTATAGTTTTCCATCTTACATTAAAATTCTTAATCCATCTTCAGTTGTCTTCTGTATATAGTGAAAGATAGGAATCCAGTTGCATTCTTGTGCATATGGTTATTCAGTTTTCCCAGCACCATTTATTGAAGAGGGTGTTCTTTCCCCATTGTATGTCCT
Source organism: Homo sapiens (assembly GCF_000001405.40). NCBI lineage: Eukaryota > Metazoa > Chordata > Mammalia > Primates > Hominidae > Homo > Homo sapiens. Next base: position 112,469,085 of record NC_000001.11, read on the forward strand.
TGGTGATTTGTTGAAGATGAGTTAGCTGTAAATATGTGGATTTATTTCTGAGTTTTCAATTCTGTTCCATTGGTCTATGTGTCTGCTTTTATACCAATACCATCCTGATTTGGTTACTAAAGCCATGTAATCCATTTTGAAGTGAGTCAAGAAGTGACTCTGAAGACACATCTGAAGATAGTGTGATATATCCACTTTATTGTTTTTGCTCAGGATTACATTGGCTATTCTGGCTCTTTTTTGGTTCCATACAAATTTTAGTATTTTTTTTCTATTCTGCGGAAAATGACATTGGTATTTTGATGGGGATTGCGTTGAATCTGTAGATTGCTGCAAGCAGTATGGTCATTTTAATAATACTAATTATACTAGTCCATGAGCATGGAATGCCTTTCCATTTGTTTGTGTCATCTTGAATTTTGTTCATCAGTTTTATGTAGTATACCTTGTAGAGATCTTTCACCTACTTAGTTAAGTTTATTCCTAGGTTTTTTGTTGTTTGTTTGTTTGTTTTTTAGCTATTGTAAATCAGATTTCTTTCCTTTTTTTTTTTGAGACGGAGCTCTGTCACCCAGGCTAGAGTGCAGTGTGCGATCTCAGCTCACTACAACCTCCGTCTCCCAGGTTCAAGCTATTCTCCTGCCTCAGCTTCCCGAGTAGCTGGGATTACAGGCACATGCCACCATGCCTGGCTAATTTTTGTATTTTTAGTAGAGATGGGGTTTCACCGTGTTAGCCAGGCTGGTCTCAAACTCCCAACCTCAGGTGATCTACCTATCTTGGCCTCCCAAAGTGCTGGGATTACAGGTGTGAGTCGCCGTACCCGGCCTATTTATATCTTCTTGTACTATGTCTTCAAAAATTGTTGTGATTATTATTTCTGAGTAGCTCATCTTTTAGTCATTCTACTCAAGATATGAGTAGTTTACACACCACAATTACAGTGTTATGATATTCTGTGTTTTTCTGTGTACTTCCTATTACCAGTGAGTTTTGTACCTTCGGATAATTTTTGATTGCTCAATGACCTTTTCTTTCAGATTGAAGAACTCTTTTTAGCATTTCTTGTAGGACAGGTCTGGTGTTGATGAAATTCCTCAGCTTTTGTTTTTCTGGGAAAGTCTTTATTTCTCCTTCATGTTTGAAGGATAATTTCACCAGATATAATTTTCTAGGGTAAAAGTTTTTTCCTTCAGCACTTTAAATATATCATGCCACTCTCAGCGGGGTGCGATGGCTCACCCTTGTAATTCCAGCACTTTGGGAGGCTGAGGCGGGTGGATCACCTGAGGACGGGAGTTTGAGACCAGCCTGGCCAATATGGTGAAAGCCCATTTTTGCTGAAAATATAAAAATTAGCCAGGTGTGATGGTGCACACCTGTAGTCCCAGCTACTTGGCAGGCTGAGGTGTGAGATCACTTGAGCCCAGGAGGCAGACGTTGCAGTGAGTCAAGATCACGCCACTGCACTCCAGCCTGGGTGGCAGAGTGAGACTCGTCTCTAAATAAATAAATAAATAATAAATCATGCTGCTATGGTGTACAAATGGGGGAAAGGCGTCCGCTCTCTATGCATGAGCCTAAGCACTGAGGCTGCTCCACCAGTGGGGGTAGGGTCACTGCCCAGGCCCCAGACAGTCAGCTCTCAGGCTCACCCACTTGGGCTCCTGGTGGCAGCAACTGCTGCATTTGTGTGGGTGTGGGGGAGGAAGGGGAGGCGGTGGGATGGGTGGAAGGAATTCCACTTTCCGATTATGAGCCCCAGAATAGAGTCTGTGCCACTGCTGGGGGCAAGGTCGCTCTCACAGGGTCTGGAAAGTGTCTGCTCTGGCTTACTGTGACTGTGTCCCAGGGGCTTCCTCCTTGGTGTGTGGCACCATCCTTTTCCTGAGGAGTAGTAGTTCATGTGGGCCAGGGTACTGGGGACCCTGTGCACATTTGGGTCCAGCCAGTGCTGTGCCACTGTAACCCTCTGAGTGGACACTAAGGGACATCAGTGGGGGATTCTGAAATGTGGACATAGGAGGGTGTGGTTCCCAGGGCAGGATGCAGTCCAGTGGTGGCTGTGCTTTCACAATGGTGCTGTGCTGCAGCCACGTACGTCTTGGGGAAGCATGTGACCCTGCATGAGTCCCCTGTCTGGTGAGATGCCCTGACAGGGCCTCCAGACCACCACCCACACTAGTCTCAGAGTTTGTATGGGTAGAGGAGCTCTCTCATGGTTAGGACTGCAGCAGTCTGCAGCAGGGATGTGTATAGCAGAGGGATTCTCACCGCCAACCTTGGCTGAGTTGACCACTCACTTCCTGCTCCATCTGTGCCTCAGGTATTTCCCATAACTTCTCTGTTGAACTCCAGTGTTCTCTCCTAGATGTTCTATTGGAGGTATGATTATCTATTCACAATTATTGATTCCTTCTTTAAAGAGTGAGTGTCTAATGTCTCTAGTCAGCCATTTTGAACCCCTATCTCAGTTTTTTGAGAGATTTCTGTGGTTTGCCGTCACTTCCATGAGTTTATGCTAGCCACGCCAATAGGAATAGCTTCTAGGAATACTCCCATCAATCCATGTGCTGCCTGACCTGACATAATGACATGAAGCAGCAGTGCCAAAGGTTGTATTCTAGGAATATACCCTGTAGTATCTGGCACTAAAAGTAAAGTGGGAAGCAAAGGAGAAACAAGTTTGGAATATGTGGAGCCAGAACACATCTATAGAAAATTCATCTAGTTCTCAGCTGTGTAAAATTATAAGTGGGCAATTAATTTCTTATTAAATCCTAGCCAAAACAAAATTTATCTCTTGCCAAGGAAACTGGTCAGTGATGCAGTGTACATAATTATAAATGCAGCATACATATGAAGATGTAATCAAGGAGTATGAAGTCAAAAGATAGATATATGGTTTTTTATTTTCAAGAATTCTACTTCTGACTTCAAAATAGAGTAACAGGAACTGGATTTATTCTCACACCTAAAAAAAAACTAAGCATTAAGCCAAATATATTAAAGACATTGACGATCAGACAACAAAGGACACAGATGGGAAACAAAGTGAGTCTTATAATTGCCCCCCAACAGGAAGGAGAATTCCAGGCATGGCCTCATGATCTCCTTAAGTTCAGGAGGTAAAGCTGGGAGTCTTGGGAGGGAAGAGTATTGGATGTAAGACAGCTTCAGTGAGAGAGATCACCAGAGGATGTGAGAGGCCTCCCCTGGAGTCTTCAACTAAGTGCTAATCAGCAAATGTATGAGGAAACTACCCAAGACCAATGAGAGAACCACCCAAAAGGATTAGAAGAAACTACTCAGAGATCTCATGGGACTGGGAGTAGTTTCTGTTCTCATTAGCGAAAAATGAAAAATCTCATAATTTGCAGCACATTCAAAGAGTCTTCAGAGTTTTGTCTCTATAGTGGGCCAAAATAAGCCCTAGAATAAATGATGCTCTGTTCCCACCAACCCCCAACCAATGAAAAAAAAAAAAAAAGACTCAAAAGGATAAAACTGTTTCTAAATAACTATGTCTCAGAATAAAGCTCAAGAATATGTATAGGAAAACAAAAATGTCCAGCAGTCAAAAGGTAAAAATCACAATGTCTGGCATCCAATAAAAAATTACAAAGAAGTAGAAAAATATGGCAAATAATTAGAAGAAAACTCAATCCTTGAAAATTACTTCAGGGTGGGCAACATGGAGAAACCTTGTCTCTACAAAAAATACAAAATTTAGCTGGGTGTGGTGGTGTGTGCCAGGAGTCCCAGCTACTCAGGAGGCTGAGGTGGGAGGATCACTTGAGCTTGGGAGATTGATGCTGCCGTGAGTTGTGATCATGCCACTGCACTCTAGCCTGGGCAACAAAGCAATACTAAAAAAAAAAAGGAGAGAAAGAGAAAGAGAGAGGGAGGGAGGGGAGGGAAGGGGAGAGAGAGAGAGGGAAGGAGGGAGAAAGGGAGAGGGAGAGGAAAGAAAAAGGAAAGGAAGAAAAAGAAAGAAAGAAACACGGAAGGAGGAAGGAAGGAAGGGAAAAAAGAAAGAAAAAAGAGAAAGAAAGAAGAAGGAAGGAAGGAAAAGAAAGAGAGGAAGGGAGGGCGGGAGGGACAGGAGAGAGGGAGGGAAGGAGGGAGGGAGAGGAAAGGAAGGAAGGAAGGAAGGAAAAGAGGGAGGGAGGGAGAGAGGGAAGGCAGGCTGGTCAAAATAACACAATGACAGAAATAGCAGACAATTACATTAAAATAGCTATTATAACTGTACTGTATATTCAAGGAGATAGGGAAAAGATTGAGTTTGGTAACTAGAGACATGAAAGATGCAGAAAAACTAAAATCAAACTTCTAGAGATGAAAATCCCAGTATCTGAGATTAAAAAAAAATGGATGAGATTAGCAACAGATTACACATTGTGGAAGAAATGATTATTAAATATGAAGAAATATTAATAAAAGCAATCCATAATAAAACACAGAGCATAAGAAATTTTTTTTAATGAACAAAGCATCAGTGAGCTTTGGGTCACATTCAGGTGACCTAATGTAAGTTTAATCGGCATCCCCAAAGAAAAATATTTGAACAAACAATAGCCAAGATTTTCCAAATTTGATGAAAATAATAAATTCACAGATACAAAAAAAGCCAATAAATATAAGCATAAGAAACATGAAGGAAACTGCAACAAGAAACATCATAATCGGCTGGGCATAGTGGCTCATGCCTGTAATCCCAGCACTTTGGGAGGCCGAGGCGGGTGGATCATGAGGTCAGGAGATCGAGATTATCCTGGCTAACACAGTGAAACCCCATCTCTACTAAAAATACAAAAAAAAAAAAAAATTAGCCGGGCGTGGTGGCAGGCAGTTGTAGTCCCAGCTACTCGGGAAGCTGAGGCAGGAGAATGGCATGAACCCAGGAGGCAGAGCTTGCAGTGAGCCAAGATAGGGCCACTGCACTCCGGCCTGGGTGACAGAGAGAGACTCTGTCTCAAAAAAAAAAAAAAAAAAGAAAGAAAAAGAAAAAGAAACATCATAATCAAAAAGCCTAAAACCTATGATAAAGAGAATGCTTTTTTATTTTTATTTTTTGAGATGGATTTTCACTCTGTCGCCCAGGCTGGAGTGTGGTGGCACAATCTCGACTCACTGCAACCTCCGCCTCCCGGGTTCAAGCGATTCTCCTGCCTCAGCCTCCCAAGTAGCTGGGACTACAGGTGTGAGCCACCACATCTGACTGATTTTTTTTTGTATTTTTAGTGGAGACGGGGTTTCACCGCGTTAGCCAGGATGGTCTCAATCTCCTGACCTCGTGATCTGCCTGCCTCCGCCTCCCAAAGGGCTGGGATTACAGGCGTAAGCCACCATGCCTGGCCAAGAGAACACTTTTAAAACAACCAGAGGAAAAAAAGCTATTACATACAGATGAACAAACATAAAAGAACATGAGATTTCTCATTAGTAATGACACAATCCTGAAGACAGTGGAGCAGTTAGTGGTAGACTACTGAGGAAAAAAACTGTCAACCTAGAATTCTAAACCCAGTGAAAATACCTTTCAAAAACAATGGCGATAGTCACTTTTTAAAATGTGAAACACCGTTCAGAAAAATGAGGATCGTGTTATGGTTTCAATCTGTATCCCCACCCAAATCTCATGTCGAATTGTGATCTCCAATGTTGGAGGTGGAGTCTGGTGGGAGGTGATTGGATCATGAGCATGGATCCTTCATGAATAGTTTAGCACCCTTGGTGCTGTTCTCATGATAATGAGTAAGTTCTTGAGAGATCTGGTTGTTTAAAAGTGTGTAGCAATCCCCCACACACACACCCAGCTCTCTCTCTTGCTCCTGCTTTGGCCATGTGATGTGCCTGCTACCCCTTCACTTTCCACCATAATTGTTAAGTTTCCTGAGGCCTCCCCAGAAAGGGAGCAGATGCTAGCATCATGCTTCCTGTACAGCCAACAGAACCATGAGACAGTTAAACCTCTTTTCATTATAAATTACCCAGTCTCAGGTACTTCTGTACAGCAATACAAGAATGAACTAATACAGATTGCTTTCCTTGATGTGTGAGAGTCATCATCTCTCCTCTTGGTTCATTATTGGGTGTGCTATAAATAAAATCATTAGCAATTAAAGTGAGATTTGCCCACACACACAAAAAGCAAAATAAAGATATTTCTCAAACATGCACATGATGAAAGAATTCCTCATCAGCAGAACTGCAGTACAAGAAATACTAAAGGAAGTAGTTCAGGCAAAATAAAACTAATAACAAATCTGCATCTATACAAAGGAATGATGAGCATCAAAAAATGGTAGGCATATGGGTAAATATGAAAGACTTACCCATTTTAAAGAGATTTAAAGAACAATAACTTTTCTTTAAATATTTAAATCTCTCTAAAGAGTTATCACAGTGTATTGTGGGCTTTTTCACATATGTAGAAATAAAATGTATGACAATGATAGCACAAACGCTGAGGGAAGAGAAATGGAAATATACTGTAGTAAGATTCTTATTCTGTAAATTCATCGGCATAATATCACATGAAGCTAGACCACAATAAGTTAAAGATGTACACAATGAGCCATAAAGCAACCATGAAAAAAAGCAAAACAAAACTAATAAGGCAACAAAGAAGATAAAAATAGAATCATAAAAATAATCTATAAGAAGGAAAGAAGAACAAAGAACCTATGGTAGAAAAATAACATTATTGATTTAAGCTAACTATATGAATAATCGCTTACAATTTAAATAGCCTAAACAACTCAATTAAAGGCAGAGATTGTCCAATTGTATTTTAAAGACAAACACTCAAAAATATGCTGCCCACAAGAAATCCAATATAAATATAAAGACATGTATAGGGTAAATTATTATTGACTACCCCACCCAAATGCAACAGAATACATATTATTTTTTAATGCACACATAGAACATTTACAATGATAGACAATATTTTTGGCTACTGAAAAGTCTCAATACATTTTAAAAGATCTAAATCATGCAAATTATGTTCTCTGGCCACAATGGAATTCAATTAGAGTAAATAAAATGCGGGTTTCTGGGATATCCCTAAATATTTGGAAAATAACACACTACCAAATAACCCATGGGTCAAAGGAAATTAAAGGAGAAATTAGAAAATAATTTGAACTGAATGAAAAGGAAGATGTAACATATCAATATTTATGGGACACAGATTGAGTACTTAAAGAGAAATTTATAACACTAAATGCCTATATTAAAAAAGAAGAAAGATATAAAATCAGTTAAGCAAATAGAAGTTCAAATGACATCACCAAGATGGTGGATGAGAAGGTAATGCCCATCCCCCACTGAGAAAAACAACGAATAAACAACTACATACCAACCAAAATAGCTCTGGGAGAGCTGCAGAGTACAATGAAAAACTTGCAGCAACCCAAAGGACCACACAAACCAAGATAGCCATATTAAAAAATACAGAAAGTATCCTACCTACTCCACCCCATCCCCCAGTCCAAGCACAGCTTTGCACCAAGAGGCATCTCCTGGACACAACCCACAACCTCCACCTGTGGGAGAAAAGTAGAGCAGGAGGACCCCAGCATCCTTTGCCACCAATGCAAACATTGACCACTTTTACCACTGAGGACCCCTGCAGTTTCCACCAGTGATGATCTCAACTGACAGAGCTTTCCAGGGTCCATGCTGCTGTGTCCCCCTGGAGAAGAAGCTGCTGTGTCCCCAGTGGCCAAGATTACCAACTCACCGTCTCACAATTGCATGTATGCTCTAGACCCCAGAGCCAAGGCTGCTACATGTATGATGGACACTTCTGACACTGGCACCACCACTGCCATGGGCACACCTGTACCCCAGATCATAGAGCCATGGCTGTTCTGTGTGCAACCAAGCATCAAATACCAGCACCACTACCAACATGAGCACACCTGCACTGTGGATCTGGCACAAAAAGGGATCCCATCAGCTGTGAAGTTCCCCCAAGCAGGAATAAGAGAACAGGAAAATGCCAGCAGCCTTTGCTGTTGCATTTGGGTGGGGTAGTCAATAATAATTTACCCTATACATGTCTTTATATTTAGAGTACCCAAGCAACTTTTTCTGCTGCTGTGTACACCCACAGCCTTGGCTGCTGAGGGCCTCCAGAGCCATTGGCCATGCTGATCTCAGCTGATGGAGCTTTATAGAGAGTATGCTGCTGTACCCACCATGGAGTTGGAGCTGATGCTGTGGCTTCCCAGAGCTAGAACCACCACACCCAACTCAGACAGCATCTTCATGCCCACTTATAAATGGTCTTTCCCTATTGAAATGAGTCCATACAGTCTGGAAGAGGTGGCTATTACTTCAAACATGCAGACATCACTACAAGGCTAAAGAAACATAAAAAAATCAAGGAAATATTACACCGCCAAAGGAACACAATAATTTTTCAGTAATTAACCCCAAAGAAATAGAGATCTATGAACTACCTAAAGAATAATTCAAAATAATTGTTTAAGGAAGCTTGGTGGCTACAAGAAGACACTGGGAATTCAGTGAAACCAGAAAAGCAATACAAGAACAGATTAAAAGTTCAAGAAAGAGATAGAAATCATTTTAAAATAACCAAACAAATTATGGAGTTGAAGAATACAATGAATGAAATTGAAAATACAATAGAGAATTTCAACAGCAGACTTGATCAAGCAAAATAATTTTAAAAAAAAATCTGTGAACCTGAAGACACATCATTTGAAATTATCTAGTCAGCAGACAAAAGAGAAAAAAGAATGGAAAACAGTAAAGAAAGCCTATGGGATTTATGGAATACCATCACTGAAATCAATATATGTATTTGGGAGTTCCAAAACCAGAAGAGTGGCTGAGCACTGTAGCTCATGCCTGTAACCCTAGCACATTGGGAGGCCAAGGCAGGAGGATCACTTGAGCCCAGGAGTTCAAGACCAGCCTGGGCAACATAGTGAGACCTGGTCTGTACAAAAAATGTAAAAATTAGCTGGGTGTGATGGTGCATGCCTGTGGTCTCCACAACTCAGGAGGCTGAGTTAGGAGGATCACTTGCACCCAGGAGGTCAAGGCTGCAATGAGCTGTGATTGCACCACTGCACTCCAGCCTGGGCAACAAAGCAAGATGCTGTCTCAAAGAGAGAGAGAGAAAATAAAAAAGAAAAAGTAGGAGAGAGGGCAGAAAGCTTATTAAAAAAAAATAATAAAGGCTAAAAACTTCCCAAATCTTGAGAGAGATATAGACATCCAGATTCATGATACCAAATAGCCCCCAAATAGAATCAACCCAAAGAAGACTACATCAAGGCATATTATAATCAAATTACCAAAAGTTAAGGACAAAGAGAATTTTGAAAGCAGTAAGAGAAAAGTAACTGATCACATATAAGGGAGACTCGATGGGACTATTGGAAGATTTCTCAGAAGAAAACTTGCTGACCAGGAGAAAATAGGGTGATATAACCCAAGTACTGAAAGAAAAAAAAATGCCATTTAAGAATACTATTCCTAGAAAAATTTTCCTTTAAAAATGAAGGAGAGGCTGGGCATGGTGGCTCACACCTGTAACCCCAGCATTTTGGAAGGCTGAGGTGGAAGGATCACTTAAACCTAGGAGTTTGAGACCAGCCTGGGCAACATGGCAAAACCTCATCTCCACAAAAAAAATTTAAAAATTAGCCAGGTGTGGTGACACACTCCTGTAGTCCCAGATACCAGGGAGGCTGAGGCAGGAGGCTTGCTTGAGCAGAGGTGTTTGAAGTTGCAGTGAGGCATGATCACACCACAGCACTCTAGCTTGGGCAACAGAGCAAGATTCTGTCTATAAAAATAAAACTAAAGGGCTGGGCGCAGTGGCTGATACCTGTATCCCAGTACGTTGGGAGGCCAAGGTGGGCGGATCCCCTCAGGTCAGGAGTTTGAGACCAGCCAGACCAACATGGTGAAACCTTGTCTCTACTAAAAATACAAAAATTAGCTGGGCGTAGTGGTACATGCCTGTAATCCCAGCTACTCAGGAGGCTGAGGCAGGAGAATCGCTTGAACCAAGGAGGTAGAGGTTGCAGTGAGCTGAAATTGCACCATTGCACTCCAGCCTGGGTGACAAGAGTGAAACTCTGTCTCAAAATAAATAAATAAATAAAAATAAAACTACAAATAAGATTAAACAAAACATAAGACAAAAATTTGCAGGGGCTGGGCGTGGGGGCTCATGCCTATAATCTCAGCATTTTGAGAGGCCGAGACGGGCTGATCACCTGAGGTCAGGAGTTTGAGACCAGCCTGGCCAACATGGTGAAACCCCGTCTCTACTAAAAATACAAAAATTAGCCGGTTGTGGTGGCAGGCACCTGTAATCCCAGCTACTTGGGAGGCTGAGGCAGGAGAATCGCTGGAACCTGGGAGACAGAAGTTGCAGTGAGCCAAGATCACACCACTGCACTCCAGCCTGGGAGACAGAGTGAGACTCCATTTTAAAAAAAATTTTTTTTCTAATGGATATACAGTATAAAAACAAGCCAGCAGCCAACAAGATCACAAAGTGTGCAGGGGTGCAGGGATGGAGAGTAAAAGTCTAGTGTTTTTGTAAGCAATTGAAGTTAAGTTTTTTTGTTGTTGTTGTTTTATTTTTGAGACGGGGTCTCGCTCTGTCTCCCAGGCTGGAGCGCAGTGTCGCATCTCTGCTCACTGCAAGCTCTGCCTCCTGGGTTCACACCATTCTCCTGCCTCAGCCTCCCAAGTAGCTGGGACTACAGGCACCTGCTACCATGCCCGACTAATTTTCTGTATTTTTTTAGTAGAGACGGGGTTTCACGGTGTTAGCCAGGATGGTCTCAATCTCCTGACCTCGTGATCTGCCTGCCTCAGCCTCCCAAAGTGCTGGGATTACAGACGTGAGCCACTGCACCCAGCTGAAGTTAAGTTGTTATCAACTAAAAATAAGTTACAACTCCAAGCTAACCATAAAGAAAAGACCTATGGTTGGGCACAGTGGCTCATGCCTGTAATCCCAGCACTTTGGGAGGCCAAGATGGGCAGATCACTTGAGGTCTGAGGTCAGGAGTTCAAGACCAGCCTTGCCAACATGGTGAAATCCTATCTCTACTAAAAATACAAAAATTAGCCAGGCGTGGTGGCAGGCACTTATAATGCCAGTTACTTGGGAGGCTGAGGCAGGAGAATCACGTGAACTTGGGAGGTGGAAGTTGCAGCCAGTCAATATCACACCACTGCACTCAGCCTGGGTGACAGAGTAAGACTCCGTCTCAAAAAAAAAAAAAAAAAAGAGAAGACAGTACAACCGATACCACAGAAACAAAAAGATGTATAAAGGACTATTATGAACAATTACATGCCAACAAACAGGAACAAACAGGATCACCTAGAAGAAATGGATAAATTTCTAGAAACATACAACCTACCAAAACTGAAGCAAAAAATAGAAAGCCTGAACAGACCAATAAAAAATAAGGCAACTGAATCAGTACTCAAAAAATCTCCCAAAAAAGAAAGCCCAGAACCAGATGGCTTCATAGGTGAATTCTACCAAGCATTTTAAAAAGAATGAACACCTAATCTTTCTTAAACTCTTGTGAAAAATAGAAGAAAAGGGAACACTTCAGAAGTTATTCTGCAAGGCCAAAATTACCCTGATACCAAAACCAGACAAAGATACTCCGAGAAAAGAAAACCTCAGGCCAATATACCTGATTAACTTAGATGTAAAAACCCTCAATGAAATACTAGCAAAACTAATTCAACAGCACATTATAAAAATTATACACCATAGGCCGGGCATGGTGGCTCACACCTGTAATCCCAGCACTTTGGGAGGCCGAGGTGGATGGATCACCTGAGGTCGGGAGATCAAGATCAGCCTGACCAACATGGAGAAACCCCGTCTCTACTAAAAATACAAAAATTAGCTGGGCATGTTGGCAGGTGCCTGTAATCCGAGCTACTCAGGAGGCTGAGGCAGGAGAATTGCTTGAACCTGGGAGGCAAAGGTTGCAGTGAGCCGAGATCGCGCCACTGCACTCCAGCCTGGGCAACAAGAGCAAAATTTCGTCTCAAAAAAAAAAAAAAATTATACACCCTGAGCAAGTGCAATTTGCTTATTTATTTGTTCATTTGTTTTATTATCCCTGGAATGCAAGTATGGTTCAACGTATGAAAATCAATCAATGTGATACAACATATTAGCTAAAGAAAAAATGTGATTATCTCAATAGATGCAGAAAAAACGTTTGGCAAAGTACAATATCTATTCATGACTCTCAACAAAAGAGGTACAGAAGAAACTTACCCTAAAATAATAAAGGCCATTATGAAAAGTCCACAGCTAATATCATAACCAATGGGGAAAAACTACAAGCTTTCCTTCTAAGATCTGGTACAAGGCAAGGATGCCCACTTTCACCTTCTTTTCAACATAGTACTAGAAGTCCTAGCCAGAGCAATGAGACAAGAAAAAGCCATCCAAACAAAAAAGAAGTAAACTTATCCTTCTTTGCAGATGGTGTGATCATGTACATAGAAAACACAGAAGACTCAATGAAAAAACTGTTAGAACTAATAAATGAATTCAGTAAATTTGCAGGGTACAAAAATCAACATAAAAAAATTAATCAGGCCAGGCGTGGTGGCTCATGCCCATAAGCCTAGCACTTTGGGAGGCCAGGTCAAGAGAATTGCTTGAGTCCAGGATTCAAGACCAGCCTGGGCAACATAAGGAGACCCCCATATCTACAAAAATTTTTTTAAATTAGTCGGGCATGGTGGCTCACGTCTGTAATCCCAGCACCTTGGGAGGCAGAGGCGGGCAGATCACTTGAGGTCAGGAGTTTGAGACCAGCCTGGCCAACATGGTGAAACCCCATCTCTACTAAATACAAAAGATTAACCTGGTACAGTGGTGCATGCCTGTAATCCCAGCTACTTGGGAGTCTGAGGCAGGAGAATTGCTTGAACCTGGGAGGCAGAGGTTGCAGTGAGTTGAGATTGTGCATTGCACTCCAGCCTGGGCAACAAGAGTGAAAACTCCATCTCAAAAAAAAAAAAAAATTAGCCAGGCTAATTTAAACGGTGGTGCATGCCTGTGGTTCCAACTATTTGGGAGGCTGATGTGGGAGAATAGTTTGAACCCGAGAGGTCAAGGCTGCAGTGAGTCGTGATTGTGCTACTACACTCCAACCTGGATGACAGAACAAGACCCTGTGTCAAAAAATAATAATAATAATCACATAAAAAAATTTTGAGACAGAGCCTTGCTCTGTCACCCAGGCTGCAGTGCAGTGATGTTATCATAGCTCACTGTAGTCTTAAACTTCTGGACTCAAGCAATCGTCCTGCCTCAGCCTACTGATAATCTGGGACTACAGGCACATGCCACCAGCCCCACTAATTTTATCTTTTTGTAAAGACAGGGTCTTGCTATGTTGCCCAGGCTAGTCTCAAACTCCTGGCCTCAAGCAATCCTCCTGCCTCAGCCTCCGAAAGCACTGGAATTACAGGCATGAGCCACCATGCCCAGCCCTAGTCACATTTCTAGACACAAACAGCAAAGTAGTCAGAAAGAAAATTAAGGAAACAATCCCATTCCCATTAGCAACAAAAAGAATAAAATATTGAGGAATAAACTTAGCCAAAAAGACTTGTACACTAAAATTATAAAACATTGAAGGAAATTAAATAACATTATAGATAAATGAAAAAGATATCGCATGTCCATAGATTGAAAAAATATTGGTAAAATGTTCATACTACCCAAAGTGATCTACAGATTTAACGCCATCCCTATCAAAATCCCAATGGTATTCTTTACAGAAATAGACAATAGAATCCTAAAATTCACATGGGATGACAAAAGACCTAGAATGTCCAAAGCAATCTTGAGCAAGAACAAAGCTGGATTAATCACACTTCCCAATTTTGAAATGTATTATAGCCAGATACAGGGTAGTCCCAGCTACCTGGGAGTGGAGTCTGAGGCAGGAGGATGCTTCAGCCTAGGAGTTTGAGGCTGCAGTGTGCTATGATTGCACCTGTGAATAGCCACTGCACTCTAGCCTGGGCAACATAGATACACACACACACACACACACACACACACACACACACACACATATACACACACACACACATTATAGTAATGAAAACAGTATGGTACTTGCATAAAAACAATATATAGAGCAAAGGGACAGAATAGAGCTCCCAGAAACAAATCCATGCATCTATAGTCAACTGATCTTCAACAAGGATGCCAATAACACACAATTGGAAAAGGATCATCTCCTTGATAGTGTTGGAAAAACTGGATATACAAATGCAGAAGGATGAAATTGGATCCATGTCTCACACTATATACAAAAATCAACTCAAAAAGGATTACAGATCTAAGCTTAAAAGCTAAAACCATAAAACTCCTAGAAGAAAACATAGGGGAACATTTTCTTGATATTGGCCTGGGAAATGATTTTTTTTTTGATGTGACACAAAAAGCACAAGCAACAGAAGCAAAAATAGACAAATGAGACTGCATCAAACTAAAAAGCTTCTGCACAGCAAAGGAAACAACAGAGAAAAAAGGCAGTCTAAGGAATGGGAGAAAATATTTTCAAACTATGTATCTGATAAGAGGTTAACATTTAAAATATATAAGGAACTCATACAACTGAATAACAAAAAAAAAAAAAGAAAGAGAGAATAAATTTAAAAAATAAATAAATAACCCTACTTTAAAATGAGCAAAGGACCTGAATAGACATTTCCCAAAAGAAGGCATACAGATGGCCAATAAGTATATGAAATCATCGGAGAAATGCAAATCAAATGAAATGTCACCTCACACCTGTTAGAATTAGTATTATCAAAAAGACAAAAGCCAGGTATGGTGGCTTGCGCTTATAATTTCAGCTATTCAGGAGACTGAGGTGGGAGGATCACTTGAGCCCTGGAGTTCAAGACGAACCTGAGCAACATAGTGAGACTTTGTCTCCAAAAATTATATATATATAATTTTATATAATAATTTTAACAATTTTATATAATAATTTATATAATAAATTATATATATCATTTTTATATATAATTTTGTCTCCAAAAATTTTATATATATATACACATATATATATACACATATATATACACATATATATACACATATATATATACACATATATATATATATATATACACACACATATATATAGAGAGAGAGAGAGAGAAGAGGGTCTCACTTGTCACCCAGGCTGGAGTTGGTGGTGCAGTCTCAGCTCACTGCAACCTCTACTTCCCAGGCTCAAATGATCCTCCTGCCTCAGCCTCCTGAGTGGCTAATTTTTTTTTTGTTTTTGTTTTTGTAGAGACAAGGTTTCACTACATTGCCTAGACTGGTCTCAAACTCCTGGACTCAAGTGATTCATCTACCTGGGCCTCCCAAAGTGCTGGGATTACAGGTGTGAGCCACTGTGCCTGGCCCCCAAAATTTTTTAAATTTAAATTTAAATTTTTTAAATCACCAAACTCCATGCCTGGCATGTGCCTGTAGTCCTAGCTACTCAGAAGGCTGAGGTGGGAGGATTGCTTGAGACCAGGAGTTCAGGCTGCAACTCCAGCCTGGGTGACAGAGCAAGACTCCCTCTTGAAAAAAAAAAAAAGGTTTATTTCTTTATATTAGCAATGGAAGTAGAAATTAATAAATAATACTATTTATAATAGCATCAAAAATACTAAATGTAAAGATATCTGACAGGAGATGTGCAAGACTTATACACAAAAACTACAAGTCATTGCTAAGACAAATTGAAGTTCTAAATAAATGGAGAGATATACTGTGTTTATAAATCAGAAGACAATATGGCTATGAATTCAGTGCTCTCCAAATAATTCATATATAGATTTAATGCAATCCCAGTGAAAATTCCAACAGGCTTTTTTGTAGAAATTGACAAGTTAACTCTAAAATTTGTATGGAAATGCAAAGGACCTAACATAACCAAAACAACTTTGAATAATAAAAACAAATTAGAAAATGTCACTATCTAACTTCAAAGCTTTTTATAAAGTTATAGTCGTCAGGCCTGGGGGCATGATGGCTCATGCCTGTAATCCCAGCACTTTGGGAGGCCAATGCTGGCAGATCACCTGAGGTCAGGAGTTTGAGACCAGCCTGCCCAACATGTCAAAACCCCGTGTCTACTAAAAATACAAAAATTAACCAGGCATGGTGACAGGTGCCTGTAATCCCAGGTACACAGGAGGCTGAGGCACGAGGATTGCTTGAACCCAGGAGGCAGAGGTTGCAGTGAGCCAAGATTGTGCCACTGCACTCCAGCCTGGGCGACAAAGTGAGACTCTGTCTCAAAAAAAAAAAAAAAAGGTTATGGTCATGAAGACTACGTTTTATTGGAATAGAAATAAAGAACTATATCACCATATCAATCAAACAGAATGAAGAGTCCAGAAACAGTCTCTCAAATATGTGCTTAGTTTATTTTTTGACAAAGGTGCAAATGCAATTCAATGGAGAAAGCGTAATCTTTTCAATAAATGGTACTGAAACAACTGGATATCTATATGCAAAAACTAAGCTTTGATCCATACATCACACCATATACAAAAATTAACTGAAGATATATTTTCGACCTAAATGTAAAACCTAAAAAAACTGTAAAACTTCTAGAAGAAAATGTAACAGAAAATCTTTGTAACCTTGGGTTAGGTAAAGATTTCTCTTAATATACCAAAAGCAGCCAGGCCCAGTGGCATGTGCCTCTAATCCCAGCTACTTTTTCTGAATTCATTGACATGATCATATGGGATTTTTTGACTTGTTAATATGGTGAAATACATTGATTGATTTTCAAATATTAAACCATTTATGCATTCCTTCCATAAACCCAATTGGTCATTTATGTATTATCTTTTTATATATTGTTGGGTTTGATTTGATAAAACACCAGCTACTGGAAGGCTGGGAGGATTGCTTGAGCCCAGGAGTTCAAGACCAGCCTGGGCAAGATAATGAGTTTTTAACACACACACACACACACACACACACCAGGCTGGGTGCTGTGGCTCATGCCTGTAATCCTAGCACTTTGGGAGGCCAAGGCAGGTGGATCCCTTGAGCTCAGCAGTTTGAGGCCAGCCTGGGCAACATAGCGAGACCCCATCTCTACAAAAAAATTTTTAATTAGTTGGGCATGGTGTTAAGTGCCTGTAGTCCCAGTTATTCAGGAGTCTGATGTGGGAGGTTGGCTTGAGCTTCAGAGGCAATGGTTGCAATGAGCCAAGGTCACACCACTGCACTCCATCCTGGGCAACAGAGCCAGACCCTGTCTCAAAAACAAAACAAAACAAAAGAACATACCAAAAGCACTACCCATAAAGAACCAATTGATAAATTGGACTTTATCAAAATTTAAAACTTCTGCTGTTCAAAAACATTATTAAAAGAATGAAAAGACAAGCCATTAACTAGGAGAATATACTTTCAAATCACACATTTAATAAAAGACTTATATCCAGAACATATGAAGAACTTTCTAAAGTTAATAAGAAAAAAAAAACCCAATAAAAATAGGGGAAATATTTTACTAGAAACTTCAAAAAAGACATACAGTAGGCAAATGAAAAGATCATTAGTCATTAGGGAAATGCAAATTAAAACCACAATGAGATAGCAATACATACCTACTAGAAAGCCTAAAATTAAAAGAACTTTTTATATTATGTGTTGACGAGAATGTAGAGCAACTAGAACTGCAAATGGGAGTATAAATGATACAACAACTTTGGAACATATTTCGATAGTTTCTTTAGAAAACATACATTAACCTGCCACATGATTCAGTTATCCCATGCCTAGGTATTTACTCAAAAGAAATGAGGGTATATTCTATGCAAAGGTTGTAAAATAATGTTCATAACAGTTTTACATGTCAAAGCCAAAAACTTGTAATTACCCAAATAGCCATCAACAAGTGAATAGATAAGTAAACTGTGATATATCCATACAATGGAATACTATTCAACAATAAAAAGAATGCAGCTACATGAATGAATCTCAATTATGCTAGTGAAAGAAGACATTTAAAATCAATACACACTATATGATTCTGTTTATTTAAAATTCTATAAATGCAAGATAAGATACAGTAAATAAAAGATTCGTGGTTGCCTGGGGATTGGGGGAGGGAGCAAAGAGAATAGAAATGTGATTACAAAGGTGTGATATAATAAGAAATATATACAGATGCTTCTCAATTTATGATAGCAGGGTTACCTCCTAATAAACCTATCATAAATTTAAAATACCATGTCAAAAATGTATTTAAGACACCTAATCTGCTGAACATCTCATTGCTTAGTGTAGCCTACCTTAAATGTGCTCAGAACACATTAGCCTACAGTTGGACAAAATCATCTAACACAATCCCTATTTTATAATAAAGTGTTGAATATCTCATGTAATTTATTGAATACTAAAGTGAAAAACAGTATAAGTATTGAAGTAGTTTGTGGAAATAAGTAATTCAAAATCTAAGCTGGGCTGGGTGTGGTAGCTCACGCCTGTAATCCCAACACTTTGGGAGGCTGAAGCGGGTGGATTGCTTGAGGTCAGGAGTTCAAGACCAGCCTGGCCAACATGGTGAAACCCTGTCTCTACTAAAATTACAAAAATTAGCCAGGCATGGTGGCACATGCCTGTAAACCCAGCTATGTCAGGAGGTTGAGGCACAAGAATTGCTTGAACCAAGGAGACAGAGGTTGCAATGAGCCGAGATTGCGCCACTGCACTCCAGCCTGGGTGACACAGAGAGGCTCTGACTCAAAAAAAAAAAAAAAAAAAAAAAAAATCTAAGCTGTTGGTAGACGACTCATATAAAAAATTTTTTAAAAACAAAATCTGGCCAGGCACAGTAGTTCACGCCCATAATCCCACCACTTTGAGAGGCCAAGGCGGGCAAATCACTGGAGCTCAGAAGTTTGAAGAGATCAGCCTGGCCAACATGGTGGAACTCCGTCTCTACCAAAAATAAAAAAATTAGCTGGGCAGGGTGGTGCACGCCTAGTAATCCCAGCTATTTGGGAGGCTGAGGCTGGAGAATTATTTGAACTAGGGAGGTAGAGTTTGCAGTTAGCCGAGATCGCTCCACTGCATTGCAGCCTGGGTGACAGAGCAAGACTCTGTCTCAAACAAACAAACAACAACAACAAAACACACACACACACACACACAAACTCTAAAATATTTTGCGCCTTAAGGGAACACGATTATGGCACCTGAGTCACATGACAGGCAGTCAAAACCTTTGTTTATCTGATTAGATTGGCCTTCTTCCTTACCTGCCTTACCTGCCTTGTTTTGTAAATGCTGTAAATAACTAAAGAGTGTTTAGTGATGTTGCACTATGGAAGGGAAGACTCCTTCCTTCTTTATTTACTTACTGTTTTTTTTTTTTTTTTGAGATAGAGTCTCGCTCTGTCGCCCATGCTGGAGTGCAGTGTCACGATCCTGGCTCACTGCAAGCTCCACCACCCGGGTTCACACCATTCTCCTGCCTCAGCCTCCCGAGTAGCTGGGACTACAGGCGCTCGCCACCATGCCCGGCTAATTTTTTTTTGTATTTTTAATAAAGACAGGTTTTCACCATGTTAACCAGGATGGTCTCGATCTCCTGACCTCGTGATCTGCCTGCCTCGGCCTCCCAAGGTGCTGGGATTACAAGCATGAGCCACTGTGCCTGGCCCTTTATTTACCGTTTTTTTAGAGACAGGATTTTCCTATGTCACCCAGGCTGGTCTCCAACTTCTGGGCTTAAGCAATCCTCCCACCTAGGCCTCCCAAATGGGAATTCTCATTCACTGTTGTGAGAGTGTAAATTGCAGTGAAATTAAGCATCTGTGCATCCTAAAACCAAGCAATCCCAGATAAATTTGCACTCTTAAAGGTCAGGTATGAAGATGTTTGCGGAGGCATTTTTTGATATTTTTGATAGCATGGGTTCAAGGTACTTAGATGTTCACTGGGAGAACAGGTAGCAAATTGTGGTGGCTATCACTACAGAATACAGTGCAACACTTTGAGGGAATGAACTATGCACATCTATATAGTAACAAGGACAGATTTTTTTTTAACATGAGAGTGTAAAAAAAAGAAAAAGAAAAAAAAAGGCCAGGCACAGTGGCTCACACCTTTAATCCCAGCACTTTGGGAGGCCGAGGCGGGCAGATTACAAAAGGTCAGGAGTTCAAGACCAGCATGGCCAACATGGTGAAAGCCCATCTCTACTAAAAATACAAAAAAAAAATTAGCCGGGCATGGCAGCAGGCACCTATAATCCCAGCTACTCGGGAGGCTGAGGCAGGAGAATCACTTGAACCCAGGAGGTGGAGGCTGCAGTGAGCCGAGATCACGCCATTGCACTCCAGCCTGGGTGACAGAGGGAGACTCTGTCTCAAAAACAAACAAACAAAAAACCCAAAGAGGTCTAAAGTCCATTGCATTATTCCCAGCAATTCACTCCCTTCTACCAGTTGTCATAAAACTTGCAATGCCAATACTCGCAATGGATATATTTCCTCATCCCATTGTTGAGTTTAGTTATCATGTGTGGGAGCAGATGTGACACATGCCAATTCAAGCTGAAGTTTTAAGAAACATCACAAATTCTGCCTATTTTTTTTTTACTATTCCTTTTGCAAGAAAATATAGCATGTCCCTCGCCAGTATGTTCCTTCAGCCCAGATCCTAAAGTGAGAAGATGGAGGAAGAGAACTTCAGTCTCCACCCACAATTACTGGTTTTTAGGATTTTAAATTTTAGGATTTTTTTCTTACTGCTGCAAGTCTAATACAAGCTTCATGTCAGAATATCATTTATAAAAATTAAAAATTAGAAATACACATGCAAACAACATAAAAGAATACATATATATCCAAGTGCATATTTCAGTTACATTAGAGTGGATGCCTATTACCAGGGGAAGGAATAAGAGTGGGAAATGGGATACAGGAAATAAAGAAACAAACAAGAGAGACACCTCGCACAGGTCGATGATGATCAGTGTTAAGAACTAAGCAGTAGCATTAACTCGACTCTCTGCATGTGCTGTACAAAGACAACAAAAACCTCTGGAGTGACAAGTAACTGTTGGAGAAAGGTCCTGGGGGACTTGGAAGAGGAGGGAATTCACAATCCAGGTAGAGAAAATCGGCCTTGGGATCACCTCCTCGTTCTGAGAGAGAAGCTGAGAGAAAGGCTTCTTAGGGATTCTGTTTTCAATGTAACCTGTACCAAAGGTGTTCTTCCAAGTGTGAGTGAGAAAGGGGCTCAAAGAGAGAGAGATAAGAGAACAATAAATTACTTTTCTCAAAGAACTCATATTCTTTTTTTTTTTTTTTGAGACGGAGTCTCGCTCTGTCTCCCAGGTTGGAGTGCAGAGGCAGGATCTCAGCTCACTGCAAGCTCCGCCTCCCGGGTTCACGCCATTCTCCTGCCTCAGCCTCCCTAGTAGCTGGGACTACCGGCGCCCATCACCACACCCGGCTAATTTTTTGTATTTTTAGTAGAGACAGGCTTTCACCGTGTTAGCCAGGATGGTCTCGATCTCCTGACCTCGTGATCTGCCCACCTCAGCCTCCCAAAGTGCTGGGATTACAGGCGTGAGCCCCCGCGCCCGGCCAAAGAACTCATATTCTTAATGAAAAGACTAAAATGCCCATTTTTGTATTTCAAATCCTACTCATCTATCAAGGTCTAGGCCAAAATTTACCTCTTCCGGAAAGATCCCCCCTGGATTCCCAATAGCTCTACCCTAAATAAATCTACAAATCACTCCTCTTCCTGCTGAAAATCCATAGCATTTATTATGTTAAATTGCGCCTGTGTTTTCTTTTCCGACCAGACTGAAGGATCCTTGAGGACGGCAGTACCTGGCATACCTACACAGTCAGCGTTCAACAAGTGTTTGCAAAGGTACATGATAATTAAAATGTCAGATAACCAATTATAAAAAATAAATTGGCCTGCACGGTGGCTCGTGCCTGTAATCCCAGCACTTTCAGAGGCTGAGGCGGGTGGATCACAAGGGCAAGAGTTCGAGACCAGCCTGGCCAACATGGTGAAACTCCGTCTCTACCAAAAATACAAAAATTAGCTGGGCGTGGTGGTGGGCGCCTGTAATCCCAGCTACTGGGAGACTGAGGCAGGAGAATTGCTTGAACCCAGGAGGCAGAGGTTGCAGTGAGCTGAGATTGCACCACTGCACTCCAGCCTGGGCAACAGAGCAAGACTCCGTCTCAATAAATAAATAAATAAGTCAACAGATCAGATAGCATTTCAGAAGAGGCTAAGAACATGTTGAACTGTTCAGGAAAGACTACATGGAATAGGGCCTTGAAAGAAGGGCAGGAATCAGCTAATTAGAAGACAGGAAGAGCATTTCAGGCCAAGGGAAAATGGTAAATAAACACAAAGAGTTAGAAGGATTGGAGGGAGGGCCAGGTGCGGTGGCTCATACCTGTAATCCCAGCACTTTGGGAGGCCAAGGCGGGCAGATTACTTGAGCTCAGGGGTTCAAGACCAACCTATTCAACATAGACCACATCTCTACAGAAAATTTTTAAAATAAAAAAATTAGCTAGGTATGGAGGCCCACACCTGTGGTCCTAACTACTCAGGAGGCTAAAGTGGGAGGATCACTTGAGCCTGGGAATTTGAGGCTGCAGTGAGCCATGATTGTGCCACCGTACTCCTGCCTGGGTGACAGAGCAAGATCTTGTCTCAAAAAATTTTTTCCAATAAAATAATTTTATTTATGTTCATAAATGTATTAGGGAAAATTTAGGATATGAGTTTCATCATCATGGGAGTGAGAACAACTTCCTAAGTAAGATAGTAACCTGGAAGCCATAAACATATATGTATGACAAGTCACGTAAATAAAATTAAGAGAGAAAGAAAAGAATAGGAAAAGACATTTTCAAAATATATACAAAGGACTTATTTTCCACAATATGTAAAGAAACTATTATAAATCAATATAAAAAAGACACTCAAGATTTAGCAATTTCCCATCTGGCATGTAAAAAGCTTGCAAGTCATCGCCCCAGCCTAACAATAAGTAAAAACCTGAACAAACTGAAAAATCAACACCCTTCTTACATCCACCAGAGTCATGAGGCCACAGGGCAAACCACTGCTTCCTAAATTGCAGAGACAGGCAGGCAAATGCAGGGAATCACAGCTTACCAGAGCAGAAACCCATGAGCAGGAACCAGTACCAGGGTACCAAAACCTGAGCTGTAATTGATGAATTGCTGGAGACTCAGTATGGACAACTCTGAGAATTAAAAACTCCAGGGGAAGCCAGTCATGGGAGGACCTCACATATTGTGAGTTTTACCTCCTAGAGCTCACCAGGTTCTCACAGTAAATATCAGAAAAATATCCCCTGTGCTTCTGGCTGGGGGAAGGAAAAGTAACCATTTCTAAATACACCTAAGCATTCTGTTCTTCTTAACAAGTCCTGTTCTCTCAAGAGAAACTATTTTGCCAGAACCTAAGCTTTTATTATTACTTTTTTTGCAGAGTCTATCCAAACTAGGGGAAGGAAAATATCCAGTTTCAGCCCGCTGTAGCCTTTACATTGGGGAAGGGAATATTAAATTCCATCCCACTCTAACCATCCTATACTACCTAAGGAGTGGAAGGATTGAGAAGCTTTTGCGAGGTGCGCAGTCCAGAGGCACAGGCTCACTAAATGACAGAGACCTAAGCATAGAACTATAGAATGCTTCCTCACTTCTTAACACCTTAACACATTACTAAATGCCTATTTACAGCATTTCTTTTTGTCTAATACATCATGCCTGGCTATCAAGAAAAAACTACAAGGCACACCAAAATGCAAAGAAGACAGTTTGAAAAGTCAAAACAGGCACCAGAACCAGACTCAGATATGGCAGGGATATTGGAATTATCATACTGGGAATTTTTAAAAAACTGTGATCAATATGTTAAGAGCTCTCTCTAATGGGTAAAGTAGACAGCATGCAAAAACAGGCAATGTTAACAAAGAGAAAGGAGAAGCAAGAAATGCTAGAGATCCTGCTCCATCAATAGCACTACGACGAAAGAATGCCTTTGATGAGTTTGTTAGTGGACTGGGTCCAGCTGAGGAAAGAGGCTCTGCACATAAGGCTACCTCAAAAGAAACTTTCAAAACTGAAAAGCAGCTAGACATGATGGCTCACACCTGTAATCCCAGCACTTCAGGAGGCTGGGAGGATTGCTTGAGCCCAGGAGTTCGAGACCAGCCTGGGCAACATAGTGAGACCCTGCCTTTACAAAAAAATGTATTTTGAATCAGCCAGGCATGGTGGTGCACGCTTGTGGTCCCAGCTACTCAAGAGGCTGAGATGAGAGGATCACTTGAGCCTGGGAGACTGAGGCTGCAATGAGCTGTGATCACACCCTTACACTCCAGTCTGGGCAACGGAGCAAGACCCTATCTCAAAAATAAAACGAAACCAAAACTGAAAAGCAAAGAGAAAAAAGACTAGAAAGAAGAAAAAGAATAACCAAGAACGGCGGGACAACTATAAAAGGTATAACATGTATAATGAGAATACCATAAAGAGAAAAAATAGAGAAAGGAACAGAAATATTTGAAGCAATGACTGTGAATTTCCCCCAAATTAATGTTGGCCACCAAACCACAGGTCCAAGAAGTTCAGTGAACACCAAGCAGATTAAATGACAAAAACGAAACCAACAACGACAAAAACACTACACCTAGGCATATCATATTTAAAACTGCAAAAAATCTAAGACAAAAAAAAAAAAACGATATTGAAAGAAGCCAGCGATGAGAAAAAAACCCTTACTTATAGAGAAGCAAAGATAAAAAGTACATCTACCGGCCAGGCGCGGTGGCTCATGCCTGTAATCCCAGCACTTTGGGAGGCTGAGGCGGGTGGATTGCCTGAGATCAGGAGTTCAAGACCAGCCTGACCAATATGGTGAAACCCCATCTCTACTAAAAATACAAAAATTAGCCATGCTTGGTGGCGTGCGCCTGTAGTCCCAGCTACTCGGGAGGCTGAGGCGGGAGAATCGTTTGAACCCGAGAAGCGGAGGTTGCAGTGAACAGAGATCGTGCCACTGCACTCTAGCCTGGGCAACAGAGAGACGATCCGTTTCAAAAAAAAAAATTATATCTACCTTCTCCTCAGGAACTATGCAAGCAAGAAGAAAGCGGAGAAAAATATATATATTTTAAGACACGGTCTTGCTCTATCACCCAGGCTAGAGTACAGTGGCACAATCATGGCTCACTGCAACCATGACCTCCTGGGCTCCAGCAATCATCCTGCCTCAGCTTCTGAGTAGCTAGAGCCACAGGCACACACCACCACACCTGGCTAATTATTTTATCTTATTTTTGTAGAGACAAAGTCTCTCTTTTGTAGAGAAGGGCCCAGGCTGGAGTAAAATATTTAAAGTATTGAGATATAAAAACCACTACCTTAGAAATCTGAACCATGTGAAATTATCCTTTAAAAATGAAGGTGAAGTAAACACTGTCTCAGACAAACAAAAAATAGGAGAATTTGTTGCCATTGGACTGGCCTTGCCAGAAATGTTAAAAGAAATTCTTTAGAGAGAAGCAAAATAATAGGTCAGAAACGTGGATCTACTTAAAGGAAGAAAGAACATCAGAGAAGGAACAAGTGAAGGTAAAACAAAAACTTTTCATATTCTTAATTGTTCTAACAGATAACAGTTTGTTCAAAATAAAAATAGCAATAGTATATTTGATTATGTATGCTTATATATATTCACATGCTTATGTACAAGTGAAATAAATGACAGAAATAATACAAGGGATTAGAGGGAGGAACTAGTATTATTTTGTTATTACAAGGTACTCACCCTACTGATGAAGCAGTATAGTATTATTTGAAAGTGGATTTGGGTTAGTTATAAATGTCTATTCTGACCACTAAGCAATGTAAAAAAATAAGTATAACTAATATGCTAAGAAAGGAGGGAAAATTGAATCATATGAAATGTTTATTTAAAACCACAAAAGGCAGATAAAAGAGCAGAAGACAAAAATAGGTACAAAGTATAAAAGCAACAACAGAAAACAGTAACAAATATGGTAGATATAAATCCAGCTATAGGCCAGGCGTGGTGGCTCACGTCTGTAATCCCAGCACTTTGGGAGGCTGAGGTGGGCAGATCACGAGGTCAGGAGATCGAGACCATCCTGGCTAACATGGTGAAACCCCCGTCTCTACTAAAAATACAAAAAAAACAAAAAAAAATTAGCTGGGCATGGTGGCGAGTGCCTATAGTCCCAGCTACTAGGGAGGCTGAGGCAGGAGAATGGCGTGAACCCAGAAGGCGGAGCTTGCAGCCAGCCAAGAACGCGCCACTGCGCTCCAGCCTGGGTGACAGAGCGAGACTCTGTCTCAAAAAAAAAAAAAAAAATCCAGCTATATCAATAATCACTTTAAACCACAATGGTCTGAATACACCAATTTGATGACAGAGATTGTCAGACTGATCAAACAATAAGACCCAACAATATCTGTTGTCTATAAGAAATCAAATATAAACAAAAACACTATTTTCATCTGTTTTGCTGCCGTAATAAAATAGCACAGATTGGGCAGTTTATAAAGGACAGAAATTTATGTCTCACAGTTCTGCAGGCTGGGAAGTCCAAGATCGAGGTGCTGGCAGGTTCCTTGTCTGGTGAGGGCCAGGTGTCTTGAATGCTGAATCCTCCAGAGTGGAGGACTGCTGGATCTTCACATGGCAGAAGGGCAAAAAGGATAAACTCCCTCTGTGAAGCCCTTATATAAGGGCATCTAATCCCATTCAGGAGGGCTCCACCCTCATAACTTAATTACTTCCCGAAGACCCCACCTTTCAATAGTGTCACATTAATAGTGCCATTAAGTTTCAACATGAATTCCATGGGGGATGGATGGGTGTTTGTTTTTGTTTCTTAGAGACAGGGTCCCCCTCTGTCATCCAGGTTAGAGTACAGCGATGTAATCATAGCTCACTGCAAGCCTCGACCTCCTGGGCTCAAGGAATCATCCTGCTTTAGCCTCCCGAGTAGCTAGGACTACAGGCATTTGCCAGCACTCCTGGCTAAGTTTCAACATGAATTTTAGAAGGTACACATTCAAATTTTAGAAGGGATGCATTCTGCCTCTGGCCCCCACAAAGTCATGTCCTTCCCATGTGCAAAATACTCATTCCATCCCAACAGCCCCCAAAGTCTTAACTCATTCCAGCATCAACTCAAAAGTCTAAGGTCCACAGTCTCATCTAAATCACATATGAGTGAGACTCAGTGCATGATTCATCCTGAGGCAAATTTCCCTCCAGCTATGAGCCCACGAAACCAAACAACTTACATGCTTCCAAAATGTAATAGTGGGACAGGTGTAGGACAGACGTTTCTTTTTCTTTTTTGTTTTTTTTTTTCGAGACGGAGTTTCACTCTTGTTGCCCAGGCTGGAGCGCAATGGTATGATCTTGGCTCACCACAACCTCCTCCTCCCGGGTTCAAGTGATTCTCCTGCCTCAGCCTCCTGAGTAGCTGGGATTACAGGCATGTACCACTACGCCCGGCTACTTTTGTATTTTTAGTAGAGACAGGGTTTCTCCATGTTGGTCAGGCTGGTCTCGAACTCACGACCTCCGGTGATCTGCCCGCCTCAGCCTCCCAAAGTGCTGGATTACAGGCGTGAGCCACTGTGCCCAGCCCAGGACTTACATTTCTAGTCCAAACTGGAGCAATCAGAAAGAAGGAGTAACAGGTCCCAAGTAAGTCTAAAACCCAAGGCAAACAACGTTAAATCCTATGACTGGAGAATAATCTTCTTTGACTCCATGTCCTGCCTTCCAGACACACTTCCCACAAGCGTTGGGCCCCCAAGCCCCTGAGCAGCCCCACTCCCACAGTTTTGCTGGAACCAGCCTACACAGCAGCTCTTATGGGTTGGAATAGGGTACCTGTGGCTTTCCCAAGGCTGGCATTGCAAGTCCATGCCTCAACGGGTCTGAGGTCTCAGGGGTGGTCCTGCCCCCACAACTCCACTAGGTATTGCCTTCGTGTGGGGATCTCTGTGGCAGCCCTGTTCCTGCAGCAAGTCTTTGCCCGGGCCCTGAGGTTGTCTGAGGCATCCTTTCAAATCTAGATGGAGGTAGCCATGCCTCCACAGCTCTTGCACTGTGCGTCCCTGCAGAGTTAGCACTACATGGACGCTGCCAAGGTTTATGGCTTGTGCCTTCTGGGGCAGCAGCCCCAGCTGCACCTAGACCCACATAGCAAAGATTTTAAATGGCCCTGGGCAGGAAATCCTGAGGTCTCACAGGTGCCCTAGGCACTCCCCCAATAACATTCTGCTTCTGAGGCCCTACCACTCAAAGCCTGTGATGGGCACAACAGCCACAAAGACCTCCAAAATGTCTTTGGGTCATTCTCCCATTGTCTTGATGAATACCACCTGACTTCCTTCTATCCTTATTAATCTCCTTACCAAACAGTCACTTGGCCACACCTTTGGTTTTCTCTCTAAACATGCTTTTTTATTCTTTACATGACGAGGCTGAGAATTTTCCAAATCTCTACATTTTGCTTCTCTTTTTTATTAAGAAATTCCATCTTAAAATCGTTTCTCTGCTTGCATTTTACTATAAGCAGTTAAGAGAAGCCATGTAGTACCCCGAGCACTTTGCTGCTTAGCTATTCCTTCCACCAAATATCCTAGTTCATCACTCTTTTTTTTTTTTAAGTTCCGGGATACATGTGCAGAATGTGCAGGTTTGTTATATAGGTATACATGTACCATGGTGGTTTGCTGCACCTGTCAACCCGTCGTCATCTAGATTTTAAGCCCCGCATGCATTAGATATTTGTCCTAACGATCTCTGTCCCCTTTCCCCCCCAACCCCCGATAGGCCCCGGTGTGTGTTGTTCCCCTCCTTGTGTCCAACTCCCACTTATGAGTGAGAACATGCAGTGTTTGTTTTTCTGTTCCTGTGTTAGTTTGCTGAGAATGGTGGCTTCTAGCTGCATCCATGTCCCTGTAAAGGACATGATCTCATTCCTTTTTTTTTTTAGTTTGTTTTGTTTTGAGGCGGAGTCTCACTCTGTTGCCCAGGCTGGAATGCAGTGGTGCCATCTTGGCTCACTGCAACCTCTACCTCCTGGGTTCAAGTGACTCTCCTGCCTCAGCCTCCCAAGTAGCTGGGATTACAGGCTAATTTTTGTATTTTTAGTAGAGACAGGGTTTCACCATGTTGGCCAGGCTGGTCTCAAACACCTGACCTCAGGTGATCCACCCACCTCGGCCTCCCAAAGTGCTGGGATTACAGACTTGAGCCACCACACCCAGCCAATCTCTCTCTTTTTTTTTTTAATGGCTGCACTAGTTCACCACTCTTAAATTTTGCCTTCCACTAAATTCTAGGACATGGACATAACACGGTCAAGTTCTTTGCCACTTTGTAACAAAGATGGCCTTTCCTCCAGTTTGGAAATTGTTTCCCATTTCCATCTGAGGCCTCATCAGAATAGTCTTCACTGTCCATATTTTTACCAGCATTCTGGTCATGATCACTTAGGTAATCATTAAGAGAGAAGCTTTCCCTATATAGCTCTTCTTTTCTGATCCTTTAGTGTAGTAGAATCACCCTTAATACTCCATTCACACCAATGTAAGTTTTTCCATCATTCACTTCAAAACCGTTCCAGCCTCTATCCATTACCCAATTTCAAAGCTGCTTCCAGCTGGGCGCGGTGGCTCACGCCTGTAATTCCAGCACTTTGGGAGGCCGAGGCAGGTGGATCACGAGGTGAAGAGTTTGAGACTAGCCTGACCAACATGGTGAAACCCCATCTCTACTAAAAATACAAAAATTAGCCGGTCGTGGTGGCGTGCGCCTGTAATCCCAGTTACTAAGGAGGCTGAGGCAGGAGAATGGCTTGAACCCAGGAGGTGGAGGTTGCAGTGAGCCAAGATCACGCCACTGCACTCCAGCCTGGGCGACAGAGCAAGACTGTCTCAAAAAAAAAAAAAAAAAAGCCACTTCCACTAAGACCAAAACAATGCAATTCTCCACAATCTCTTCCAGAAGACAGAAGCAGAGGACATACTTCCTAACTTATTCTATAAGTCCAGCATTACTCTAATACCAAAACCAGACAAAGACATTATATGAAAACTCAGACTAATATCTCTCATGAACACAGATGCAAAAATCCACAAAATATTAGCAAATCAAGTCCAATAATGTATAAAAAGAATTAGGCACCATCTGGGATTTATCCCAGATATGCAAGGCTGATTCAACATTTGAAAATCAATTAATATAACCTGTCACATTAACAGTCTAAAAAGGAAAAATCACATGATCATATCAATAAATGCAGAAAAAGCATACAACAAAACCCCACACCCATTCATTAAACTCTCATCAACTAGGAATAGAGGTAAACTTCCTCAATTTGATTAAAAAACAGGTACAAAAACCCTATAGCTAACATATTTAATGTCAAACTTACTAAATCAGAGTGTTATCATTGCATGGTGGAAACTCAGGTTGCTATGCAGGGGTGAAGGTATTTCATCAGAAAGAAAAATAACTCAGACTCCAGAATTGTTTCTAATCATCCAACAATCATATATTGTTCACTATTCTAGGAGTTGTAACACTTCTCAGTATGTTCAGGAGAAATGACAGGAGTAACTGTCTCATTGCTAAATAATTGTGCACAGTGGGGAGTACAGTGTCTTGATCATTAATTCCACAAAGCTGCTATGAGCAGAGGCACGATGGTCATGTTGACATGAACCAGGGAGTCTTAAAAGGGTAGATGGTTGGGAAAAAAGCGAGGGTATGACGACAGGCATAATCAGAGAACTCAAAAGTGATGTCAAAGTTAGGAACTTTGAACTGAGGATCTCAAATCACAGTAACGGATAAGATTGCTAAGGTAGTGACTCTCCAAGAGGTTCATAGTAATACTAAGCTGTTATTTGTTCATGTTTCCCTCGTTCTGTCATGAATGTACAATGGAGCTTTCCAGAGGCTACATTATCACACCAGACTGAATGTAGAAGCACATAAGAGAATTCTGCTATTAAGCCGGACATTAAAGATAGAGTATTTGCAAAAATGTTAAATAATGCCACTCTTTTCATGCTTTTTGTTTTGGAAATTATAGGTATTTTCCCATAAAAATATGGTATTAATATTAACAAGTATTGGGGTTATTATCGCTAATAATAAAAAAATTAAAATAAATATTTTTAAATGTTTCCATTTTGATCTGATAAAATACATTTTAGGCCAGGTGCAGTAGCTCATGCCTATAATCCCAGAACTTTGGGAGGTTGAGGCAGGAGGATTGCTTTAGCCCAGGAGTTCAAGACCAGCCTGGGCAACATAGTGAGACCCCGTCACTAAAAAAAATTTTTTTTAATTATTTAGGCATGGTGGTGCATACCTGTAGTCCCAGCTAATCGGGAGACTGAGGAGGGAAGATGGCTTGAGCCCAGGAGTTCAGGGCAAGCCATGATCGTGCCACTACACTCCAGCTTGGGCAAGAGAGCAAGGCCCTGTCTCAAAAAATAAAAATAAATTAAAATCTTATATTTTAGAGCAGTTTTTAGATTTACAGAAAAATTGCAAAGATAGTACAAAGTGCCCATATATCCCAGTTTTCCCGATTACAAACATCTTTCTTACACTACAAATGTATGGTACAGTTGTCACAACAGTGGACCAATACTAATATATTATTATTAATTAAAGTCCATACTTTGTTCAGAACGCCTCAGTTTTTCCCCAGTGTCCTCTTCCTTTTCCAGGATCCTATCCAAGTTATAATATTACATTTACTTGTCGTGTCTCCTTAGGCGCCTCTTGGCTGTGACAGTTGCTCAGACTTTCCTTGTTTTTCATGACCTTGACAGTTTTAAGGAGTACTAGTCAGGTATTTTGTAGAATGTCCCCCTGGTGGAATTTACCAGGTGTTTTTTTCTTGATTAGACCGGGGTAATGGGGAGGAGGACCACAGAGGGAAAGTGTTGTTTTATCGCATCATATCAAGAGTACATACTATCAACCTGACACTGGTATGTTGACCTTGATCACCCAGTGAGGTTGTATTTGTCAGCTTTCTCCACTGTGAAGTTGCTTTTCCCCTCCACACTCCCTGTCTGTACAATACTCTTGGAAAAAGGTCACGATGCATAGCCCACACTTAAGTAGTAGGGAGTTGTATGTCACCTCCTTCAGGGCAGAATACCCACATACATTATTTGGGATTCTGTATAGGAAATTTGTCTCTTCTCCTCCATTTATTTATTCATTCAATCATTTATTTGTATCAGCATGGACTCATGGGTATTTAATTTTATGCTTTGGGTTACAATCGAAAACTGTTTTGTTTTGTTGCCCAAATTGTCCAGCTTTGGCCACTGGGAACTTTTCAGTTGGCTCCTGAGTTTATGTTAATTTTTAATATGGATAGCTATTACCCACATAAACAAAAGCTCTTTGGGGTCCTTGATAATTTGTGAGTGTAAAGAGGTCCTGAGACCAAAATGTTTGAGAACCACCGCTCTAGGGATCCTCTGGCTGACCCGAATCCCCGGTGTGTGTGCGCGCTTCGTCTGCAGGTAGGAGTTGTGGTCTGGACAGAAGCAAAGTAGGCCACACTCGCCTGCCCTTGGGAACACCCACTTCTCCGTGCCACGCCCGCTCCTAAGGTTTTCTTCGGGCAGAAACGCGGGGATCCCCAAGAAGACGAAGCTCAGGCTGCCATGCCTTTCCCGCGAACGCCACGGCGCGGCGCCCGGTTCACAGGGCGAGTCGCCCACCCGCGAGTCGGAAAGCGCCCGGAATCTTGGCTAAAGCTCAGCGTTCTCCTCCGGGGCTGGGGCCCTGGCCAGGCCTGGCCTGAGCGGTCTCCCCTCACTCTGCGGCTCGCTCTCCCGGGCTACTCCGGCGCGCAGGTGCTGCGCCCGCGGGAGAGAGCGATCCTGCGGCCGTGGCGGACGCCGGGAGGAGCCACCGGGCTCTCCTCTCAGGAGCGCGTCCCCGTGCCCTCCAGCTGCCCGTCCCTGCTGAAAGCATCCGGACAGCTCCCCGGGCCGCGGCCCTGGGGCCCGCCAGAGCCCTGCCCTGCACCCCGCTCTCCCCTCTCTGGCCCGGAGGGCTGCGCCGGGCAGATCCTTTCCTCTGCAAGACAGAGACAAGCAGCGATAAACAGCTAAAGCTGGAGACCCGGCTAAATGATACAATAAGTTCTCTAATTGCCTCGAAAATAAGGTAATGATTTGGCAGAGGGAATGCTTTGATCTTATCAGGCAAGAGAGACCTCTCCAAAGGAAACCTCAGAGAAGGGCTGGAGGCCTCGGACTTGGGGGTGTGAAGCCCAAGGACAGCCTGCTTTCCCCGCCCTCCCCCGACCCTGCGTGTCCACGGTCCCCAGCCTCACCCTCCGGCTTTTCATGGAAAGACCCTTCTCCTGTGATGACTGGAGGAGAGTACACACACATAACACAGGGGTTAGGAGAGGAGGAGGGGGTGGGTTCTGGGTTTTTCAGGAACAGGAGGACGGCTGAAATGACTGGTGCAGTTTTAGAGAGGCTATAGAGAAGGAAATTGGGGGAGAGGGGATTGCGGACAGGGATTATGGAAAACCTGACTTGGCTCAAGTCTGATGATGTTTCTTACACAGTGAGGGCTGCTGATTTGAGCTTTTCAGGCAGGAGGGAGTGACAAAGGGAGGAGAACTTTGAGTGTCCTGCCTTCTCCAAGAATCTGCACACACACTCACACACACACCATTGCTCTGCGCTGTGGGTGTCCCTGCCTGGCAGAGGCCCCAGCACAAAGAGGATTAGAGAGATGAGCTAATCTGGTTTGTATCCCAGACATGGCCCCAGAAAGGGACCTTGTCCACCCTGATATGTAAGGATGTGAAGGAGTGAGGAGTCTTTCTTTGGGGGCCTGCTGGCTAACAGTACCAGAGACCCCACTCCACTGGAGTCCCTGGGATACTGCAGTCCTGACTTCAGGGTCAGATTTAGGAAGCAGAAAGACGGTCGGTCCCACAGAAGGAACTAGATCTCTACCCTACTTGTTTCACCAGTGGGGAAACTGAGGCCTGAAGTGGGAAAGTGATTTACAGAGTCATGCCAATAGTGCATGGCTGAGTTGGGGGAAAAAACCCTCAGGTTTTCTGACTTTTTACTGGTCCAGTGCTCCCTGCACTGTGTTGCAGGAGCTGCAAGGGAGAGGTATGAGACAGAGAGAGGGCAAGAGAAAGAGAGAGACGAAGACAGAAGCAAACATACACACCAAGGAAAATAGAGGTGCGCACACACCCACATGCACAGAGAGACGGAGAAAGCCACAGAGAGTCAGAAACAACATGGAGAGACAGATGGAGAGAGTGAAGAAAGAGCAAGACAAACGGTCATACAGATTCATACAGAGAGATACACACGGAGAGACAGGGAGTGACACAATCTGACAGGGAGACAGGCAAGAGACAGGGATTCAGAAAGAGAAGGACAGAGACATTCAGACAGGGAGGGGGAGGCAGGCCAACTTAGACACATAGAGAGACAAATGAAGACAGGGAGATAAACACAAGAGACAGATGCAAATAGACAGAGAATGACAGAAACAAGAGCCAGAGAGAGACCCAGGGAGATGGAGACTCAGAGAAGAGACATGGGGAGAGTATGAGAACAAGAGGCAGCGTGAACTGAGGAAGGCAGAGTGGGAGGGAGGCAGGCCATGCCCTCTGCAGATATTTGTCCATTGGAAACAACTCTCACTTCCAGATCATTCTAGGGCCCAGAACAGGTGGTAGGGAGAGAAAGAGGGCTTAGTGCTTAGCCTGTGTGATACAGGCAGACTGGGAACCCTCCCTTGGGGAGAGGCTGGTCAGTTGACCACCCAGGATCCCAGCAGCACACCCACTGGCCTCACACAGAACCTGGGCCACCCGCCCGGAATGGCCGTCAGCCCGCCCACTGCCTGGCTCCAGTCTGATTACAGCCAAAGTGCCAAAAGGCTCCAGACACCCCCATTCCCTGCCCCCATCGTCTCACCTCCCCACGCCTCCTCTCCTCCTTCCCCTTCTCCTTTACATCCCTCTCTTCCTTTCTTCCTAGTCCTCAGGGGAGCAGTTTGTGCCCCTGTTTAGCCACTAGCTGGGAGGAAAGGGGTTCTCCTCCATCAAGCCCCCTTTCCTGGTTTGGAGCTGGATGCTCCTTCCCTCCAAAGCCCTTTTGGTCTGGCCTCTTTGAGACACGTTCCACGCCTCGCCTAAGAGCTCATAAATACCAAGGAGAGGCCGGCCAGGCTGTGTACAAAGCGTGGATCCCCACTCTTTTCCCCCCTTAACAGCTCCTGGGTTCTTCCCAAGCTTCCTTTACTTCCCCAGACACCTGCATGGGGTGGCAGGGCAAGAGGTGAGGCATTAGTTACCTGTGTGAACCTGGCCCTATTTCAAATAAGACCTGCCTCGGTTTGCAAAGAAATCTCAGGAAAGGCGTCTCAGGGCCCCTTGTGCAAGCAGCAGGCTCAGGAATTCCTTGACTCCCATCCAAACCTCCCCCCAGCCCCTTCTTGGCCTTTCTCTCTGCTCATTACCATCCACACCACCTCCCACCCACCGGGAAAAAGAGAAGGTCATCGCCAAAGGGGCCCAGGGAAGGGGAGCCTTCTGGAGGATAGAGCAGGGTGGGGTAAGAGCTGTTTACCCACACCCCAGCTCCCCTTAGCTCATCTCCCCTCCCATCCAAGGGCCAGCAAAAATTCAAAATCATTCAGCCACGCATAGCTGAGAACAGAGTGAAAAGAAATCTTAACTCTGTCCCACCAGAGAGCAGAGCATAAGGTGACATCAAGGGTGACAGTGGACCCTTCTTCTTTGGGCACCCACTTTTGAGAGGACAGGAGGAGGCTCTAGTGCCACTATGGGGAAGAGGGTGGACCTGACTCTGCTGGCTGGGTGGAAGCTGTCCTGCTGGAGGCCCCAGGTAATCTGGCAGCTTTCAGGGGACCTGGGATTCTTCCTCAGGTCTCTACTGATACTGTTCACTATGTCTGCAGCATGCACCCTTGAACTTCAGCAGAGCCTAGTGTGCCACCCACAGACGGTTTTATTATATTTCCATGAAAATGCCTTGGGAGTAATGCCTTTTGCTCCTTGTTATTTAGGATACCCTGGCCAGTGTTGGGCACACAGCAGGTGCTCAGTAAGTGCTGACTTGACTCCATGCAGGGTTCTACAGACCAGAACTTAACTCTGAGATCAGTGACTCCTCCCTCTGGCTCCCAGAACTGAGAGTGAGAGTGTGGAATAAAATGAAGATGCAGGTCAGGAGCTAGCTTGAGCCTCTGGCCTTGACCCTCTGCCTGGCAGCCCCACAACAAGCCTTTGCGTGAGGAGCTGAGCTCTCCAGTAGTGTCTAGGACCTTGAGACTGGAAGTTTATTTTGAGATTTGAAGCTCCAAAGAGGCAGATCCCAGAAAACCTCTTCTCTGGCTCCATATTTGTTCTCTAGTTAAGTGGTTGAGTGCAGCTCTTGCAGTCAGCTGGCTCCTGCAGCCTGGGATTCCTCCCGGGGAACTGGGGACTCAGAGGAGAGGGGACAAAGAAGCAGAAGGAGCCAAGCCTCATCCTAGGTTGTCCACTCTGGGGGCAGAGGTGACTTGTAAACCTTAGAGAGAAGTCTAGTCCCCTCACCCACTTCCTTCCCTCTCAGAGCTGCTGATGTTTCTGGCTGTACCCCCCTCACCCCTCCCTTCAGCTCAGAAACATGCTTTAAAATTTTTTTTATTTCTATTTATTTATTTTGAGACAGGGTCTCACTCTGTTGCCCAGGCTGGGTGCAGTGGTGCATTCATGCCTCACTGCAGCCTTGACTTCCTGGGCGTAAACAATCCTGTTGCCTCAGCCTCTCAAGTAGCTGGGACCACAGGTGTGCATGACCACACCTGGCTAATTTAAAAAATTTTTTGGGTCTCACCGTATTGACCAGGCTAGTCTCTAACTCCTGTGCTCAAGCCATCCTCCCAACTCGGCCTCCCAATGTGCTGGGATTACAGGCGTAAGCCACCAAGCCTGGGCCTCAAAAACATGCTTTAATACTTGAGCATCTGTGTTGTGCCAAGACACAGTCCCACTTGACTGTAAAGACAGCTCAGGCCAAAGAAGGGGCCTCAGAAGTGATTTGGGGGCCCATGTGGGCGAGTCCACTCTAGGTTAGGGCTGATGTGATCATCTTCAGCCAACTTTCCCCCTCCCTGCGCTTTCCACCAACCCCAGGCCCTGTGTAGAAATAAACACAGGGCCAGAGTCACACCCAGGTCTAAACACACAGGGGAGTCTGGGAGAGGCTGCTGGAGCTCCAAGACTGCCCTGTGTAGGGATGGGGCTGGGTTGGGAGGAGGTAAAAGAGTGGTCCAAGGAAAGAGGCCCAGCCAAGAAGGAGCCTGGGCTCATTCCTCTCCCACCTGCCCCTCTCAGGAAAACTAAGCACAGAGTCTGTGCCTTTCTAAGGAAATAGCCAGGCCAACTGGAGCCCACCCGACAAAAAGAAAGGGAGAGAAGGGGAAGAAAATAAGTTAGCCTGTTGGCCACAAAGGATATGGTCCCAGTTTCTGTGCCAGGAAGTCGGCCCTGAGAAGTGTCTGTATTCAGTCCTCTCCAACTCCCATCCAACTCCAGCCCAGCCCCCACTTTCCACCCAAGTGGGGAGCACTGCCTCCCATTCATGACTTGGAGCACCTCAGGGACTCATCTGAATTCTCTTCCTCCACGCACTCCGCTCCAGCTGGATGGCCTTCTCGATAACCCTCGTACACCAGCCCACTCCTGCCTTTGGGTCCCTGTACGGGCTCTGCCCTCGGCTTAGGATGCTCTTCACCAGGAAGCTGCCTGGCTTGATTCCTTGCCTCCTTCAAATCTCTGCTTGCATGTCACCTTAATGAGGCCTACCCTGATCATCCTAGTTGCAACTGTAACCATCCCCTTGACTGTGCTCTCTTTACCACTGCACTTACTACTTTTTAACATACTCTGTTTTACTTCTGATGTTTATTGTTTATGGTCTATCCTCCTGCAATAGAAGGCAAACTCCATGAGGGCATAGACTGTTCACCAATGGGTCCCTAGTGCCTAGCACAGTCCTGGCATGTGGTAGGAAATAAGTATTTGTTGAATTAATGAATGCACTCATCACCTTACCACAGAAAGTGGGGGTAAAGGAGTGTCACTGTAGGTTGGGGACAGGAGGGAAGTGCTTGCAGCCCCTTCCCACTCTGCCCGCCCACAGAAGTTGGGGCTGCGGAGTGAGGGGCGCTAGGACCCGGAGGCGGTGGGGAGAGAGGTTAAAGGTTCCTCTGAAACCTTCTCCACTATCTCTGTCTCTGAGATGTCTGCAGCCAGCTGCACCCCATCTGCTTACACTCGGGAGGCACCTCTAACGCCACCACCGCCCCCCACCCCCAACCAAAGACTGACAGTGAATTTGGAGTTGGGGGCATCGGCAGTTACTAGTAAGTTGTTTACCCCAGGACTTTAAAATCATATGAGGAGGCAGGAAAGACACCTGCGAGGTGGGAGAAACTGAGGCTGAAGAAGCGACTGGAGCCAGATCCCAGGTGAACTCTGAACTCTCGAAGTTAAGCCCAGGATTTTAAAAAGAATTTTACTTCTGACGGAGGGCCACAGTGCCCGCAGGGCCCGTACCTGCTATCCTGGGAGGTTTGAGGGTTGGGGTGGTGGGGAGAGGAGAGTCTCTTTCGGCAGACTGCACCTCCCCACCCCTTCCCTATTTACCACGCCCCCAGGCGCTGTGCGGGCGGAGGGAGGGTGAAGGAGCAGTGGGGAGGAGGCAGGGCGAGAAGACGAAGGAGGGAAAAAGCTCCAGGGCTTCCACTCTCTCGGCAGGACCCCCACCCTGGCCTCTGGTGCGGGAAAACCTCCCAGCTGTTTCTGATTCTTTCATACTCTCAGCCCCGCCCGAGAGGGTGGAGGACCGAGGCACAGAGGGGGAGCGGGGAGAGACTGAGCTCCGCTGAGCCCAGGAGTAAGGGGCGGGGAGTCCGCAGGTGCCCCCTTAGCGTCGGCAGTCGATTCCCGGTCCGTAAAGAAAAGCACCCGGGCCGGGCAGGCCGGGCAAGCAGGAGCCAGGTCTAAACGTGATGCATTGGGGGTGGGGGGTGCAGTGGCTCAGAAGAAGCAGGGGCGATGAGCTCTAGCTGAAAGCATCCCCTGCTAGAAGCCGACTGCCCACGGCGCTCCTGTAGGCAGTGTTGAAAAGGTAGTTAAGACCTCCAACTCCCGGTGGCAGGGACTCTACCCATTTCACAGAAGCGCAAGGATGGAGGAAATGAGTGCATCCTCCGTGCTCAGCGCCGGTGTCACTGTAGGTTGGGGACAGGAGGGAAGTGCCCGCATCCCCTTCCCGCTCCGCCAGCCTGGCCGTCACCCATAGAAGTGGGGCTGCTGAGTGAAGGGCGCTAGGACCCGGTGGCGCGGTGTCGGCAGGGACTGGGCGCTTGGGGCGCAGGAGGGAGCCGCGGCGTCCCGTCGCAGCGTGCGGGAGCAGGTGGGGGTGCAGCGCGGTGGCGCGCGGGAGCCCCGAGGGGCGGAGGCGGCTGCTACACCTAGGGCGTCGCGGAGCGCCCCGGGCTTGGCGCGGGCGGAGCCGCCCTAAGGGCCGCGCGTGTCCCCGGCCTCGGCCCCGCCCCGTCCCGTCCAATGAGAGCCCGCGGCCGAAGGGGCTGTCCGCACACTAGGCCCGCAGCTCCCTTCAGCGCCGCAGACCCCCTGACACCGCACCCGGTCCTCAGGCAGCGCGCCCCAGACCCCGGGTTCGGCACGCCGTCGTCGGCTTCCGGACATCGCAACTTGCGCCCCTCTCGGGGATCCTCCTCCCGGGCTCTGGACCCCAGGTGATCCTAGGTCCCCAGCCGCCGGCGAACACCATGGCCCCCCAGGGGGGTGAGGTAGGAGCAGCCTGAGTACCCCCAGAAGGTGCCCCGTCCACGCCCCTCCGGGCTGCGCGGCGGGAGTCTTCGGGGAGCTATGCTGAGACCGGGTGGTGCGGAGGAAGCTGCGCAGCTCCCGCTTCGGCGCGCCAGCGCCCCGGTCCCTGTGCCGTCGCCCGCGGCCCCCGACGGCTCCCGGGCTTCGGCCCGCCTAGGTCTTGCCTGCCTTCTGCTCCTGCTGCTGCTGACGCTGCCGGCCCGCGTAGACACGTCCTGGTGGTAAGTGTGGCTCTCAGGCTGGGCGGGTGAGGCGCTTGGTAGGAGAGGCCGGAGGCGCCTGGAGGGACTGGCTGCTCACGGGACCAGGCTGTTGCTTCGACGGGTTGGAGACGATTCGGGCAGGACTGTCACTGAAATCTGAAGTCGCGGGGTGGCGGGAGGGTGAGGCGCCGCGTCTTACACGACTGGTGAGAAAGGCGCTGGGCATTCGGAGCAAGGATGCCCGGTGGTCGCGGCTCCTTAGGCCTCCACGTGCTGTACCCCCTCTATTTCAGCTCAAGCCCCTTAGGGCAGAAGCTACCTTCCGAGTTTCCCTCAGGGTGAGTTCAAGGAACGAATAACCTTCCAGGGCCCGCAATAGCTTCGCCAGGGCCCCAATCGCCTAAGGTCGCCCTCTGAGAGGTGGAGAAAGGGGCAGCTCGCTAGTCTAGCCCACCCATACCACAGGAAGGCTTTGGTGAGGCAGCAGCACCCAGCCGAGGCTTAGAAATGGAATCGAGGCAAAATTTACCCCATTAACTCCCACAATTAAAACAAACAAAACGCATGGGTTTGCATTATCTAGGCATTTGTCTTCAGCCACCGTTTTGAGGATGTCACTTAGGAAACTTTGCCTCCCTCCCTTCTTCCTATTCTTTCCCATCTCCCATTTCTCCCCTCCAAGAGCCAGAGGGCTGCGGAGTCCCAAGATACTAAGAGACCCCCTCCCCAGATTTCTTGCAGGCCCTAGACTCCAGACACTTCACAAGAGGGCAGATGAGGCAAAAAGGCATTACAGATCCACTGGATGTCTCGTGTCTGTTCTTTTTAGAATCCTCCCTGCCCCCTACTCCTTGGATGGCACTCATCACCTTCCCGTAGGAGAAGGAGCTGCTTTCCCTTCTTCCCCACCATGGGGAGAGGGCAAAGCAGGGAGAGTTGAACCTAGAAAAGACTCAGTCTTTCCTCTTCACCCCACAATCAAACTGGCCTCTTGGACTAGGCTATTGCCCCTCTCCACCAGGCAGTGCCTCCCGTCCTTTCCTTACTCCGTTCTTCTTCCCGTGCAAGCCCCCCTCCCCGAAATGTGGTCTCTTCTCTCCTTGCACCCTGTGGCTTTTCTCCTCTTGACTTGGAATCTTGGCTGAAGGGTGAGGGGTAGCTGGCCGAGGGGCCCGCCAGCTTGGGCTGCAGATTCCTATCATTTCAAGATGCCGTCTCTCCTTATCCCAACCCCCACCCCCTGTTTTCCTGTTTCAGAAAAATCTCTTTTGAATTTTTTTTTTTTAAATCTCTGCAGTGTTGGGGAAGGCAAGGAGGGGGGGTTCTGGTTGGGGGAACAGAGAGGCCTATATCTTACATCTGGCTTGAAACATTCTTTTAGAAAGGGAAAGGGGAGAAGGGGGATGAGGAGAAAAACCTTTCAAAGTTCTGAGTGAGATCAAAGCTACCTTTTGCCTTCATGAGCTTGGTCTGGCTGGGGACTTGGCATCTTCAGGGTCTTTGTTGAGACAACATGAAGTAACCGCTGCCCATCTTTATCTGGCTCAGACAGCAGTTTGCTTTTTGGGACTCTTGATTGCTTCTTACCAGTTTGGGATATAGTCTTGGGGACCAATTGGTGTTTGGGTGAGGAAGTGTCACTCTGG
Organism: Homo sapiens; assembly: GCF_000001405.40. NCBI lineage: Eukaryota > Metazoa > Chordata > Mammalia > Primates > Hominidae > Homo > Homo sapiens. Next base: position 112,511,073 of record NC_000001.11, read on the forward strand.
TAATTTCAGCATCCTGGCAGTGGTTCCTAAAGACCCAAATGGGGGTCTTCCTAGTTCCCATTTTGTACTCTTGACTACTCCCTCTCCCTTTTCCTTTCTCCCTCTACTACCCTCCCCTGATGTGGTTCATATTAAAGATTCTGGAAAAATTCCTGGGTGAAAGAGCTAGGGAGGGAGGGAGGGAGGGAGGTGACACAGAGTGACTTAGCAGCCCCTGTGAAAAGGAGGAAGGCTGCAACAGGGCCAGGTTGGGAAGTGGGTACAGAGGTTGTTTCAGCCTCCTTGCTCCACACCTGTCATAGCTACAGGCCCAGATGCCTGCCTCAGTGATCACCACTTGTGGGATAAGGTGAAAAGCTACCTTCTAAGGGCAGGCTAAGCCCCCAAGCCTTTCTCTTAGGAAAAAACCAGCAAGATTGATGTTCTGTACAACCCGTGGAAGAGAAATGCCTGTTGACTCTGGTGTGTCCATGTTCCACTCTGGAGCAGAAGGCCATCATTTTCACCAGTTAATATTTGGATTTTTCTCATAGCTTGAGATTCTTCCCCTTACTCTCTAACCACTGCCCTCCCTCTATCTATCCTAAACAGACCAAGAAATAGGGAGCTTCCGGCATGTGCTTTCCTGTTTCATTTTGCATTCTGTAGGGGGTTGGATGTAGGGAATCACAAGAACAGGATTGTATTCATAGGCTCACAAAGGGAGAGAAACACAAAGTGGTATCATATTGTTAGCACTACTTTTACCAACAGCAGTTGCTTTTAATAAGCCCTTACTGAGCTTCAGGCACTATGGCCAAACACCTTATGAGCATGATCTTTGTCAATCTGAAATAATCCAGTGAGATGGGTTCTATTATCATCCTTATTTCACAAATGAAAGTGAGGGATGCTGTGGCATTAAGAGCAGATTCATGGAGGCTAATAGTGTTATCTCTGTGTTCAAAGTTCTATATGTGCTGGGCTGAATCATGTACACTAGGGGCTGTACACGAAAGGAGGAAAGAAAAAAAAAAAGCAGATCCCTGGCCCGTTTGTGTCTTTAACATACAAACATAAAACATCTGCAGATAGGCTGGCAACTGTTGACAAGTAAAGCTGTAATGGAAATGGGAGTTAATGGCTGGCTAGAGGGAGAAGGGAGTTGGGGATAAATCAGAACAGTTAGGTGTTTATTCAACAAATAGTGATTGCATACCTACTATGTGCCAGGCACTGTTCTCAGTACTGGGGATATTGAATTGAACAAAACCGACAAAAATCCCTGCCTTTGTGGAGTGGTGCATCCAAACCATGTGAGGATCATGGTGAAATGCAGATTCTGTTACGGTAGGCCTTGGGTGGGGCCTGAATGTCTGCATTTCTAACGAATCCCCACATGATACAGATACTGCTGTTCTGGGGACCACACTTTGAGTAGCAAGGGGCTAGAGTAGTGTATGCCTCACTTTGTCAAATGAAGGGATGTGAATTGGCCAAAAGCAGGTGAAGAGAAGCATTCTGGGGCAGGAAGCTGGGAAGGAAGTGAAGAACTTCCAGAAGGGAAAAACAAAGCTAGAGTCAGGGCATCTAACACTCTACCAGACCGTGAGGTGGGAGATGCCTTAAATATCTTTGTGTCCCTGACATCTGAGCTCAGTGCTTGGCACATGGTAGACATTTTGCAGGCATGTGTTGAACTGAGAGGAAGATGTGGTTAGCCTCAGGCTCAGCTTTATTGGAGGCTCCCTACACTAACTACAAGGGGCTGACTACTGGAGAGCAAGCAAGCGCCATGCTCTGTGGAGTCTTGAAGCCATTACTTAGTGGAGTAAGGGTGGTAATAGAGACATTTAATTATCTTCCCATCTTAGATACTGAACAGATGTTCCCACACTCAGTGAGGATGTAATAAAAAGGACCTATGTGGGCTGCAGCAGAATGGATTTAAGTCAGACCACAAGAAGGACTTGTTGCCCGAGTTTGGCCTGCCCCACTCCAGACTGTCTCACGAGGGCTGGGTTATTGGTCTCTCATTCCCATCCAACCCTCCTCACCCAAGCCCCATTAAAAAAAAACAAAAAAACACACCCATTGCCTAGAGCAGTACTTGGGCTGAACTAGGGAAGCTGAACGGTGGTGAGACAGGGACAAGCTCCAACTCCAACGGTCTTGATTCTCCAAACAAAGCACCACAGCAGTGGGTGTAACTCTGGGCTGTGCGTCAGGCAGCCTTTCCGGCCTGGCCCTGTCTGGGGTGTTTATTTTGTTTGTTCCTGGAAGCTGTTGCCCTGATGGACAGTGCTGGGGATGCTGATTCCATGGGATTTGTTAGGGGAGGGCCAGCCCTCTCACCCCTTCCCCGGGACAGATGGGCCCCATCAGCCCTGCTGAGTTCCCGAAGAGGCAAGCATCAGCCCTCCTTGTGTTTGTTTGAGTTGGTGTCACCAGTGGTGATCCAGTCTGTGGGTGAGGGCCGGCTGTGGGAATGCAGGGGGGTGGTGGGGGGGGACACAGAGCCCAGGGCAGTCTAGCTTTTCCCCTCCCCACACCAGCTGCCCTCCCTTCTCCTCACCCACTTCTAGGCCCATTTTGGGGCCGTTCCCAAACCACAGGCTCATTCATAGCTCAAACCAAGTCTTTTCTGTCTGCAGTAACAATTGCTCTCCATGGCCCCACCTGTTCAAAACAGGGGAGGGAGGGCAGCCCTTTGATGCGTTCTGGACAGGAGAATAAAAAGTTCCCAGCAAATCAAGGAAGGTGCTATGGGGTTAAAGGGAGAGAAAGAGAATGACAAGTGGAGCTGGGCTGTTGAGCTGGAGGAAGTGGGTGAATGGGTCAGATCTCATTTGGTGGCCTCTTGGGGAAGAAGGGTGATATACTCCTGTTTTCTCTCTGAAATATTCTTCCTGAGGCTTGTGGTGGGATCCAGGGTTAAAACTGAGTGAAGAGAAAATATTGCCTTGAGAAACAATAATGACTCTGGCAACCCACCTATTCTTTAGTAGCCCATCTCAATTGACCTTCTTTTAATTGTTCATATTGGACAGACTGGAGACTGCAGTGTGGGGAGAGTCATCCTCTTACTTATCTTGGCCTTTGGCTTCCCACTGCAGACAGCCCTTGCAGGTCCATCCAGGTTGGGGAAGATGGTTTTAAAAGGTTCATTAGTTAAGAAAGGCCCTGGGGCCTGGAAATAAAGGGTTTGAGGAGGAGAGTAGAGGGTGGGGTCTTCCTCCCCGGACCTCACGATTGGGAATGAGGATTTTTTTTAGCTACACGGGTCTGACTAGAGCTGTAAACGTTACTCAGATTGCTCACTATGTCTCTTCCCACGAGCCCCTCCCTGTCACCACCCCCCTGCTGTCAAACCATATCTTCGTGGACCAGCCATGCGGGACATCCCTCTTAATGGGAGCATAAGAGTGTTGTCTCAGACCCTTATTTTGTTAGTTTATGTTTCCATGAAGCTCTTAATGTTTATTAAATAAACAGACAATGAGTTTGTGTGACATGCCCACAGCTTCTGTGTATGTGACACATGCCTAGCCTGTGTTCTGGGAGTGTATGTCACTTTGGCCTTTGGCTGGGGAACTGGTGATGGTGGGAGGCCACTCAATTACTCTCTCTGCAACTGTATAACTATTAATACTTCTTCAGAACTGTGGGAAATGGTTCTACTCATCAGCTTTATGGAATGTGGGTTAGGGAGAGGGGACAGAATCTCTTCAAGGTCTGGATGCTAAACGTACCCCTTCCTTATTCCCTCCCAATGCAGAAAAAGGTCTGGGATGTTCTGACAGGGCCATCTCTGCCTTGCAGGTACATTGGGGCACTGGGGGCACGAGTGATCTGTGACAATATCCCTGGTTTGGTGAGCCGGCAGCGGCAGCTGTGCCAGCGTTACCCAGACATCATGCGTTCAGTGGGCGAGGGTGCCCGAGAATGGATCCGAGAGTGTCAGCACCAATTCCGCCACCACCGCTGGAACTGTACCACCCTGGACCGGGACCACACCGTCTTTGGCCGTGTCATGCTCAGAAGTAAGAGCCTCTTCCATCCTGTGTCAGCTCCTTCCCTTTCTGTGCTGGGGGTGGTGAGTGGGAAGAGTAGGCAAGATCTCCCCTCTCCTCTCCCACACACTGTTTCATCATCAGAGAAAGAACTGTGGGCAGAGCCCAGGATATAATTGGGAACAGACTCTTAGCATCTTAGATTTGTAGACAGGGGCTCCTCTAAATCTTAGTGCTCTGGGACAAGACCAAGGTAAAGCATTCCCTAGAACCTCCATCTTTCTCCCTCATTTTCCTTGTCCTCCCCAATCCCCAGCTTGGGAGGCTACCATGTACTGTAAGGCTGAGGTCTATGATAGGCCCTCTGTTCTTAACACCACCATCACTATCGTCACCCCAACACTCCCAACACTACAGTAATGGGAACAAAAGATAAACAGAAAGGTGATATGTAAATATTTGGAGAGTCAGTGGCTTGGCCTCAGCTCAGCAAAAAAGCTAAATAGAGCTAGACAGTAAACTAGGAGAAAGGGAACAAGATGGGAATCTGGAGGTGTCAGGCATACAGGGGCGATAATTCATCAGTCTCCAAGAGCAGGGAGGGAGAGCAAGCAGGCAAGGGAGGGTAGCATGGATCTCTAAACAGGCTGACCCCTGGGCTGGGGTCTCCATTGTGGGGGAACTGTCCAGCAGAGTGGGCCTGAAAAGGCCTGGAATGTGGACTAAGGCAGGCTTAGCTGAGCCAGTGCTGGCACTCAGTGGGAGGGGATGATTCACCAGGAGACTTTTCAATGGATGGACACAGGGAATTTGGCAGGAAACAAGAGTATAGGTCAGCTCAAAAGGTCAGATATACAAAGAAGTGGATAGAGAGTAGTGAGGGCTGAGGGGAAGAGGTCAGATACTCTGGGGAATGCTCTTGGAAATGAAAGGCACCTTGAATAAAGGGGGTGTAGGGGTGACTCTGGGAAAGAAAATTAGGGAAGAGGTTTCAGAGTCAGAGGTTGTATGGGCTGAAGAAGGGGACAGACATGGGCCTCTTTCCTGAAGCACACCTCTACAATTCTCTCTCTAGGTAGCCGAGAGGCAGCTTTTGTATATGCCATCTCATCAGCAGGGGTAGTCCACGCTATTACTCGCGCCTGTAGCCAGGGTGAACTGAGTGTGTGCAGCTGTGACCCCTACACCCGTGGCCGACACCATGACCAGCGTGGGGACTTTGACTGGGGTGGCTGCAGTGACAACATCCACTACGGTGTCCGTTTTGCCAAGGCCTTCGTGGATGCCAAGGAGAAGAGGCTTAAGGATGCCCGGGCCCTCATGAACTTACATAATAACCGCTGTGGTCGCACGGTCAGTACTCATGTCTGTGTAAGTACACTCATATTTGCTGGGGGTGACCAGTGTGTGTGACCATGGACTAAATAAATGTGAAGATGGAAGAGCTGAAGGCTTCTGGGTCACTTCCAAAAGCCCCAACATCCTGGGACAGGAGAACTAAATGCAAGGGAGCTTAGGAATGCCTAGGGTCAATCAGGTGCGTGAAGAGTCTTCACATAGGTGGAAAGTAGGAAAAGGTGGAGAAAAGAAGTAACTTTTTAAGAAGGAAAAGAACTGCCTTCATAAAGACTGAGAGGATAAGAGGTTGTTCTAGTCAGTTCCCTGGTATTTGAACATCTTCTATGTGCCTAGTACTATGCTGGAAAATGGCACACCACTAAAGTAGAAGGCATGGTACCTGGCACTCTAAAACGTGAAAAGTAGAGGATGTGCAAGCACACTGTCATCGTGAACAGAATCCTGTGGCTCTACAGTTCAGTGGGCTGTCATGAAAAGGAAAGCACTGTTGGTTCAGGCAGATTTCCTGGAAAAAGAGTTTCTTGAACTTGATCAGGAAGAATGGGTGGGATCTGATGTGGGAGAGAACCGAGAGCTCAATCGGCCAGCCAGGGCCAGGTCCAGCCTATCTCAGAGCACTCATCCTTTTGGACCTAGGGATGACTAAAATGTGTCCTGACCAGCTACTTCTCCCTTAACTGCCTTCCCCCTCCCCCAGGCTGTGCGGCGGTTTCTGAAGCTGGAGTGTAAGTGCCATGGCGTGAGTGGTTCCTGTACTCTGCGCACCTGCTGGCGTGCACTCTCAGATTTCCGCCGCACAGGTGATTACCTGCGGCGACGCTATGATGGGGCTGTGCAGGTGATGGCCACCCAAGATGGTGCCAACTTCACCGCAGCCCGCCAAGGCTATCGCCGTGCCACCCGGACTGATCTTGTCTACTTTGACAACTCTCCAGATTACTGTGTCTTGGACAAGGCTGCAGGTGAGTAAGGAAGGCAGGCAGGGACATGCAGTCCCAGTTCTTAGTGCAGGCACCCCTGGTTAATCATGGTCTGTTCAGTCTCAGGAGTTAGGGAAGGGGGTGCTGTGGGAGGAGGCAGTTTCCTCTCCACATGAACACCTGGTCATGAGATTGTTGCAGTCCACCAGGCCCAGTGCTGCCCAAGTAGAGAGGAGGTCACTCAGCTCCTTGAGGCCTGAGGTCATGCATCGCTCCTTTGTATCCCAGCATCTGGGATACAGTAGGCATTATTCAGGGTATGTTTAACTTAGTTACCTGTTTTCAGTTTTAAGCAATGTGTGGGCTGCACAGAAACATAAGATGCAGCCCTAAGCCTTTGGCTCTTCGCAATCTACTTAAAGAAATGAGACATAATGGGTAGACAAATGCAAAGAGAGATGGAGAAATCAATAAAGTTTATTTGAAAATGTAGGGAAAAAAAAGAAACTAGAATTTAAGCTGCTCCTTGAAGTGTAGGGAGTATCTGGATAGCTTGAGAGACGAGTGGGCAATTTCTTATCAGAGAGTAGTAGGTGGGAAAGCACATGATCTGTCCCAGGGACAGAGAACAGACCAATCTGCTGGGTAAAGGTTCTCTCTAAGGGAGATTAAAGCTAGAAAGATGTCCTTGAAAGGCTTTATCCAGTGTGCTGCCATTGAAGATTCTGAAACAGCTGAAAAAGAAACGAAGAAGAGATCCCTACCAAAGGCAGGTAAAGCAGCAAATGGTTGTTTTTCAGTCTGTTCGAGGTATTTGTGGTGGGATTCTTGGAGGTGCTGGAAGTTGATATGGTTTTTCCCCAAGGGAATGAAAGTTACCATCCTGGCTCACATTTCTGGTTCAGATAGGTTAAACTAGGAACATGCAATGCAGCAGAACTCTTCTCCTCTGGTTATTGCTGTGGGGCTCCCAGGCTCTTTTCTACAGGCTCAGCGTCAGGACTTGGGTGAAGTGGAGCCAAAAAACCTCAGCTATCTTCGGTACTGTTTGTTTTCACCCATCACTGTCATTCCTGGAAGAGTCAAGTGGCTTGGAGTAAAACTGGGCACAGAAAAAGGGTGGGGCTCTACCCAATTAATGAAGAAAGTAGTCTGTATACTTTGTAGGGTGCTAGAAGAAAAAAACTTGGAGCCCTTCTGATTTTCCTAGTGATTTCCTGCCACTAAGTATACTTTCCTCCCACTTGGTCTAATTCAGAGGGTCACTCTCTGGATACCTAGAAATAATTCCATAACATCTGAGGTGTAAACCTATACTACCATACTGAAAATACACCTTTAGGGAAGGAACTTTGGAGTTAGGAGGGAGGATAAGTCAAATGTGTGTTCGTTTTTCTCAGAGGCATAAAATTAGGCCTCCTAAAACCCAAAGTGGGCCCTGGAATTCAAAGAATATAAGTCATCCCAGAAAGAATATGGAGCCAGGAATTCCCTCCAAAGCAATAGAGTCCAATTGAACTTTCTGTGATGATAGAAATGTTTTCCTATCTCTGTTGTCCAATACAGTAGCAACTAGCCACATGTGATTACTGAGTACTTGGAATATAACTAGTGTGACTGAGGAGCTAAATTTTTTAGTTTAATTTTCATTAATTTAGATGTAAAAGACCATATGTGACTAGTGGCTGCTACCCTGGACAGCACAGCTCCACAGTGTAGAAGGGGTTTTTGGTGCCCAAGAGGACTTAAGACCCAGCCCTTGGAGTTAGGAGACTAACATATACAGTAGACCTAGTCAGTCCACATTCCAGACCAGTGGTCTCCTAACATTCTGGATCCTTTACTCCTATCATTAAAACAATTTGAGCATATATCTCCATTATATGTATATTTATTTATACCTGTGTTCCACTATATGAATATGTATATTATAAAACGTAAATATTTTAAATTGATGAGATAAAAAACATAGAAGTTCTAGCATTTTCCTCCCGTATCCCAGTGACATTTGGAGACTAATTCTGTAGAAATCAGTTAATCTATTCTCCGTTTTGAACCTAGGCTAGTCAGTTTCCCATCTCTGGATTCTTATTAACCATGGAAAAGCTTGGAGTAGATGCTCTCATGGGCCCAACTCATCCAAAAGTCTATTGATTTTATGATCTGTTGGCAGGATCTCTTTTGCTAAAATCAGTCAGAATGAGGTTCTAAGCATTCCCTATGCATGGGGAAAACATGATCCCTATCCTAGAGTTTCCACTGTAAGGGGAAGGGATAATGCTTAGGGATAATAGCAATAATAATAATGCAAGGGATATTACTTAGGAATTCCTTAGGAATATGCCTCCAGCCAGTCATGGTAATCAGTTCACCTCTTCAGATGAACAGAGATTATATCTAACAATCTATTATTGTGCTTATTTTCATATGAGAAACTAAGTTAATGTTTCATTTTGACTAAATCACACAACTAAGAGTGGTAGAACTGGGATTTGAATCCAGACAAGATGATGTCAGAGCCCATGCTTCTTTTTTTTTTTTTTTTTTTTGGAGACAGAGTTTCACTGTCACCCAGGCTAGAGTGCAGTGGTGCAATCTTGGCTCACTGCAGCCTCGACCTCCCAGCCTCGTGTTACTTTCACCTCAGCCTCCTGAGTATCTAGGACTACAGGCTCATGCCCATGGCACCTGGCTAATTTTTTAAGTTTTTGTAGAGACAGGGCTTGCTATGTTTCCCAGGCTGGTCTTGAATTCCTGGACTCAAGGATTCCTTCTGCCTTGGCCTTCCAAAATGCTGGGATGATAGGCATGAGTGAGCCACTGTGCCCAGCCCAAAAAAGCGATTCTTTTTATCTTCCTTCTGAGAATGTGGTTAAGGGTATCCAGGGCAGCTGAAGAGATAACTTTGTTCTCACTCCCTCTCTTCCCCAACCCAGGTTCCCTAGGCACTGCAGGCCGTGTCTGCAGCAAGACATCAAAAGGAACAGACGGTTGTGAAATCATGTGCTGTGGCCGAGGGTACGACACAACTCGAGTCACCCGTGTTACCCAGTGTGAGTGCAAATTCCACTGGTGCTGTGCTGTACGGTGCAAGGAATGCAGAAATACTGTGGACGTCCATACTTGCAAAGCCCCCAAGAAGGCAGAGTGGCTGGACCAAACCTGAACACACAGATACCTCACTCATCCCTCCAATTCAAGCCTCTCAACTCAAAAGCACAAGATCCTTGCATGCACACCTTCCTCCACCCTCCACCCTGGGCTGCTACCGCTTCTATTTAAGGATGTAGAGAGTAATCCATAGGGACCATGGTGTCCTGGCTGGTTCCTTAGCCCTGGGAAGGAGTTGTCAGGGGATATAAGAAACTGAGCAAGCTCCCTGATTTCCCGCTCTGGAGATTTGAAGGGAGAGTAGAAGAGATAGGGGGTCTTTAGAGTGAAATGAGTTGCACTAAAGTACGTAGTTGAGGCTCCTTTTTTCTTTCCTTTGCACCAGCTTCCCGATACTTCTTGGTGTGCAAGAGGAAGGGTACCTGTAGAGAGCTTCTTTTTGTTTCTACCTGGCCAAAGTTAGATGGGACAAAGATGAATGGCATGTCCCTTCTCTGAAGTCCGTTTGAGCAGAACTACCTGGTACCCCGAAAGAAAATCTTAGGCTACCACATTCTATTATTGAGAGCCTGAGATGTTAGCCATAGTGGACAAGGTTCCATTCACATGCTCATATGTTTATAAACTGTGTTTTGTAGAAGAAAAAGAATCATAACAATACAAACACACATTCATTCTCTCTTTTTCTCTCTACCATTCTCAACCTGTATTGGACAGCACTGCCTCTTTTGCTTACTTGCTGCCTGTTCAAACTGAGGTGGAATGCAGTGGTTCCCATGCTTAACAAATCATTAAAACACCCTAGAACACTCCTAGGATAGATTAATGTAGTAAGTCTGGCTAGGCCTTGTGTTGCCTTTTTTTTTTTTTTTTTTTTCTTTTCTTTTCTTCTCTTCCCATGCACTATTCTGGAGGTTTGCCAGGTTTGGGGAGACATGGAGTAAAAGAAAGATAGGCAACTCATGGATGGTGGGAGAGCAGGTAAGCAGGTCTGATCTCAAGGGCCCACATGAGGCATCAGTATATATTAGGCAGGTAGGGATCTCTGGCTTTGGTAATTCTTTATGAGAGGATCCTAGCCTTTGAAGCTGGGAGCAGGAGTCAGTGGCTACAGTGGGAAGGAGTACTGCAGGTTGGGGCCAAAGTGATACACAGCTTAGAAGGCAGCCTTCCTCCACTTACTCAACAAATCTTTATTTAGTGACTCTCCAAGTCCTAGTGATTATTATTATTGTTCACTCCACATTTGGCTTAATGGGTAATGCTATTACCCATTGCCTAACTAGGTTTGCAGTAGTGGAATCTCCAGAGATAGCAGGCTTAGTAAGCTGGAGGTAGGACATGAAGTCCCCCAAAACTTGATGTCCTATTTTTATGTGAGTTGGACAGTGGTTATCTTTTGCCTGTTGATATCTTAAAGCAGCAGAGTGGTATAGAAATTTGCGGTTATGACAGACCCGGGTTAAAAATCACAGCTGTGCCATTTGCTTTGATATTTTGAGCAAGGTAGCTAAATTTTCTGAGCTTCTATTTTCTCATCTGTAAAATGAGGATACGTACCTGTTCTTTTTTTTCTTTCTTTTTATTTCTTTTAGAGATAGGGTCTCGCTTTGTTGCCCAGGCTGGAGTGCACTGGCATGATCATGGCTCACTGCAGCCTCAAATTCCCAGGCTCAAGCAATCCTCCCACCTCAGCCTCCCCATTAGCTGGGACTACAGGGCCATGCCATCATGCCCAGCTAATTTAAACATAGTTTTCAGAGATGGAGCTCACTATGTTGCCCAGGCTGGTCTTGAATTCTTGGTCTCAAGCAATCCTCCCACTGCAGCCTTCCAAAGTGCTGGGCGTACAAGCGCAAGCCACTGTGCCCAGCTGTCAGACGCTGAGTTTTAATTATGCACCAAACTCCAGCCCGCAGATCCTCTTCACCAAAGCCCCTGGCTGGTCTAGCCCATCATGACTTCTCTAGGAACAGTCCTTCTTTAGGACTATAAAGTATTAACAAAAGTCTGTAGATTAAGGAGCCTGCATAAAGAATTCTGGATACAGGCCCCTGTCTTTCCAAAGTTCCTCTCCAATATCCCTTGGGGTCCTCATGTTTTTGAAGCAGCTTCACTCTGCACAGGCAGCAGGAGGTTGGGGGAGCCATAGCTCTGGGCCACGGGGGCAGATTTATTTGGATGATAGGACTAATATTTGTGTAACCTGCTGAGACCTGTGTGGGAGAGTTTAGGGTGGTTTTTCTTTTGGTGAGGGGATTTGCTCTGGTTTCACATCCATTAACACAAAACATGAGCTAGTCAGGGCCCTTGTGGTCTGCGGTAAGGGGATGCCTGTGGAGAAATGGGCCTGAGTGAGTCAGGCCAAGAGAATGTCTTCCTTCAGAATGGAGTCAACTGGATAACTGATGAGCCAATGGTGGGATTAAGGAGGGGGAAATGGGAGGGGAAGAGAACAGCTGACATCTTGAGGAAAGCTTTGGGGTAGTGGAGAGGTAAGGGGGTCATGGTCAGTCTGAACTCAACAATAGGGCTGAATGAATTTACCAAAGGAAGCTGCCTTATATTATATGCCAGGCTGCTGGGGAAAGCCTCAGGTCCTGGCCAGCCCCTGTTCTCACAAGAACATGCAGGTTACCACATAAATAATGGCATATGCCTTCCATAGGACGTCAACCTGACTTAAATCTACCTATACCCTACTCTCTATTCTTTGGTTTTTGGTTCTCATCCCTGTGGAAGGAAATGGGCCTCTTCTGGCATCTCATGCTACTCTGTGCTTTTCCTTGGGCTCCAAATTCTAGCTCATAAAGATGCAAGTTTTGCAATTTCCTATAAATGGTTAAGAAAAGAGCAAGCTGTCCAGAGAGTGAGAAGTTTGAAAAGAGAGGTGCATAAGAGAGAAATGATGTCCATTTGAGCCCCACCACGGAGGTTATGTGGTCCCAAAAGGAATGATGGCCAAGCAATTAATTTTTCCTCCTAGTTCTTAGCTTGCTTCTGCATTGATTGGCTTTACACAACTGGCATTTAGTCTGCATTACACAAATAGACACTAATTTATTTGGAACAAGCAGCAAAATGAGAACTTTATTTGGTGCAGTCAGGGCTCCATTTAGTTCCCTCACTCTGCTTCTAATCACCCCTTCTCCCAGCCCTCTTCTATTTGATAGAGGTCTGTCCCTCAGATCAGCAATGTCTTAGCCCCTCTCCTCTCTTCCATTCCTTCCTGTTGGTACTCATTTCTTCTAACTTTTAATAAACATTTAGGTATAATACATTACAGTAAGTGCTATTTAGATACAAACTTAAAACATACTATATATTTTAAGGATCTAAGAATCCTTTAGAGAAGGCACATGACTGAAGTACCTCAGCTGCGCAGCCTGTAGCCAGTTTTTTTAATGTAAAAGTAAGAATGCCAGCCTTAACCTAGCCCTGCAGATAAAAGCTAACTTTTATTAATACCAGCCCTGAATAATGGCACTAATCCACACTCTTCCTTAGAGTGATGCTGGAAAAATAAAATCAGGGGCTTCAGATTAAAAAAAAAAACAAAAAACAAAAAACAAAAACAAACATTGCCTGGCCCTGAGGGTCTGTTTGCAAAACTTCTTGTAGATCTAATTTCTGAACACTCACTGCTTCATTTCTATTCCTCCTGTTGCAGGGAGTAATTTCTTCTCCTTTGTCTCACTTCCCTTATCAAGAACACCAACCAGTAAGTCTTTGCCAAATTCTCAGACCCACTCAGGACACGAGTCTCTACATGGCTTAACAGAAGAGAGATAATTAGGATTTTTTTTTCCTCAGTCTTTCTGAGGTTTTTATTTAAATGCACTCAGTGGTCATAGGGCAGAAGCTCAAGCTAGCTGGGGCGAAGGGAGGACGCCAGGGAGAGTATGTTTCTCATCCCTGGGAGGCATTCAGCCTAGCTCCTGCAGCCAAATTACAGCACCAGAGAACAATGTGATGCATTCCTGGGCAGGTCGGTGGGACCCTGGGCGCCTGGGCCTTGTGGAGAGAGGTGCCAGACACAGAGTTCTCCGTAAGCAATCCTGCAGAGCCGCCCCCTGGGTGCAGAAATGAAATACGGGAGAGCTTCACATTACACAGAGACCTGTAGCTCACACCTGGTTATTGATGGCCTTGGTGGAGGCCTCTGCCCCGACCCTCCACTTGGGAACTGCCTGCTACTACGGGGGTTGGGCATCTTTGAAGCAATGTTGGATAACAAGAAAGAGATGCTTCCTTTTCACTCTTTGCCCTCCCTGTCAGCCTGAGCACAACCATGAGGTTACACACACACACACAGAGGTGTACATATACAGACACATAGAGAACTTCTCTCAGGCTGCATAGGAGTTCTGCTCATCCTCCTCTCCCCAACAATTAAAAAAAAAAGCAATTAGATTTCGATCCAGTACTTCAAAAAGGATACCAATAGGGTCTGGCTTTAATCAAGGAATATCTACAAAGTCACATTACCAACCTGCAGGCAACTCTTTGGTTTGGGGACCAGAACTCCTCTGGTGGGTGGTTGGGGGAAGGATGCAGGAAGGGCATGGTGAGGAGAGATCAGTGGTGAAGAATTACCATCAAAGCAGAGTGGCTGAGACTGTATAAGTTCGCAAGGCTGGTTCATGCCAGAGATAGTGAGATGTGCACCCTATGTGCTGAGAATGATGGAGCAGTCTCCTATGACTGCATGGGGTATAACTGCCAAGCCTACTGCTCATGACCTGTGGTTGTTTTTAACTCTTAACTGGGTTAGAAAACTGGAGAGCTTTGGATTCCAGGGATGATCTCCATAAGAGAGAAGCACTGGAAAAGACCAAGTGGTGGCTTTATTAGGGTAAATATATCACAGTTGCTACAGTGAATTGAGCTTTCTCAGAAGCTATTATTTTCTTTGGGTGATTGGCAGGTATAGGGCAATAGCCAGTGGGGTGTCAGTAATATGCCCTGTCCCTGACCTCAAAGGTAAAGGGATAGAAAAGAGAGGGCGTTGACAAACTCATTTTCCCACTTCCCACTCATGGCTTATATTATCTCTGAGCATCTCGGTGGCTATTCCTCATTTACTTAAGATGTTTTAGTCATTCTGGATGTGCAAATGCAAGGCAAGCATTCTCCCACTGGCCCCCTAACGGTTAACTATCCTGGCTTAAAATTTTCCTTTGCTCACTTCCATTCTATGAGTATATCGATGGAGCAGCTGGACATTAGAGTTCTTTCTCTTTGACCAAAGGAGCCAAAATGCGGTGACTTGACTTCAACCCCAACAGCCCCTGTAAGTAGCCCTGGCCAAACAGAAAGGCTAAGCTGAATGAAGAAAAAAGGAAGACAATTTCATCTACAGTTGTCCTTTTTGACAGCTTCCAAGGGGGGTTTGCCTAGGAATAACAATATTCATAAGAAGCTTTTTCATATGCAAAATGCTTTAGCATATATGTAATCCTCACAACAACCCTGTGAGGTAGGGGTTACTGTCACTTTACAGATGCTGTTCAGAAAAATTTGGTGATTTGTCCAAGGTCACATGAACAGTGCGTGGCTCAGCCAGAACTCAAACCTAGGTCTTCTGACTTCAAATCCTGTGTATTCTCCTCAAAGCCTGAGGATGCCCAGGGTTGGGGGCACCAGAGTCCCAGCACCTTCAAAACAGAAATTGATACAAAATGTTCAAGCCCTGTAGGAGTCCCAGGACAGCCAAGAGAGTATATCTGAGCACAGTTTACAAAGGAACAGCCTAGGCCCTCCTGAACCTTATCAACCAATGGCTCTTTTGCCATTTCTGCCACTATTACCACCAGTACCATGTGACCACTATACAACATATTCCACATTTAAACAACTCTGGCTCCTAATTCTACTCCTTTTTTCCCCTTCAGATTAACATTAAAAATTTTATCTAGTCCTTTTGAAATTATGCTAAATGTATAGACACAGTAGAAGTAGTCATGACAGAAAATTATTAAGGCTTTGAAAATATGTATCAGAGGCCGGGTGCAGTGGCTCATGCCTGTAATCCCAGCACTTTGGGAGGCCGAGGTGGGGCAGATCACGAGGTCAGGAGATTGAGACCATCCTGGCTAACACGGTGAAACCCTGTCTCTACTAAAAATACAAAAAAATTAGCCGGGCCTGGTGGCGGGCGCCTGTAGTCCCAGCTACTGGGGAGGCTGAGGCAGGAGAATGGCGTGAACCCAGGAGGCAGAGCTTGCAGTGAGCCAAGATGCACCACTGCACTCCAGCCTGGGAGACAGAGCGAGACTCCGTCACAAAAAAAAAAAAAAAGAAGGTATGTATTAGAATTTTCTTTGAGATTTCACTCCTTTTAAAAATGACGTCAACTCCTGGGTTAGGAAAGCAAGATGAGGGAATAAGTGTCCTAAGAAACTCCCATCCCAAGCCAGACAGATGCCTACCCGTGGCCTGGCAAAGGTCCTGGGATCTCAAGCTGATGCAAGCAATTTGTGTACACCAAGGCAAGGGGTCTCAATCCTGCAGAGAAACCCATGAGATGAGGCAGACAGCAGATTTTCACTTGATCAAACACTTGCTGCTCTCAACCCCTCTTTGTTTTCCCATCCAAAATCTGGACCTCTGTTTAGGCGCAAGACAGTGAGTAAGAGCAGCTCCAAAAGATGACGTATGCAAGGGGAACTCTTCTGTTCAATCCTGTAATGTTTTCTGTTAGAGACAGCATAGGCTACCTATCCTAATCCTGCACCCCAACTGTTAAGACAGAAGGGAAAAGTACAATGTTCATCAATCATAGCTCTGGGATGCTGCAGCTCCCTGACCTGGGCCCCTACTTGAGCTAGGAGAAGAACACCTCATGAAAACAGTCTACCTATAGTCAGGACTTCCCCAAGGCAGACTTTATTTTTTGGTCCATCGATCTTGGCTCTCACTGTTCTCCCTGCTTCCCACCCCCAACTGCCTCTGCATGTGGGCTCAGAAGTCATCATCTAAAGAATTCCATTGCTCACCTCCTGCATAGCAGCACAGCCCCATGAGGCCACACACCAGATGGAGGGGATAAAAGTACGAGGTCATGGCTTCTTGCAAGAGGCTTTTTCTTAAACTAACCCTGACTCCTGGAAAAGAGGCAGAGCAGGAGAGTGTTGAATGAGCTGCTGATGACAGCAGCTTCATAGGTCTTGTGTATAAAGGAAGGAAAAAGCTAACTTGGCTTTCCGTGGAAATTTACCTACTCCCATTTTCAGGTCTACTCCTGGTCTCACATCTACTTCTTGAAGGTGTCTAAGTAGAATGCAGAGATTGTCAAGCTAGAGGGTTAACTCCTTCCCAATTGTAGGGATCTATTCAGCAGGCTGCCACACACATGCTGAGGTGGAGGCCAACCCTGAACACATGCGCTGCTTCTTTAGGAATGTAACTATGAAGTAAAAGGAAACAGTAAGGAAGGTGAACTGGAACTCTGGGGAAACTGAAAAGGTCATCAATAGGCCTTCAAAATATTTGTGTGTAATAAGTAGACACAAGAGGCTGGAGGAAGATGATCATTCCTAGAATAATTATGCTTACTGGGTGACAATATACAGAAGCAACAATTACAATAAAATGAAACAGTTTAATGGACTAGGAAGCAGAAGTCTGAGAATAAAGGAATTAGGTTAATGAGATTAAGCAGAGATGGCATTCCACAGGAGGTGACTTTTGAGTTGAATTTTTAAAAGATAGCTTTATGTGTTTTATGAACTGACTGAGGGCAGTCAGAAGAAGGCATTCTAAATAGAGGGAACTGGTATGTGCTGAAACTTAGAAGCAGGAATGTACAAGCAATATATAAGGAATTTCAAGCAAGTACACATTATATACACTGGGGAATACAGAGAAATTAGAATGCTGAGATCAGGGCTTAAATAATGTGAGGTGACTGTGTGCACCTAGACTGTCAAATGGTTCAGCATCCCCTATAGAGCCACATAGTATCTTGATTTATGTCAGTAAACATCAGGGCACCTATGGAAAAGCACAAGGATGAGTCCATTTGTTACAGACCCAGGGACTAACAGAGATCTACACTGTAAAGTTCAACAAAATGCTACATATCATTAACTACAGCTCCTTATCATTTGAGATTCTGGGCTAAGTAAGAGATATCAAATATCCTATCCAGTACTGTGATACATTAATGTAGGCTTACAGGCCCAGAACCTGGCATAAATCAAGCCAAACCCTTAAGAAATTAGAATGTGAAAAGAAAATAATTTAAAATAGAAAATACATGCTGCTTTTCCTCACTCCCAAACTTAAAACTTGACTGGTCCTACATATTCTACTTGGTATATTGAATTTTTGCAGCTAGCAGATTTATCGTATCTGAGGCCATAGTGAATAGAAGAGCTGCAAAAGAGCTTTAGAGACTGCAAAACCAGCTCACTAATAAATGAGGAACTTTATTCTAATTTACTACCAGGGGCTGAAGTAGCAGCCAAAGAAGGAGACAAATTCTAACTTCATGATCTCTAGTTAGGTGTCTATTTTCCTGCATTTGCTAAAGGTAAAAATCGCTACTTATGGGGCTTTTGTCATACTTCTTAACCAAACTTCCCTAACTTCTGAGGATAAAAACCATAAGGGCAATCTTATTCTTCCAAAGCAGTTCCCTGGTGCCACTTTCAGAAACAGAGTATTGAACTATGGGTCTGACCCAGTGTGGCACTGAGTGTGTGTGTGTTTGTGTGTTTGTGTGTGTGTGTACACTGAATAAGCCAAAACGTGTGCCATATTCTAGGTTTCTGCTTTACTTAACTGGCAAAATTTGGTGCTGTAAGGGAGGCAGCCACAAAACCAGTGATAGCATTTGTTAGTATCATCTTAGTTCTCTTCCCTCCCCTAGGTAGTTTATAAAGGGTGATTTCTGAAACCCTTCACAAAAGAAAAGCTCAAGGGTTTACATTCAACTGTGACAGCACTATGAATTCATTAAGAAGCATGTTTCAGGTTGCACTGTAATTTCCCTATGTAATACAAACCCATGGAATCTGACATAAGCTGATTGCTCATGCTGGTTGTTTTATTTACATTTCTGAATGGAAAGGATTTCAATACTCATAAAATATCTAACTGGCTTATTTTTCATCTGTTCTCCCAGAGAAGCTATTATAAGATAGGCATAGAGACAGAAGTCTCAACTTGTATAACTGGTTAAGCAACCAGGGAAATGTTATTGCTCAAAATGCAATTTTAAAAAATTCAATATGGAACTTGAGGCCAAAAAAACAGAAGGTTACTCTCAATGCCATCCAAAAGATAAAAGTTAAAAAAAAAAAAAAAAAAAAAGGTAACTATGCTCATTATTTTCAACCAAGTTCTATGGAGGTGGTACCTTCACAGGAGCTCAGTGGAACTGGGGTTTACTTACATCTTTTTTCTGGGAACCTAATGTTAGCAGACACAGTTGCTAGTTTGAACAGGAATGCAGATGAATGGATGAAAGTGGGCTCCCTACCACCCAGAAATATGAATGTGCCTCCTTACCAATATGCTACAAATCAGACCTCTGAATTAGAAGATGCCATCATGCAACTAACTTACTATCTGGAGATGTGTATTTTGTTAACCTAGGCAAAGAATAACAATTTCTGCTTATTCCAGTAGGTGTGACAAGCTCAGAGAAGTGAGCGACAAGCTAGAGAAGTAATAATTACCAATAAAGTAAATTCCAAAGCCGAATCCCCAGTTTTCTGCCTCCAAGTTGTTGTTCAAATAGTTTATCTTCCTTTCTTCTACTGCAACACTAGTTTAATCAGTACATTCTACAACTCTCTAGTATTATTATAATATTTGCATGAGTAGTTTAGAATTTAGCCTTGGGCCTGCTCTTCTACCATTTTACCATATTTACTGATTACATTTTACCATATTTTACCATATTTACTGATTACATGCCTAATTTGTATAAACTCAAGGAGAGGTTCTGTGCCTTTTTGTTTGTTTTTTGAGATGGATTCTCGCTCTGTCACTAGGGCTGGAGTGCAGTGGCGTGATCTTGGCTCACTGCAACCTTCGCCTCCCAGGTTCAAGCAATTCTCCTGCCTCAGCCTCCTGAGTAGCTGGGATTACAGGCGCCTGCCACCACATCAGGCTAATTTTTGTGTTTTTAGTAGAGACAAGGTTTCACCATGTTGGCCAGGCTGGTCTCAAACTCCTGACCTCAGATGATCTACCCACCTCGGCCTCCCAAAGTGTTGGGATTACAGGAGTGAGCCACCGCACCCAGCCTCTGTGCCTATTTTAAAACATATATCCCAAAGTCATATCCCCAGTGATCCAGCTAGTCTGTTACTTTAATGAGACAGCTCAATAAAGATAGGAAATATTTTTTCAGTTACTTAAAGAGAAAATAATACTGGTGGTTCTCCCTGTAAAGAGGTAGAATTGCCAAAAAATGCAGAATTGATCAGCAAAACCCAGCTATAAAGAAAGGGCAAAAGGAACTTTATTTTAGTGCCTTATCCCAATATCCTTTTATTTAGTTTTTTGATTAACATGATGTGTGCCTATTTTCAGAATCAGTGACTGCCAGCTGCAGCTCTTGACATTATCAAGTGAGCTCTGGAAAATTCTGGGTAGCTCTTTCCTATTCTCTCACATGCCCAAAGAACTAAGTAATTTTGGTCCTAACTCTTACTATTCTATTCTTCTTCACATGAAATCACATTGTTTCATACTGAAAACCAGGATGGCTATTAGTTCTTATTAATCTGTCATTATTAGGAATGAGAGGATATAAAAGAGGTATATAAAATGTATGAGTGTAGAGCTTTTGTCTAAGGCAATTACTCTGTGAATCTGAGGTGAGACATTTCTTAAATTTTGAATTGTGGAGCTCTCCATTTTTTGATAAATTATATTCATATAAACATTATAATAAATAACACTGCTTACAAAAAGATGAATTCCAGCTGCTGAGTATAAAGATGAAAGTACTCCACATCACATATTTGGAAAAGAATAAAGATATCTCTTTCTATATGTTCTTGCTTGACCTAACCGAATAAATTCTTCTGAAAGGAAGCATAATCTATTAGTCTAGACTGACCTTTTGGGTCACTATATCTTACGGGAGCCGTGTGAAAATAACTCACCATTCCCTTCCAGTCAAATAAATGAATATTCAAGGATGAACTCATCTATTGTGGCAATAGCTTCCACCTTATACTAATACATCTTCATGCCCATCTCAAACCCCCTACCACTAGACTATGAGTTACTTATGAACAGGGATTATATTTTATACTTCACAGGTACCCAATGAATTTGAAATGCAAAGACCTGTTATATGTTATAGGACAATCATTACCATATTTTAGCATGTTATAGGACAATTAAAACCATGTTTTAATTTGCTGAGGCTCTTTACAAATCTAAACTTTGAAAACAAATCAAGACAGGCCCTATTGGAGTCCTTCCATTCAATAAGCCAACATTCAAAGAAGACTCTTTTCAGGTTATCCAGGACTCTCTGAACTGCATGTTCTACTGCAGTTTTTGTTTTTTGTTTTTTAAAGGTGGTATTACAAGAGCTAAAATTCACCAAGGGCAAATTAGTAAGAAAAGTCTTCACAGCTAGGGCTTAGCCAAATTAGAATCCCTGGGCTCGCAATAAGGGCTAAACCCCTAAAGGGATCAGAGTCTAATAAATAAAAAACATCCAGCTGAATTTTATCAGAGGGCAAAGTTTCAACTTTGAGTGCCCCAGCAACCAAGGATGAATTATGCATAAGATTAGTAAAGTGCCTTCGTCCACACCCTAGACAGAGAACATTTTTCTATCTCACTGTGACTGAAGGAAAACCAGCAATGTATTTGCCTGCCAAGAACAGCTGTGGCTGTACTCTTGATAGGAGTCTAACAACACTGTCGGATTAAAATTTAATTGTAAAGCTGCTGCTACCTGGGAGTAAAAGCATGAGC
Organism: Homo sapiens; assembly: GCF_000001405.40. NCBI lineage: Eukaryota > Metazoa > Chordata > Mammalia > Primates > Hominidae > Homo > Homo sapiens. The sequence goes on from NC_000001.11 coordinate 112,532,410, forward strand.
TCTGGCTTCAGAAAGAAACTGGGACTGCAGCATATTGAATAAATGAAGACGAGAGCTGGCATGTTCCTAACAAAGAGTGTGGGAATGTGCTCCCTTCTCCAACTGTCCCCTAAGCTGCATCTTTCTCTGTCACATTGGTCATCTGCAAGGATGTTTAAAGGAAACATAGCCCTTTTCTACACTTTGAACAGTTTTATTTCTAGAATGCTTGAAATTACAGAGTGAGGTCAGAAGGTGATTATGTGATCTGCATTCTCTGAATATCCTACTCTTAATTTTGTTAAGTATTATTGAATCCCAAATAATTTCTCTCCTTGAAGCTGGCTACTGTCAAGACAGACTTAAGACAATCTTAATGTTATTACAGAACAAAGATAATTTTATGATTTCCTCAAATTCAGATAGAACACCCAATTAAAACCCAATATTTTATTGAGGCCTCATGAGCATTAAGGAACACACCCAAGTTTCCTACCTATTGATACAATTACTAGAAGTACCTCTGCTACCTAAAATTCCTACTTTAGGGAAAAAAGTTATAGGTTATGATATTTTAGACCAAAAGTTTATTATGTTCAGTTTATCTTTCCCCTACAATCCTTCACAAACTTGCCCTTTGATTTTGAAAGAAGACTGATATTGAAACATAAGGTATACATTTATACTTCATATTAAAACTTTAAAAAAGTAACTTGAGAGTCAAATTCCCTCTGAATCATTACAAACCAGGGCTTACTGTTTCTTTAGTATTATTGTACATTTTAAGCACTTAGAGAGGCTGAAGTCTATGCAGTAACGTTTGAGTATGCAATGTAAATGACCAAGCGGCATTCTTTCTTAAGTAGCTAACTAGCAAGAGGAATGACATTGGAATGAATCAGTTTGAAAGAAAAGCATATGTGCGTTATTTTATTTTATTTTTTTTTTTGAGATGGAGTCTCGCTCTGTTGCCAGGCTGGAGTGCAGTGGCGTGATCCTGGCTCACGGCAATCTTGGCCTCCTGGGTTCAAGTGATTCTCCTGCCTCAGCCTCCCAAGTAGCTGGGACTACAGGCGCGCCACCACGCCCAGCCAATTTTTGTATTTTTAGTAGAGACGCGGTTTCACCATGTTGGCCAGGATCGTCTTGATCTCTTGACTCATGATCCACCTGCCTTGGCCTCCCAAAGTGCTGGGATTACAGGCGTGAACCACCACGCCCGGCTGAGTTCTTTATTTTTAAGTAATTAATTTATGTATATATGTATGTATGTACCTATTTATTTAAGACAAGGTCTTGCTCTGTGTCCCAGGCTGGAATGTGGTGTTGCTATCATGGCTTACCATAACCTCCAACTCCTGGGCTCAGATGATTCTCCTGTCTCCGCCTTCTAAGTAGCTGAAACTACAGGGGTGCGCCACCATGCCTGGCTAATTTGTTTTTATTTTTACTTTTCATTTTTATGAGCTCTTACTACTATAATTACTACTGTAATTGCCCAGGCTGGTCTCGAACTCCTGGGCTCAAGCAATCCTCCCACCTCAGCCTCCCAAAGTGCTGGGATTACAGGTGTCAGCCACCATGCACAGCTTTCATTCTTTATTTTAAAGCATTGGAGTTCATCAAACAGACTTAAACTGTGAAGAGTACTCCCAGGCAGCTTATTTGCCCACTGATACTTGTCTTTGCAGTAAACATTTCTCCAACCTAAGCACCCTTTTTATTTTTCTGACAATCCACATCAGTATCTTCATTTAAAACTCTTCTCCAAATTTAACTCTTTTAGGAAAGTTTCTCTAGCAAGCCACTGGATATCACCACTCTGTCATTCTCTATTCCCTCAGCATTACTATCTCTGGTATGAAATTTATTCTTTTGTACTCATTTCAGTGTAAGTTATGAAGTGATATATTATTGAAATCAAAAGTATGTATCATGACTAAAAGTAATAAGCTATCTTATCAATTGTGTAATTTTAGGCACATCACTTAACTTTGATGACTCAAACTTTACATCTATAATGTTCCCATGGTTTCGGTAAGTCTATGTTCCAATGGCTCCAGTAAGAATAAATGAGGATATAAGTATAATCTCTTTTAAAAAATGAAGCACTAACTGAAGTCTGAGTTACTCTTGGTTTAGAATTGTAATATATTATGTAGTCTCACTAATTTAGTTCATTTGATTGGTAGGGGAAGGGAGCCAAACTCCACCAAGATAAAAGCTAAAAACTATTCCTCAATATTATAATTTTCTTCTGTACCCCATGATTCTCCCAATTTAGAGGACTATGCTGGGTCTGCAAGATAGAGATGTTTTCTAAAACAAAGATCAGTGTTTCCTATTGTGAATTATAATATCACTAGGAGAATGGGTTTCGAATGAGTGATTTATATCACTATCTAAGCACAGCTCTTCTAAAAACTGCTAAGCACTCCATGTGTCCCAAGCGCTAATGATTAAGCAATAAATATATCAGTAGCAGTTAGTGACATGATGTCCTAAATTTTAGCAATGAGATTTTCACTTTGAGGGGGAAAAAAGATGATTAAACATATGTGAAACAAATTCTGGGAGAGCTTCTGTGAACCTCATACTTGACAGGCACATGTTAATGGGAAAAAAGGATACTTTCTACCAACTTTAAAACTGAATTAAACCCTGGGGAAGGGATATACACATGCGTTAAACGGTATATTGTTGGCTGGGCGCAGTGGCTCACACCTGTAATCCCAGCACTTTGGGAGGCCCAGGTGGGTGGATCACTTGAGTTCAGGAGTTCAAGACTAGCCTGGCCAACATGGTGAAACCCTGTCTCTACCAAAAATACAAAAATTAGCCAGGCATGGTGGTACATATTGTAGTCCCAACTACTTGGGAGGCTGAGGTGGGCATATGGTTTGAGCCAGGAAGGTGGAGATTGCAGTGAGCCCAGATGGTGCCACTGCACTCCATCCTGGGCAACAGAGGCAGACTCTGTCTCCAAATAATAATACTAATAATAATAAGAAGAAGAAGAAGAAGAAGAAGAAGATGAAGAAGAAGAAGTACATTGACATGGCTGGGCACGGTGGCTCAAGCCTGTAATCCCAGCATTTTGGTAGGCCGGTGTGGACAGATTGCTTGAGCTCAGGAGTTGGAGACCAGCCTGGGCAACAAAGTGAGACCCCATCTCTATAACAAATTTTTAAAAATTAGCCTAGCATGGAGGCACATACTTGTAGTCCCAGCTACTCGGGAGGCTGAGGTGGGAGGATCACTTGAGCCCAGGTTGCAGTGAGCCGAGATGGCACCACTGCACTCCTGCCTGGGTGAGAGAGTGAGACTCTGTCTCAAAAAAAAAAAAAAGTACATTTTCCTAACTTTTATTATTTTCTTTCCCCCTTAGAAGAGCTCAGTGCTTAGAAAATCTGGATGAATAATAATACCAGCAATTTCACAAATTTCTTAGTTTGGTTCTTTTTGAAGCAGAAAAACAAGGATGAAACATGAGAAATACCCTTCTAGGAGGTAGAGAACGTCTTTTCTCTTGATCCAAAATCCCAGTTAGTAAAGAAAATTAAAATTGAATATGCGAGACTGCCCAAATAAAGACTTTAGATGCACCAACAATGGAACAAATATGTAAACATTTAAAAATTTTGACCTGTCACACAATAGGTTTATTTTATTATCTGTATTATCTCTGGGAAACAACTCAGATTTATAACTGTGGAAATAGCATGGTTATAGAATATTTTACAGAAATGTAAGTTTAGTTACATTTCAAAATGTTTTTAAAACTGTATCAGTTCTTACGAACTAAAAAAGTCTCATAGCTTTGAAAGTAATCCATTTTCAAACAAAGTGAAGAAATTTATTTTAATCATTAATTTAATTTCTGAATGTGGCCCTAGGAATTTAATAAAGAAGTATACAACTATCATGTCACAGGTTATAATAATGGAAAACTCAGAACCTTTAAAAAAACATATATTTTTCAATTGGTATACATTAATATATAGTTATAATTGTTTATTAACTCCCCCGGTTCTGAAGATCAATCTTTTCCCTGAAAAAAATGGTAAGAATAGTGGACAAATCTTCCCAAAAGTTTTGTTCACTTTTCAGTAAAAGACACTTGGCATTTATATCTGCTTATTCTTTTAAAAATGTAATTTGGGAAGAAAAATTTTAATTATTTTTGAGAAGGGACTAAAGAAACCCCAGTGAGACATTCTGTAGAGAGGTTCTTTGTTAGTGTAACATCTGACCTTCTATATCTTTGGAAATCATGCAACTTGGCTAATGTAGTCCTTAAAGAATTAATCAAGCAGATTGTAAGGCCCTAGTTACAGTGGAGCCAGCCAATTATGAGTTGCTCAGAAATTCATCATTGGCATGTCCAACCACATTTTCCCACATAAAGATTAGTAGAAATATGTGGAAACAAAGCCCATTCCCACCGCAGCACAGCTACAATATGCGTTCAGTAAAACAAACTTCAACAAAGTTTTGCTGTACTAAAACAGACAATTTATTTGGGAATCTCTGATTCCTACCTTTACCTGTAACACCCTTTTCTGCCAAAATTGCAAAGACTACCCTGTTTAGTTAAAACCCAACTAGGGACTTTTTTTTTTTTTGAGATGGAGTCTCACTCTGTTACCCAGGCTGGAGTGCAGCGACGCGATCTCGGCTCACTGCAACTTCCGCCTTCTAGGTTCAAGCAGTTCTCCTGCCTCAGCCTCCCAAGTAGCTGGGATTACAGGCAAGTACCACCACGCCCAGCTAATTTTTTTTGTATTTTTAGTAGAGACGGGGTTTCACCATGTTGGCCAGGCTGGTCTCTAACTCCTGACCTCAAGTGATCCGCAGGCCTCAGCCTTCCAAAGTGCTGAGATTACAGGCGTGAGCCACCATGACTGGCCCCAATTAGAGACTTTAATATTTAAACACACTTCTGAATTCAAAACACTAAAGTCACATACCACAAGTCTGAGTTTGTCAGTAAGTTAGTGAAACCCCCAAGACCATCTTTAAGTCTTTTCACTGTTGTGATAATACCTTCCCAAGCCTTGCTAAGAAGAACACTTTTCTTGCAAGAGAAATTAAAGGGGCCAGAGTAGAAGATTGGTTCTCTAAGGAGAGGGCAGTGCTGTTGTTAAATAAAGAAGCTCCTTTCAGATAAGCAGAATCAGATTCCAGTTCAGTTGGTTTGCTGGCTACCCTTACTTTGAACTCTCATATTTAATCCAGCAGGCTTCAAAGCAGGTGAGAAAATGACCTACCACTTAAAAGCAATTTTTCCTTTTTCAGGAATTCTGGCCTTAGAGAATATCAGCTCTGATATAAGCACATTCCACATCTCCAGGGATTTATGCAACACTTTTTCATTGCTCTGTGTCTAATGTCAGACTAGGTTTTCATCTCAGCCAGGAGAAAAATCAGGGGAAAAAAGTCCTAACTTGCTAAAAATGAAGTCTATTCCACATAGCCGTATACCATGCAAAAGAAGAGGCACTAAAACCATTAGCCATTCTAGTTCATTCCCTTTCATTTCTCTAAATCTGATGTACAGTGAGAATTATTTAAAATCAGTGTCCAGTGCCTGGCCTCACCATAACACAATTTTTTTAACAAATGCATTTTAAGAAATTCAAACTCAATTTGCTCTGGCATGTGAGCTATTATGAAAAGATATTAGATGAGAAAGAGACAATGGTAACAATAAAGAAATTTAGGAAATTTTTAAAAAGTCTGTCTTCTGAAGTAGAACAAGTATGTCTCAAAGATTCTTCACCAATTTCTACTTTATTTGGCCATCAAATATCTGAATTAACTGGAAATGCTAACACAGACAGTTTGCAGCTTACCAACAGGTTCTGTTCTACAAGGTAGTTTGCCAGTGCCTAGAACCTGAAACATTTCTTCACCTTCTACATTCATATACACATAATGTGCCAGAAGCATAGTATTACAGTATTTTTTTTGAGACAGGGTCTTGCTCTGTTGCCCAGGCTGGAGTGCAATAGTGAAATCATGGCTCACTGCAGCCTCCACCTCCCAGGCTCAAGCGATCCTCCCATTTTAGCCCCCTGAATAGCTGGGACCACAGGTGCACACCACCACGCCTGGCTAATTTTTTTGTATATTTGGAAGAGATGGGGTTTCACCATGTTACCCGGGCTGGTCATGAACTCCTGAGCTCAAGTGATCCGCCTGCCTTGGCCTCCCAAAGTGCTGGGATTACAAGCACGAGAGCCATTGCACCTGGCCTACTAATAGTGTTTTAAAAATTATACCCAATCACCATTTATACTACAGTTTCTATGGAAAAATGCATTTTGAGCTGACTGTTAGGACATATCTCCTTTAAACAAGAAGGGGGTAGGGTTTCCCACTATTGCACTTTGGTGATGATGATGACAATAAAGGTAGCAACAACAGCTAACACTCACCTAGTTTTTACTGTGGGTAGACATAGTCCTAACACTTGCATATTTTAAAGTCATTTAACGCTCACCAAAACCCATGAGAGGTAGTATTATTCTCATTTTACAACTAAGGGTAGAAAAGGTTAAGTAACTAACCCGAGGTTGTACAGCATTGTTTCAGGGCTAGAATTCAAAGCAAAGCAGCCTGCCTCCAGAATCTATTTCATAATGACTCTGCAATGCTGCCTCTTTTCCACCTTGACAAGGCAGCACTATCGAGCTGTTCTAAATTCCTCTTATTGGGGGTAGAGTACAGCAAGTTTCTCCAAGCTTTAAATGTATATATAGGATCACCTGGGGATCTTGTTAAAATGTAGATTCTGATTCAGAAGGTCTGGAATGGTGCCTGAAGTTATGCATTTTTCATGAGCTCCTGGGTGATGGTGATGCTCCTACTGCATAGAGCAAACACTGTGAAGTGGTGAAGAAGTGTAATTTAAGCCTTTAGTTCCCTTGCTGTTTGTCTGTCTATAAAGGCATCTACACATTGTGTTTATAAGCTGGAAACTGGCCGGGTGCGGTGGCTCACGCCTGTAGTCCCAGCACTTTGGGAGGCCAAGGTGGGTTGATCACTTGAGGTCAGAAGTTCGAGACCAGCCTGGCCAACATGGCAAAACCCCATCTCTACTAAAAATACAAAAGTTAGCTGGGCGTTGTGGCACGTGCCTGTAGTCCCAGCTATGTGGGAGGCTGAGGCAGGAAAACTGCTTGAACCTAGAAGGCGGAGGTTGCAGTGAGCTGAGATCACGCCATTGCACTCTAGTCTGGGTGACAGAGCGAGACTCTGTTTCAAAAAAAAAAAAAAAAAAGAAAAAGAAAAAGAAAAGAAAGCTGGAAACTGCCCATACCACAGTCATTTCCCATTAACTCTTAAATGGAACCTGCCTTTGGAAATCCTGCACAAATATTGGTTTGCAGGAACTTTCAGTAAATACTTAGCTTTTAGGGTTTTAAAATGTACATGTAAAGGCCACAGGGATAAAAATGTGGCTGTAAAAGTTTACCATTAGGCACATTCTTAACACTATATACCATCACCTATACAGATACCAAAATAAATGCTTGTTTATTATCCATCAACTAGAAAAGCAGTATATCAATAACTTTTGGTCTGAAAAAGAAGCTTCCATTTAAAATATGTAATTATTCATTCTCAGTCTCTACTAGAGGAGTGCTAAGGAACTTATGCTATGTAATCGTAAAGATTCTTCTGGTGCCATTAGTGACTGCCTAGGTAAAGGCAGACACTATAAACATTAATTGTAGCTTGCACCCCATGGAAATATACTACTAACAGTTGGTATAGATCTATTCCAGATTCTAGATCTCCCTCCTTGCTCTATTTCACTTCCTTCCCACTCCACTTGCCTGAGACAAATCCAAGAATCATCTCTCCCATTGCTTGCCTGTGATCTCACATACACAGTTGCACATTTTCTTTCCAGCTATTAAATGGATGGAATTCTCTTTCTAGGCCATTTTTATTCGATGCCAGATTACATAGTAAGGTCATTTCAGTTTGAGATGCACTCACTCAACTATTAGCACTACTGCAAATAACAGTTATGAGTATGATCACTAAGTGTTCATTTTACACTGAAAAGAAATAGAATAGTCAGTTTCCAAACCAAATAGCTATACTCCCTGAACAACAGTGGAAAGTCATTCTTCTTGAAGTTTGACCCAGAATCAAGTGCAGACTCAGACTCCTAGGCCTACAGCCAGTGGCAACTTAACACATTATATGGTTGACCTTCAGGGAAAAAGGGAAACCACTGCTCTTACCACTGGTGCCAGAAAAAAGCCAACTAATCTTTAAGGCACAAAATAAACTATTCTTAAGGCAGAAAAAGAAACTGTGAGGAAACAAGTTAGAATGGAGGCATATAGAGAAAAATACAGAAAATACATTACCAAGTAAGGACTAGTTTTTCCATGGTTCTCAGTGTTTTCATTTTTGGGAATATAATTAATCAGCATTTTCTTTTTGGGTTTTAACTCCTACTACCTGGTAGAAATGCAAAGATGTACAAGAAAGATGCATTTTTAAAAAGGCTTGGAGACTTAAAGGCAATTATCTTTGCTAATTTTACTTTGAGCCAGTGACATTAATAAGTTCATATAGAAAAGTAAATAGTTGCTGGGCATGGCGGCTCATGCCTGTAATCCCAGCACTTTGGGAGGCTGAGGCGGGCAGATCACTTGAGCCCAGGAGTTCAAGACCAGCCTGGGCAACATGGCAAAACCCTGCCTCTACAAAAAATACAAACATTAGCTGGGCATGGTGGCATGTGCCTATAGTCCCAGCTACTCGGGGGGCTGAGGCGGGAGGACTGTTGAACCCAGGAGGCGGAGGCTGCAGTGAGCTGAGATCGTACCACTGCACTCCAGCCTGGGTCACAGCGAGACCTTGTCTCAGAAAAAAAAAAAAAAGTAAATAGTGATGGGATACCCACTCTAGTATCAGTCCTCAAGTGTTAACTGGTTCAGGAAATGGGGAAGTAGTTCAAAACTAAAGGGTAAAAATGAAAATATAGAACTACACATGGTTCTATATCCAAGTCTGGGGAAGTAAGAACAAGCAGACACAATAACTTGGAGAACCTTTGAGACATAGGCACATTCTGTACCTAGGGACAAATGTCCCATCTGTTCCCCCGCCTTATGTACTTATTATCCATCCTAGTTGTGCTCTTGAGTTTAAAGTTCAACAAATCCTGAGAACTAATGATTTCATTTAAATGAAAAAAATCAAAGGGTTTGTTTACAAAATAGGGTATTTTTAAAAATACCAAAGATAGTAACAAATGCTGTTTATCACCAAAAGTGATCTATAAGAGCAAACTTTATAATGTTATATTGTTACAATCTTATATTGTATTCTTTAAACTTTTAAGCAACAGAAGTAGCTCAAATCACCAAAAATTTATGTTTGATGTATTTATGGCAGCAACTATATACAAATCAATTCCTTTAATTTACAACAAATATCTTCCATTGTTCAGCTGGGTTAGCACAGGCAGATCAGAGATGGTTTCTTGTGTGTTTTACAAATAATCTACACAAGTCCTTGAGATCATACTTACAGCTTTAGCAAAAATACCCATGATTTCAGGAAACTGGTGAGTGAGAATGGCTATCATTGCTGTAGAAGAGCAAAATCCTGCTGTGAAATGGATGAACAAAGGAAGCTCCTTTTTTGGGTAAACAGAAACATGATGAAAGGCTGCAATGGAGAATAGGTAAGAATCAATTTTATTTCAGAATAACATGTAAACAAGTCTTAATCTTTTCAAATGAAATCTGTTTTTAAAAATTAAAAAGAAAAAAAATTTAAAAAGGAAAGTCTCTGGCTAAGCAAGGTAGAAGACAGTTATCCATTATTTATCCCAGCATCAACAGCATATCTAAATAGCCAGACAACTGTGCTGGGTGTGGGAACAGGATGGCGTCATGGGAAAGAATATTGATTACAAAATCATGCTGAGGTGATTTTGAAAAAAAGCTTTGTCACTTATTAGCTATGTGATCTTGAATAAGTTGCTAAACCCTCTAGAAGTTGCTATGGAGAGTTGTAATGATGAACATTTTAAGTGCTTAATGTGAGTTGCAGCCACAGGTGGTGGTTCACGTCTGTAATCCCAGCGCTTTGGGGGGCCAAAGAGGAGGATCGCTTAAAGCCAGGCATGCGACACTAACCTAAGCAAAATCGTGCTTAAAAATTTTTAAAAATTTTAAAAATTAGCCCAGCATGGTGGTGTGTGCCTGTAGGTCCAGCTACTCTGGAGGATGAGATGGGAAAATCACTGGAACCCAGGAGTTTGAGGCTGCAGTGAGCTATGATCATTCCACTGCACTCCAGCCTGGGTGACAGACCTGTCTCTAAATAAATAAATAAATAAATAAATAAATAAATAAATAAATACATTTGAGTTGCTACTTTTTTTTTTGAAGAAGAAGAGTCTCGCTCTGTTGCCTAGGCTGGAGTGCAGTGACATGATCTCGGCTCACTGCAACCTCTGCCACCCAGGTTCAAGTGACTCTTGTGCCTTAGCCTCCCAAGTAGCTGGGATTACATGCACAGGCCACTACGCCCAGCTACTTTTTTGTATTTTTAGTAGAGAGGGGTTTTGCCATGTTGGCCAGGCTGGTCTCAAACTCCTGGCCTAAAGTGATCCGTCCACCTCGGCCTCCCAAAGCGCTGGGATTACAGGTATAAGCCACCACACCTGGCATTGAGTTGTTATTAATTATTGTTCTTTGGGAGCTCAAAGACTAGTATGGAGAAAGAGGCAGACATGTCATTGGTGATTTCCTAGGACCATCAGTTAATAATTTTACCCAGTTATTAATGTGTTTATATATGTGGCATTTCATTAGGCACTGTAAAACTAAAGTAGGTAAGACGGGAGCAGTGGCTCACGCCTGTAATCCCAGCACCTTGGGAGGCTAAGTCGGGTGGATCACGAGGTCAGGAGATCGAGACCATCCTGGCCAACATGGTGAAACCCCGTCTCTACTAAAAATATAAAAATTAGGTGGGCGTGGTGACACGCGCCTATAGTCCCAGCTACTCAGGAAGGCTGAGCAGGAAAATCGCTTGAACCCGGGAGGCGGAGGGTGCAGTGAGCTGGGATTGTGCCACTGCACTCCAGCCTGGCAACAGAGCAAGACTCTGTCTCAAAAATAAATATGTAAATTAATTAATAAATAAAGTAGGTAGGCCAGGTGTGGTTGCTCATGTCTGTAATCCCAGCACTTTGGGAGGCCGAGGCAGGTGAATCATTTGAGTTCAGGGGTTTGAGATCAGCTTGGCCAACATAGTGAAACCCCATCTCTACTAAAAATAGAAAGATTAGCCAGGCATGGTGACGTGCACCTATAGTCACAGCTACTTGGGAGGCTGAGGCAGGAGGATCGCTAGAACCTGAGAGGCAGAGGTTGCAGTGAGCCAAGATCATGCCACTGCACTCTAGCCTGGGCAACAGAGTGAGACTCTATCTCAAAAAAAAAAAAAAAAAAAAAAACCTAAACTAGCAAACTGAAGGCCTAGGATTCTGACCATAAATAAAGTCCCTTGTCTTATTTTACCATATTTACATATTTACTCAGCTATTATTTTTCTAGTGATTGGATATTTCGTTATCAATTATACTCAAGTATTTATATTTTATTTGAAATTTGAAAATACTTGAATAACAATACTGAGATGAGCCTATTAGAGTACTTAACATGCAGTAGGTGCTCAATAAATGTCTGCTAAACTGAGAGCTATTCTGGGACTTCATTAGGCCAGGAAGTTGACCGCTTAGGGCTGGATACTAACCCAGGAATTTCTGATGTAATATCCTGCATTAGTAAGGGATGACTAATTTTGTGCTGAACCAAGGTCAGCTATAAATTTCACTTTTAAAACATAATGATTCACAGAGATTACACCTAAGCTTCCTTCAACAGCTATATTTTAATTTTTATTTTACTATATTCAGAAAGTATATACCAAAACACAAACCCATTAAAAATCCAGAAAATGTCCAGAACCTTGAGCCATGATTAAAGTAAAAGCACATCAAAATGGAAGTTTTAAAAGTTAGAAACATTAGAAACTGTAGAGAACATTGTGCTTTCAGCACCCAAAGAACCAGTCAGCAATCCCCTTTGCCCTGTCCCTCAGCCATGAGAGGCCAACTTCTTCTTCTTCCCAACTTCAAATCAAGAGAAACAAACCCTGCTATTCAAGAAGGTGGGAAACACATACAAGACAGCAAAGTTAGTAATATTACCTAACCTATATAGCATTTTATGGTTTATAAAGAACTTTAATTTATATTAGCTCATTTAATTCTTTTCAGTAACCCTAAGAGATAGTAGTATTCTCACTTTATAAGGTAGAAAACTGCATAGCTTTAGTGAGGAAATTTCCTAAAATATGAGATTTTTATACTGTAAGAGAGACCTAATTATTTCTTCCTGGATTGCTTTCTGTAGATTCATTTGTCAGTCAATGTTTGGCTAATACATCAAAATAATGGATGACTATTACAGAAACACTCCCTTGGAACGAAAGTTCAAATTTCATCACTGGCTTGTAGAGAAAAATTTATCAGAAGGCATAAAAGACGACTAAATAGCTATGTGAACTAGGGGAATAGTTCAACTCTGAACTTATGAGGTCCATAAGCAAATTCCAGAATGCGGTAAGTCATATCAAAGTTGAAGGAAAATTAAAAACAAAAAACATTAAGTACTCCTGGGTATTAAAACTCCTTATTGTTAACAATTTGTTCATTCTTCCACAGTCAGAGACAGAAAAAAATACTCTAAGAACATAAAATATAATCAAACAAAACCCCCCAGCATATTCCCCCTCTCCTACCTTCTGGAGTTTGCACCAAGTTAGAATAAAGGCTTGCCAAGAATAAACTGTCTGGTCTTATAGCTTACAGCTTTGACAACATAATAACCCTGATTTTATTCATATTACTATGTAAAATTGGCCTTATATTAGACAACCTTTGCAATAATTTACAAAGGAGGGCATTATTTTAGGCTAAATGTATTAGCTTAATATAATATACTCTTGCATATTGATGTTCCATAATTTAAGGTCCATTCTTTTGCCTTAAATATATTTGTTCCTGTTAAAATGGAAAGACAACAAGAACTACCACCACCACCTCTTTAGAAAGGAAAATAAAATTTCTCTCATTAATGACATCTTAATTGCTAAAGTCAATGGATTCTTCTTAGTATTTACCTTACCTATTATCTTGGATATTACTCCTCACTTGGAAATTTCTTCTTCCTTTTAGTTCTAGCATATTTAGTTTTAGTTCTTGTCCTGTCTCTCTGACAACCTCTTCACTGAATCTTCAACTGTCATTCTGCCACTCATTGCTTAGACATTTCTGTGCATCCATGGTTCCACCCTCAGTTCAATTCTCACTGTATACAGTTTTCCTTAGTGATTTCATTTATGCCTACGACTTCTTTTGCTACCTAGAAAATAATGACTCCCAATTCTGTTTTTTGAGATGTACAGAGGAAGATATATGAGGACCGCTGGCAATTTTATTTACACAACCTAATCCTGTCTTTAGGCTACAGCTGACTGGACAAGGAATAAACACCTGGATAAATCTGATTCTCTCTCCCAGAAGTTTTAGAAGTGGGATTGAGGCTGGGTGCAGTGGCTCACACCTGTATTCCCAACACCTGTTGAGGCAGGCAGATCACTTGAGCTCAGGAGTTCAAGGCCAAGCTGGGCAACATGGTGAAACCTCACCTCTACCAAAAATACAAAAATTAGCCAGGCATGGTGGCACATGCCTGTGGTCCCAACTACTCAGGAGGCAGAGTGGGGAGGATATTTTGAGCCTGAGAAGTCGAAGCTGCAGTGAGCCGTGACTGCACCACTGCATTCCAGCCTGAGTGACAGTGAAATCCTAACTCAAAAAAAAAAAAAAAAAAAAGAGAGAAAAGAAAAAGTGGGATTGAGATATTATTCATTCTGTATTGTCTGCCTGAACTCATGACATGTAAATAGAGGGCTGTAGGGGCCTCAAGTTTGGCCACATGGTTGTCTATGAAGGGAAAGCCAAACTGTAAAGAGAAAGATGTAAGAATGAAGTGGATACACTGAGAGAAACAGAAACGACAGAACACAGAAGGAGAAAATGGGGCTGGGGATGAAGGAAAGGAAAGTAAGAATAGGAAAGACTGAAAAAAGCAGCCAGGGACAGAGAGATATACAAATAACTGATTCCTGGAAATCCTAATGGCTTTCTAGTCCCCAGTTCTAGTCCCTTATGAAGTCCAAATATAATTGTTGCTATTGAGTTCTCTGATAACCCAGTGTTCTTCCAACAAATTACTATTTATATTTAAGCTAGTTTGAAGTTGCTCTCTATTACTTATGCCTACAACATTCACTAATTATAAATATTATATGTATACTTCATAATATACATTATATACATAACTTAAAAATATATCTATACCTATATATTATTTAGAGAGAGGAAAATATAGACTTGTATGTATATGTGTTAAGTAGATTATACAAGAAAATATTTAAGCATATAAATCTCTATATATGTACATATATATATACACATATACAGGTATGTATGTATATATGGATGAGATGTTACACAGGCAACATAGTCAAAGCTTGAACTTATTTATTTCCCTAACCCCTATTCCCAAATTGGCTCCTCCTGATATAGGATAGATTTACCATTCTCCAAGTCACCGAAGTCAGAAAATTGAGAATCATTCTTGACCTCCTAGATAGCTAGGCCCTCCCTTCTAGAGCTTTCTTTCTTTCTTTTTTTTTTTTTTTTTGAGACAGAGTCTTGCTTTGTCACCCAGGCTGGAGTGCAGTGGCACGATCTCGGCTCACTGCAACCTCCACCTCCTGGGTTCAAGCAATTCTCCTACCTCAGCCTCCTGAGTAGCTGGGATTACAGGCGCAAGCCACCACACCTGGCTAACTTTTGTATTTTTAGTAGAGATGGGGTTTTGCCATGTTGGCCAGGCTGGTCTTGAACTCCTGACCTCAAGTGATCCGCCCAGCTCAGCCTCCCAAAGTTCTGGGATTACAGGCGTGAGCCCCATGTCTGGCCCTTCTCAAGCTTTCTTATAATGTATTCCATACATGTAGCACTTAACACATTGTCTGTCATCTTTGTCATCTTTTTTTTTTTTTTTTTTTTTTTTTTGGAGACAGAGTCTTACTCTGTTGCCCAGGCTGGAGTGCAGTCTCAGCTCACTGCAACCTCCGCCTCCCAGGTTCAAGCGATTCTCCTGCCTCAGCCTTCCAAGTAGCTGAGATTACTGGCATGTGCCACCATGCCGGGCTAATTTTTTGTAGTTTTAGTAGAAATGGGGTTTCTCCATGTTGGCCAGGCTGGTCTCGGACTCCTGACCTCAGGTGATCCGCTCGCTTCAGCCTCCCAAAGTGCTGGGATTACAAACGTGAGCCATCGTTCCTGGCCTGTCCATCATCTTTTTATCAACCTTGTTAGCAGCCTAGGAGTTCAGAATAGGGTGAGAGGGAGAAGGCACTAATATTTAGCATTTTAGTTAAGTACTTACAATGTGCCAGCCATGTTTATAAGAATAAATTAATGAATTTGATTAATTCAACCAATATTTATTGAATACCAATTTTTATGGTAACCATTATAAGAGATACAGGAACAATGGCCAGGTGTAGTGGCTCACACTTGTAATCCTAGCACTTTGGGAGGCCAAGGCGGGTGGATCACTTGAGGCCAGGGGTTCAAGACCAGCCTGGCCACCATGGTGAAACCCTGTCTGTACTAAAAATACAAAAAAAATTAGCTGGGCGTGATGGTGGGTGCCTGTAATCCCAGCTACTCTGGAGGTTGAGGCAGGAGAATCACTTGAACCTGGGAAGCAGAGGTTGCAGTGAGCCGAGATCAGACCATTGCACTCCAGTCAGGGCAACAAGGACGGAAACTCCATCTCAAAAAACAAAAAAAGAAGAGAATCCTGGCCTTCAAGGAGTTTACAATCTAAAAGGGGAGATTAAGAAGTACACAAAGCACTTTGAGAATTCAGAGTAGGAAGAGATCACTTAGCAGATAAAGGAAAATAAAAAACATTAGGAGAAAAACACCAGCATACTCAATTTGCCATAATCTCTCCTAAATTTTCATTTATCAGTTTAAACTTATCAACTAGTTAAGTTTGATAGTTGTAAACCTGCAATTTTCCTTCCTAGACTTCAGTTTTAATGGCTCAGTATTGTAAAAACTGTAGCACAGGTTTATATCACATAAGAAAACATGGTCCTAGTGTTTATAGCCTTCGGCATGGTTGCTTCTCAGCTAAATCATAAAAAGAGAAGTTAAACAGAAATTTACTAGTTTACAGAGGAAAGAACAGATGATAAGGCAGCTGAGACACAAAGTGTAGACTGTTCTTTTGAGAAGTCTGGCTTCCTAAAGGCAGGAACTAGACTGAAACACTACCAGCAATCATAATCCTACATATTTCCGGTTCTCCTTCTAGTTCTTTGACTGCTCTTTTTCAATTCGTTCTTCTTCATAAAGATTGTTTGGGTCCTTTGCCTTTCCATATACATTTTAGAATAAGCTTGTTACTTTGTGTGTGTGTGTGTGTGTGTGTGTGTGAAAAATCCCTCCTGGGATTTTGATAGCGATTGTATTGAATCTATAGATCAATTTGGAGAGAATCGTCATCTAAATAATATTGGGGCCAGCCATGGTGGTTCACGCCTGTAGGCCCAGCACTTTAGGAGGCTGAGGCAGGTGGATTGCTTGACCCCAGGAGTTTGCAACCAGCCTGGGCAACATGGCGAAACCCTGTTTCTACCAAAAATACAAAAATTAGCCGGGCATGGTGGCATGCACCTGTAATCTCAGCTACTCAGGAGGCTGAGGCACAAGAATCGCCTGAACCCAGGAGGCGGAGGTTGTAGTGAGCTGAGATTGCGCCACTGCACTCCAGCCTGGGTGAGAGTGAGAATTGGTCTCAAATAAATAAATAAGTAAATAAAATTGGGTCTTCCAATCCATCAACATGGAATGTCTCTCCATTTATTTAGTTTTTCTTTAATTTCTCTCAGCTATATTTTAGTGTACATGTCTTAAATTTCTTTCGTTAAATTTATTCCTAAGTAGTTTTTGTTGCTACTATGATTGCTATTGTTTTCTAAATTCAATTTTCAGATTGTTCATTACTAGTATATAGATATATAATTAATTTTAGTATATTGATCTTATATTCTACAACCCTGTTGAACTCATTTATTAGTTCTAAGAGTATTTTTATGGATTTCTTAGGATTTCCTACATAGAAGATCATGTCACCTTTGAATAAAGAGAGTTTTACTTCCTCCTTGCCAATAACGAGTGCCTCTTATTGCTTTTTGTTGCCTGGTAACACCAGCTAGAACCTCTAGTACAATATTAAATAGAAGTGGTGACAACAGATATCCTTGTCTTATTCCCGATCTTAGGGGGAAAGCATTCAGTCTTTCTCCATTAAATATAATGTTAATTGTGGGTTTTTCAGGGATTTTTTTTAAATCAGGTTGAGGAAGTACCCTTCAATTTGTAGTTTACTGAGATTTTTTCTTTTTATCTTGAATGAGAGCCAGATTTTGTCAAATGCTTTTTCTGCATCTACTGTGCTTTATTCTATTAACTATGGTACATTACATTTTCAGATGTTAAACCAAACTTGCATTTGTGAGGTAAATCCCACTTGGTCATGGTATATAAGCCTTTCTATATGTTGCTGGATTCAGTTTCCTAATATTTTGTTGAAGATGTTTGTGTCTATATTCATAAGGGCTGTTGTTTTATAGTATTTTTATATCATATCTTTGGTTTGGTATCAGGAAAATACTGCTCTCATCAAATGATTTGGGGAGTATTCCTTCCTCATTTATTTTCTGAGTTTGTGAAGGATTGGCACTATTTCTTTTCTAAAAGTTTATAAGATGACAGTTCTTGTTAATATCTTTAATCTTGGTGTCCTTTGTTGCATCTAGCACAGAGTTTTGCTCAATAATTATTAGGAAATAAATTGAATTATACAACTACATCCCAGAAGTGGCTAAAATAGTATTTAAACAGTGTCCTGAATTTAAACCAAAGGCATTTTTAAAATGGAGAATACTATGACAAACAATCTAAACTTACTACTTTTAAGTTTAAGAAAACTAAAATATTTACTTACTAGGTAATAGCTCTCTATCAGCCGTCTCTGTGCAGCTGGGATAAGGGTAAAATAGATGTCCTTTCTCTAACGGGTATGGAATCATTCTAAAAGCTGAGGAAAAAAAAGCATGTGTTGATACTCAATTCTGTCTCATTTACCATCCTATATTTGGAGACAAATTTATATAGAAATTTCACATACTATTTTCTTTTTTTAGTGAGACATTTAGATACGAGAAACAAAGTAAGCAAAATAATAAATAAGGGGAAGGATAAGATTTATTTAGATAATAGTGAATGGTCTAGTCTGGCTGGAGTAAAACTATAGGGAGTGATAGATGAGACTGGCTGGGTCCTTCTTTGCTTCATTCAGTCTCCTCATTACAAACACAATTGATAATTCCAAAGCAGAATTGATAATTCTGCCCCTTACAGAAATCTTCATATAACTGGGATGTATATAACTGTTGTGGCCATTACTATTGGCAACCTAAAATAGTTTTCAATGGTTCCTAACTTCACATGTGAGTTTCACCAAAGCTTTCTATGAGCAGATCTTTTTTTTTTTTTTTTTTTTTTTTTTTTGAGACAGAGTCTTGCTCTGTTGCCCAGGCTGGAGTGCAGTGGCGTGATCTTGGCTCACTACAAGCTCTGCCTCCTGGGTTCACGCCATTCTCCTGCCTCAGCCTCCTGAGTAGCTGGGACTACAGGTGCCCGCCACCACACCTGGCTAATTTTTTGTATTTTTAGTAGAGGCGGGGTTTCACCGTGTTAGCCAGGATGGTCTCGATCTCCTGACCTTGTGATCCACCCACCTCGGCCTCCCAAAGTGCTGGGATTACAGGTGTGAGCCACCGCGCCCGGCCTATGAGCAGATCTTAATCTAGATCAGGGGTCACCAAAGTATGGCCCTTTGGCCAGGTCTGGCCCACTATGATTTTATAAATAAAACTTTATCGGAACATAGTTATGCCATTCATTTACATATTGGCTAAGGCTGTTTTCATGTTACAAGAATCGAGTAGCTGTGAAAAAAACTGTATGGCCCACAAAATCTAAAATATTTACTATTTAGTCCCTTGCAGGAAAAGTTTGTCCACCCCGATCTAGATTGTCACCAACTCCTGTGGATTTATTAAAGAAGAAATCTTTATTGATCTATTCCATTAGCTAAGTACATAAATCTTTAACGTTGTCAATAGGTTCTTGGAAACTGTGACTTTAAATGAAATGTCATATAATAAAACCAATTTTACCATAGGCTAACTGATATAAACAAGAGTTAAGTTCCTTGGTCACAAAACATCACCAAACTTCTAAATAAAGATCCAAAACACTTCTTATATTAAACATTGAAATAAATGTGAGCTATACATACGTTTAAGAAAGATTCATAAAAACAGGATCATTATTTACCCAATTATTTTAGTTCAGGGTCAAGCACGGCCAGAGCCTATCCTGGCAGCCCAGGGTGCAAGGCAGGAACCCACCCTGGACAGGACACCATTCCAGTATACCACTCACACACACCCCCACACTCACTCATACTGAGACAATTTAGATACACCAATTAACCTAATGTGCACATCTTTGGGATGTAAGGGGAAACCCACAAAGGCATGGGAATATCTTGCAAACTTCACAAAGACAATGGCCCTGGCTGGAAATCTGTTTTTTTTCCCCCCGATCAACATTATAATGAAATAATGTTGAATGAAACAACATTATTTAAGGGCCTGCTGTAGTCATCAAAATTGCGATAAGGTTTTTGTTTTTCCTTTCGTGTTTGGCTCTATAAACTTTTGTCGCAATTTAGACTTTATTTATTTATTTATTTATTGAGACAGAGTTTTGCTCTTGTTGCCCAGGCTGGAGTACAATGGTGCGATCTCGGCTCACCACAATCTCCGCCTCCCAGGTTCAAGTGATTCTCCTGCCTCAGCCTCCCAAGTAGCTGGGATTACAGGCATGCGCCACTATGCCCGGCTAATTTTGTATTTTTAGTAGAGACGGGGTTTCTCCATGTTGGTCAGGCTGGTTTCGAACTCCCAACCTCAGGTGATCCGCCCACCTCAGCCTCCCAAAGTTCTGGGATTACAGGCGTGAACCACCATGCCCAGCCTAGACTTTATTTTACCACAATAAGAAGTAGTTATTTGTCCAAAGTCATAGAGTAAATTAGTGATAACACTAATAAATCATTGATCATGATTCATGAAATACAGTATAAATCATAGGTGGTTGGGCATGATGGCTCATGCCTGTAATCTCAGCTCCTTTGGGAGGCCAAGGTGGAAGGATTGCCTGAGGCCAGGAGTTCAAGACCAGCCTGGGCAACATAGCAAGACCTCATCACTACATAAAAAGTAATAAAAGAAAATAAAATCATACACTTATTGAAAACCTATTTGCCAAGCAGAATGTCAGGCAGTGAAGACATGCACAAAATGAGTGAGACAGAATATCTGCTTTTGAAAAAAAGAAAAGATATTCATTGAGTATAGACTTAAAAAAAACAAAACAAAACAAAAAACAATATCTGCTTTTGAGGAGCTTATGGACTACTGGAGAAAAAGCAAAAGTAAGTTGAATTACTCAAAGACATTTGGTTTCTCAAGCACATAATCCCAGTTTTATCAATCTTTTCTTTAAACACACACACACACACACACACACACATATTAGAGAGAATCTTGCTATGTTGCCCAGGGTGGTCTCAAATTTCTGGCCTCAAGTGATCCTCCTGCCTCAGCCTCCCTAGTGGCTGGAACTACAGGTGTGAGTCACAACACTTGGCTCATCAATTTTATTTACATTGTCATTGTCAAGCCACAGTGTCTGGCTTTTAGCAAATGGTTAATGCAGAGGTTCCAAAATTGGTTCAAGATAATTTCACTTGTTAATAGTGAGTCCAAACAACTTAAAAAATTTATGTTCTGATAATTTAGCAGCAATTTGGAAAAAAATGCACATAAATTTAAAGAATCAATAAATCAATTTTCTTATTTCATTTTTAAATGACCATAATTTCTTACTAATGAGATATAGGTATGAGCCTATTAGACACTGTACAACTTCTCAAAACTTGGAATCACATTGGACACTACCATTCTCATTTCCTATATCACATTGATTTTTGTGTGGTACTTCTTTTAATCAGAGCAACTAACAAAACTCCAGCTTTGCAAAGATATAATGATATTGAAAGGAATGGAGAATGATCTAATGTTGAAACTGTGAACTGTCTGGAGCTAATAGTTTAAGTGATA
Organism: Homo sapiens; assembly: GCF_000001405.40. Classification (NCBI taxonomy): domain Eukaryota; kingdom Metazoa; phylum Chordata; class Mammalia; order Primates; family Hominidae; genus Homo; species Homo sapiens. The sequence goes on from NC_000001.11 coordinate 112,553,851, forward strand.
TCTGACAGATGTTGAATTATTCTTATTATTATTTTTGAGACAAGGTCTTACTCTGTCACCCAAGCTGGAATATAGTAGTGCCATCTCGGCTCACTAAAGCCTTGACCTTTTGGGAGGCCTCAGCCTCCCAAAGTGCTGAAATTACAGGCATGAGCCACCATACCTAGCCTTGAATATTGTATTGTGTTTCCATTGAAAATTAAAAATGTTCTACAGCACTCTTGTGAATTGCTGCAATATCCAAGGTGCCTCAGAGTAGTTTGGGAACTGAGGCGGGTTAACCAATTTTAGTGAATAAGCATTGAATTTATTTTTGAATTTTTACTGATAGCTGTGGTGTACTTTTCAAAAGAATTATGTGAATCCTATGGTAAAATGTTTTAATTAAGCTTCTTTACTTTCTTGGTGGTTATAAGAAGCAACAATTAAAGAGATCGGGTAGTTAGTTTAAAACAGTCCAATTTATTCTCCAAAGAAGATATATAAATGGCCAATAAACACATGAAAAGATGTTCAACATCACTAATCATCAGAGAAATGCAAAACACCACCACAATGAGATTCCACTTCACATCCATTAGGATGGCTATTATTTACATAAAGAAAAATCCCAGAAAATAACAAGTGTTGACAAGGATGTGAAGAAATTGGAACTTTTGTGCCTTGCTGGTGGGAATGTAAAATGGTGCAGCTGCTATGGAAAAAAACACTACTGAGCTTCCTTAAAAAATTAAACATAGAATTTTATGATCCAGCAATTCCCTTTCTGGGCATATACCCAAAAGAACTGAAAGCAGGAACTCAAATAGATATTTGTACACCAATATTTGTAGCAGCATTATTCACAATAGCCAAAAGGTAAAAACAACCCAAGTTAAATGGGTATCTGTTCATTAACAGATGAATGGATAAAAAAAATGTGATATATACATACAATGAATTATTCAGGCTTAAAAATGAAATTCTGATGCATATTACCAATATAAATGAATTTTGAAGATATTATACTAAGTGAAAAAGGCCAGACAAAACAGAACAAAAATTACGTAATTCCACTTATATGAGGTACCTAGAGTAGTCAAACTCATAGAGACAAAGTAGAATGGTGGCTGCCAAGGGCTAGAGGGAGGCAAGACTGGGGAGTTATTATTTAATGGGTATAGAATTTCAGTTTGGGATAATGAAAAAGTTCTGTAGATGGATGATGGTGATGTTCGTACAACACTATGAATGTACATAATGCCACTGAACTATATACTTAAAATAGTTAAAACTAAATTTTATGTTGTATATATTTTACAATAAAGAATAGGTTGATATTAGTTATGAAGAAAATAGTTTCATATTGTATACATCGGAAAACAAAACAAAACAAAAAGACCAATTTTTAAAATATTAGAATAGCTCAACCACATTAAAAAAGTTGTAAGTCAGGCCAGGTGCGGTGGCTCATGCCCGTAATCCCAGCACTTTGGGAGGCAGAGGTGGGCGGATCACGAGATCAGGAGATCGAGACCATCCTGGCTAACACGAGGAAACCCCATCTCTACTAAATATACAAAAAATTAGCCGGGCATGGTGGCAGGCGCCTGTAGTCCCAGCTACTTGGGAGGCTGAGGCAGGAGAACGGCATGAACCCAGGAGGCAGAGCTTGTGGTGAGCAGAGATTGCGCCACTGCACTCCAGCCTGGGGGACAGAGTGAGACTCCGTCTCAAAAAAAAACAAAAAAAGTTGTAAGTCAAAGGGCCAAGTTTTCATTTTCTTTCCTTACAAATATGTAACTTAAATTAACATATGGCAGAATACCATAACAATTTCTCATTCTGCTTTTGTGGGATCAATATAACATTATGCATTTCTACCAATAAACCAAATATCTCATCACTAATTTCCATTTGAAACCAATCTGAACGACAAATCCTTATGGAAACCCAGACAATCTCATTTAAAAAGACTGCCTGTGAATTCAATGAATAGTTAGAGAGATTAGTGTTACTTTTGGAAAAGAATACTTACTGCCTTCCCATGTACACTGTAACAGATTAAGAGCACCTTCTATTCGTTTCCAGTGCTGAAGATGAAAGAAAGCATAGGCAATTGCTTCACTATCACCCCGTTTCAGAATGTGTTCTGGAGGTAAAATTAAACTTTTCATCTCTAATAAATACTGAAAGAGTAACACACAGACACATATACACACAACAGAAAAAAGAAAAATTAAATTGTGTTAAATTCAAACACCCACAAAAATGTAGATTCAAAGTGTTAGAAAGTTAAACTGATTTTTAAAAAACTAACTGAAATGACATGAAGATACTGATAACATGTATAAAATGCTTATATACGCAAATTATGAAAACCAGAATATTTCTATAGGTAAAAATAAGGTGATAAATGGCATATGTGTGGCCTGGCTAAATACAAAATGGAAACTCGAGCTGAGAAGATGTGAGAGTAGATATTTATTTTTCCAAAAAGGAATTAAATGTAAAAATTACACATTTTTTATTTTTAAAATTCATTTATTTTAAATTTTTAATTAAGCCATTTCCTACTGAAAGGAAGAATTAAATATAAAAATTATGAAATCCAATTTTGGAACAATATTTGTGCAATTCTTTTTTCTCTTACTTACATTTTATAGGTGAAAGAACTTAATTGTGGAAAAGTTCAATTAAATTCCTATTTACTAAGTTCAAAGCACTGTGGTTGTTAGGGAATACCAAAGAACGCTTTGCCTGTTCTGTGGAGCTACATAATGCAATGGAAAAGACAGATTTCTTAAGTGAATAATTATAACAAGACTACGGTGAGTACTTTATTAGAGGTATACACAATGTACAAGGCCGAGTGCGCTGGCTCACACCTGTAATCCCAACACTTTGAGAGGCCAAAATCGTGAGGTCAGGAAATCGAGATCATCCTGACCAACATGGTGAAACCCCATCTCTACTAAAAATACAAAAATTAGCTGGGCCTGGTGGTGCATGCCTGTAGTGCCAGCTACTCAAGAGGCTGAGGCAGGAAAATCACTTGAACCCGGGAGGCGGAGGTTGCAGTGAGCCGAGATTGCGCCACTGCACTCCAGCCTGGCGACAGAGCGAGACTCTGTCTCAAAAAAAAAAAAAAAAAACAAAAAAAAAAAAACACAAAGAAAAGAAAAAAAAAGGTGCAATACATAGGAATACAGATAGAGGTATTAATTTTTTTAATTTAGTTTTTAAATAACAGCCTTTATTGAGATATAATTCACATACCTTAGAATTCACCCATTAAAGTATACAATTCGAGGATTTTTAATATATTCAGAGATATGTGCAACTATTGCCAAAGTCAATTTTAGAACATTTTCATCACTTCAAAAGAAAATCCTGTACCCTTTAGTTACAACTCACTTCTCCCCTAGTCCCCCAACCCCCTTAAGCAACTACTAACCTATCTTATATCTCTATAGATTTGCCTATTCTGGATATTTCATACAAATGGAATCATTTTGTGACTGGTTTCTTTCACTTAGCATAATGTTTTCAAGGTTCACCCAGTTTGTAGCATGCATGGGTACTTGTGCCTCATTTCTTCTTATGGCTGAATAATACTGCATTGTACATATGGTATATATGTTCTGTTTATCCATTCATCAACTGACAGATATTTGGTTGTTTTTAGCTTTCGGCTATTATGAATAATGTTGTTATAAACACTTGTGTATAAGTTTCAGAATGAACATATGTTTTTGTTTCTCTTGAGTAAGTACCATGGAGTAGAACTGCTGAGTCATATGATAACTCTATGTTTAGGAAGTATTATGATTTAGAGGCTAGAAATAAACCACTTGATGGGATTTGACTTGATATTTACAGATAGGTAGAATGTGGATGAGTGGACTGGGGAGTGAGGAGAACAGCAGGAGGACATAAACAAAGCACAGGGCCATCTTGAATAAAGGCACTGAACCAAGAGAGCATACTGCAGGATACATTTAATGTGCCTGTTAAAGAAGTTATAGTTTTCTCTCAATTCTTCTTCAGATATGAACCTAAATTTTATCTTAAACTCCTAATGAAAATACTTGTACTAATATTATCATTTATAACAAAAGCAGTGTAATCACAGTTACTATAGCAATCAAATGTACTTGTTATATGTAGAAAGATACAAAGTTAACTATCTGTACAGCATCTTTACTATTAGTCAACTTAAAACCTTTAAAAACTTACTTAGTTAGCTAAATACTATCTCCAAAGACTGAGACCAGAATGCACTTGCCCTTCTAGAATAGGTTTGAAATTACCTCTTTGGTTCCAAACAATTTGATATCAAATTATGTGTCATAAGATACAAATTATGTTAACTTCTCTTATAAAATATAAAAAGAGAAACATTCCAGAGGTGTCTCAAAAGATACACTCTCAGATTTCAAATTCTAGTTCCTCAGGTTGTTATACAAACTAACGGGACAACAGAAATTAAAGAGCTGAATTTGTGAAACACTTTGTAAAACTGCTACAAGCAATAAGACTCTAGGAAGACTCTTAAAAACAAAAAGCTGTAGTGGTTTCAAAATTTAAGCCTTACTTTATTTAATCAATATACATGTACTCCTCATATTATATCTAAAATAATTTTTCGATTTATGAAATGTACCTTTCCAACAATTACTAAGTTTAATGCCCATCTTTAATTACTCTTACTCTTGATGTCTTTGGCTCTGTTCTCAAAGTGTAAGAATATAGTCTGCTCATCAATTTATTTTACCAGATGTCACAAACTATGAGATTATTTACTAATCCAGTTTGGGGACTTAACATTTCCCATTCAGTTTCTTAAAGGAATGCAGTAGAGGTTGTGTCCTGGTCAAGCAAAGCCCATTTGATGCCTGGTTGGGTTCTCTCCCCTTAGTGCTTTGGGCCTATATTCAGGAGGGTAATATTCTTTCTAATCCCCTCTAATCCTTGCCCATTTTTTTTAAAACACAGTAAAAGATCACTCGCACCAGGCGGCTGTGGGAAAATGGACTCAAATAGCTGACCTCTGACATGACTCCTTATGTTCTTTGCAAGCGCACTAAGAGCTTCTTCAGTAGGAAGCAAAGAAAATGTGGCAATCACAGTGGAATTGTCATAATAAAAAGAATACTGAGTTTTCAGAAGAAAACTGCATAATATTTAAACCAAGTTCTTTCTATTAAAATTCTGTTTCATTTCACAGACAAGAGACAAAATATCCCAAATCATTTTCAGTGAATTTTAGAACTCCGAAGCCTTAAACCCCAACATGTTAAGTATTTAGTATATTCGTAACCATTTAGCAAATGTAAGCAAAGATATTCAGTTAACAATTATTAAGTAAAGCTTATATTACAAAAAATATCAATTTGATGTGTCAAAAAATACTTTTATTTATTTATTTTTTAGACGGTGTCTTGCTCTGTTGTCCAGGCTGGAGTGCAGTGGCTCACCAGAACCTCTGCCTCCCAGGTTCCAATGATTCTCCTGCCTCAGCCTCCCGAGTAGCTGGGACTACAGGCATGCACCATGATGCCAGGCTAATTTTTGTATTTTTAGTAGAAACGGGGTTTCACTATGTTGGCCAGGCTGGTCTCGAACTCCTGACCTCGTGATCCACCAGCCTCGGCTTCCCAAAGTGCTGGGATTACAGGCATGAGCCACCACGCCTGGCAAAAAAAAATACTTTTTTAAACAGCAACTATATACCTAAATTTTTACTGTTTAATAATCTGAGTGATAATTCAGGTGGTAAACACACATGGCACACTTATTAAGAAATTATACTTCAAGATTTTATATTAAAAATATTTTCTATTTAATCATTTTAAAAATCTTCCTTGGCTGGGCGCAGTGGCTTACACCTGTAATCCCAGTACTTTGAGATGCCAAGGCAGGTGGATCACGAGGTCAGGAGTTCAAGACCAGCCTGGCCAAGATGGTGAAACCCCGTCTCTACTAACTATACAAAAATTAGCCAGGCGTGGTGGCGGGCACCTGTAATCCCAGCTACTCGGGAGGCTGAGGCAGATAACTGCTTGAAGCCGGGCGGTGGCAGTTGCAGTGAGCCGAGATCGTGCCACTGCACTCCAGCCTGGGCAACAGAGCAAGACTCCATTTCAAAAAGAAAAAAAAATCTTCCTTATGCTAGCTTATTTTTTATTTAAAATAATTATTTGTTATCGATTATTATTGGTGGTCCTACCCACCAGCAAATATCCTTTCCAATTTGACTTTAAAACAAAGCAATTTTTCGGGCCAGGCGCAGTGGTTCACGCCTGTAATCCCAGCACTTTGGGAGGCCGAGGCGGGAGGATCACGAGGTTAGGAGATCCAGACCATCTTGGCTAACACGGTGAAACCCCGTCTCTACTAAAAATACAAAAAATTAGCTGGGCGTGGTGGCGGGCGCCTGTAGTCCCAGCTATTCGGGAGGCTGAGACAGGAGAATGGCGTGAGCCCGGGAGGCGGAGTTTGCAGTGAGCCAAGATCGCGCCACTGCACTCCAGCCTGGATGACAGAGCGAGACTCTGTCTCAAAAAAACCCAAAAACCAAAAAACAAAAACAAAAAAGCAATTTTTCAATTCCTGATTAGACAGTAAAATAAAAGTTGATCCCCAAAATATAAGAGAAAAATTTCAATTTAAGGAAAATGTATACAAATTATAAGATTATTTATTTTATCTCCTTCACAAACTGCTACTCAGGAATTTCCACTACCCAGCATAGGCTGTAACTTATTACACTATAAAAACCATATCCTTAAAATTCTACTACCATGCCTAGCATATTACACTAAAAGCAAGTATTAAAATACTTATTGGCCAGGCGCGGTGGCTCACACCTGTAATCCCAGCACTTTGGGAGGCTGAGACGGGCAGATCACCTGAGGTCAGGAATTTGAGACCAGCCTGGCCAACATGGTAAAACCCCATCTCTACTAAAGACACAAAAAATTAGCCAGGCATGGTGGTGGGTGCCTGTAATCCCAGCTACTTGGGAGGCTGAGGCAGGAGAATTGCTTGAACCCGGGAGGCAGGGGTTGCAGTAAGCCGAGATCGTGCCATTGCACTCCAGCCTGGGCGACAACAGCAAAACTACATCTTAAAGAAAAAAAAAAAAAAAAACTTATTAACTGAGTTAATCTGATAAATACAGCTGAAATGTCTTCAAATTCATATTTATATTTTAGTTTTTACCAAAGATATATTTTAACTCTCTGGGAAAACTAAAACCAAATACAAAAACTCTGCTACCCAGACTTTAATTTTCTAAGAAGAATATAAAAGATTAAAAACTGACCGATGATTTTTTTCAGTCTTTTTTTTTCTGCTTAGTAAAGTATATGCTCAGTGTACAGAAATGGAAACATAACAGAGCTAAGTAGTAGAAAATAATATGTTTGAAGAATAAAAAAATAAACTAAAGACAGGGCATGGTGGTACATGCCTGTAGTCCCAGCTACTCAGGAGGCTAAGGCAGGAGGATAGCTGGACCTCAGAAGTTTGAGCTCCCTGCCTCAAAAAAAAAAAAAAAAAAAGACAATAATCTGATTTATGTTTGTCTGGATTTCTTTTTCTATGCATAATACATTTTGCGCCTCCCTTCCTGTCTCTATACAGATCTAACTTTTTTTTTTGGAGATGGAATTTTGCTTTTGTTGTCCAGACTGGAGTGCAATGGCGTGATCTCGGCTCAGTGCAACTTCTGCCTCCTGGGTTCAAGCGATTCTCCTGCCTCAGCCTCCTGAGTAGCTGGGATTACAGGCGTGCACCACCACACCTGGCTAATTTTGTATTTTTAGTAGAGATGGGGTTTCACCATGTTGGTCAGGCTGATCTCAAACTACTGACCTCAGGTGATCTATCTGCCTTGGCCTCCCAAAGTGCTGGGATTACAGGCATGCGTTGCCCGGCCAATCTAACATTTTTAATTGTTGTATGATATCATATTTAAAGCTGAGTTATTTCATAATATAGTAAATACAGTCATGGTAAAATCACACTGTCATCTTTAAAAGGTAAAAAAATGGTATTATTAAGCAAAACTTGTAAAAACAGTTACGTAAACTAGCTTAAAAATTTGAAGAAATGATGCTTCTAAAACTTTACTTTTTTTTTTTTTTTTGAGACAGGGACTCACTCTGTCACTCAGGCTGGAGTGCAGTGGTATGATCATAGCTCACTGCAGCCTCGACCTCCTGGGCTCAAGCAATCCTCCTGCCTCAACCTCCTTAGTAGCTGGGACTGTAGGTGCAACTACCACATTTGGCTAGCTTTTTAATTTTTTTTGTAGAGATAGGGTTTCACTGTGTTGCCCAGGCTGGTTTCTAACTCCTGGGCTCAAGTGATCCTCTCACCTTGGCCTCTTGAAGTGCTGGGATTACAGGTGTGAGCCACTGTGCCCAATCTACTTTCTTTAACTTAGATAGACTTTTAAAGCAATGCAGTTCCAAACTACAGATATGTCTGTTTCCCAGTGTTTACTGATTGTCTATATAAGCTAGGAAGAGTGTTGGACATTAAATGATAAGTAAGACAAGTGCCCTGCTTTTGTTCAGAGGGAACTATGGGAGAAACATACAAACAGACCAATTAAAAAAAAAGATATGATTGAGATACTGAAGGAACAGAGAAGAGAAAGCCGTTATCTCTTCTTGGGAAAACTAGAAAAAACTCCTTATAAAGGAGACAACAGATGAGCAGGGTCTTAAAGAATGAGTAGAAATTTGCCAGGTAGAGAAGACAATGGCGGTGAGGTATGATGAGGCATGACCAATCCAGGGAACAGTGACAATGAACATAATGAGCAAAGCAGAACTGGCAAAGAGTAAGGCTGGAGACAGATACTGGCCCAGAATATGAAGGGCTTTTATAGGTGTAATACTAAAAGGTTGGTCCTTATCCTGTAGGCAATCGGGAACAAGCAGAGGTCTTTTAAGACTTGCTATTTAGGTAGATAACTCTGGCAATAGCTGGAATGGAGAAGGGCTGATGGCAGAAAGATGAGTGAGGAATCTGTTTTAATAGTCCACACAAGACACGGTAAAGTATTTGAGATTCTTTCTATGTCTATCTCTATGTGTTTAGAAATGCGTAGAAAATGTGGGCCAATATATATACCAAACAGTAACAGGTGGTTACTTCAGAGAAGTAGAATTGGGAGGGAGAGAACAGGAGATTTCTACTTTGTAAAAGTCTGAAGAGTCTGAATTTTTAAAAAGTACCTATTACTTTTGTTATAATAATAATAATAATAATAATATATTTTTTAAAGTACAGGTAATGAAGGCAAACAAGAGTCAGTGACAGTGGGGATGAGATAGATGGCTAGATCTGAAAAACATTTCAAAGGTTATAATATGAGTTGGCAATTTGGAAATGGCAGAGGTAAGGGTTAATGAGAGGATAATGAAGCCATAAATCAAAATATAGAAATAAATGAGAGGCAGTTTGGCAGTTTGAAGAAAGGACTTAACAAATTTTAAAAATTCTGTTTGAGACACATTAAAGTGTTTGAGGTACTTAACATGTGATTTCCACAACCAGATGGAAATGCTAAGTCTACAGACAAAGAAAGAAGCCAGAGATAAAAGACACAGATTTGGAAATTATCAACAAATAAAACATAGCTGAGGACACAAACCAAAGCTAGGACCTAATATGTGCTATCAGACCTTCCATATTACCTCTGACTCAGCCTATTGTGTCTGTAATGAGAAACTGCTTGGGACAATTTTAACTAGCATTCAACTATGAACAATACATTCAAATGAGTAAAACAAGAGAATTTAGCCTGTTGCTTTTCACTAAAAATATAATTATTAAGGCTCCTTTGGAAGCTATGGTTAAAAAGACATAATGATGTATGGTCTAGTGGTTTCTTTTACAACTCTAAAGCCCTATGTATGCTTACACTCAAATTTACTTTAATTTTGAACTGCTTTGATCTTTATAATTTATCTTTAGATTACTTTTTTCTATTACTTTGTAAATCTTACAACAGCTTTTGACCAAAAGCAATATAATTCTGACCTGAAGTAATGATAATGCTTTATAATCTTCCTCTTAAAAGCAGAGGTTAAAGAAAAATCTCTCTGAAGGCATCTGAAATTAAGGTACTTTGCTCTTGATCAGTCATGCACACAAAGAACCAACTTATCTCTGCAATTAGTTTTCTCAGTGCACATTCTATGAGATTGGACAGGCAGGGCGAATGCAGAGTCCACATTGGTATGTATTGGGGGAGACTAAAGACAGTTCCCAGATAGAAAATAAACAGAACTGCTATGTGAATAAACTGAAAGAAAACATAATACTACCTAACAATTTCAGGAGCCAAATAAAGTGACTTATACTGAAGGGAAAAGGAAAGGAGGCTGGAGAGGGCATTGCTACAAGAAAACTCCTTTCCACATCATCCTACAGAGCCACACCTCAAGATATAAGCATTTCATATCTCAACTCTTCTACTTAGGCCACAGTACAACATAAGGGAAAGGCAAAGGTTTCATTGTGCTCTAAGTTTGGGTCACAGACTTCAACACTTCTCCTTTGCTCTCTTTACCCCTGCTATGCCACTCGGAATGTCAACTGAGCACCTGTTTCCCTTTTATCTTTTATATATGCCGGTGCTATGATATAAGTAGTTTAGCCAGTGAAATGCAAGTCTGCTGCTAAAGAGCTACTATCAGCTGGGAGCAGTGGCTCAGCACTTTGGGAGGCCAAGGCAGGTGGCTCACCTGAGGTCAGGAGTTCAAGACCAGCCTGGCCAACATGGTGAAACCCTGCCTCTACTAAAAATACAAAAATTGCCCAGGTGTGGTGGCGGGTGCCTATAATCCCAGCTACTTGGGAGGCTGAGGCAGGAGAATTGCTTGAACCCAGGAGGCGGAGGTTGCAGTGAGCCGAGACTGTGCCATTGCACTCCAGCCTGGGCAACAAGAGCAAAACTGCATCTCAAAAAAAAAAAAAAAAAAAAAAGAGCTACTATCTTCTAGGGTGGATAAGACTTGTAACATTCTACGGGCTTCCATTTCTGATCAACCAGAACAGATTTTACTTTCTATGTATCAATTTATTTTTAAAACTTCCTCTGCACTTAAAAGTCTCCAGGTATAGTCTACTTTCTTGGCAGCATAACACTAAAAGCAGTTTTATTGTAAAATAAGAAATAGTAATTTTTATTTATTATTATTATTATTTGAGATGGAGCTTTGCTCTTGTTGCCCAGGCTGGAGTGCAATGGCGCGATCTCGGCTCACTGCAACCTCTGCCGTCCAGGTTCAAGCGATTCTCCTGCCTCAGCCTCCCAAGTAGCTGGGATTACAGGCGCCCACCACCATGTTCGGCTAATTTTTTTTTTTTTTTTTTTTTTTTTTTTTTGTATTTTCAGTAGAGACAGGGTTTCACCATGTCGGCCAGGCTGGTCTCAAACGCCTAACCTCAGATGATCCAACCCATCTCGGCCTCCCAAAGTGCTGGGATTGCAGGCGTGAGCCACCACGCCCAGCCAAAATAGTAACTTTTAAATGCTACAGATAGCGAATTTCTAAATATGTACTCCAGTTATAAGGATTTACTAAACACACTTTTGTTATTGTTTTGTTTCTTACTGCTCTACTTTACTCTTGCCCTAAGGGCTTCTTCTGTAAGACACAAACTGTTTTCAGGGTATTGTAACTAATTCAAATTAGTTATTACCTAACTATTATTACGTTATTAGCTAATTCAAATTAGTTAATTCCTAACTGTTTTCAAAATCTTCACCACTACCTCATCTCAACAAAGGAATCCCCCAAACCTTATACATTCTAAGGCTACAAACACTAAAATAACATCCACAAAGAAACAAACACTGAACAACTCAAAGAAGATGGGCCAGGCACAGTGGCTCATGCCTGTAATCCCAGCACTTTGGGAGGCCAAGGTGGGCGGACTGCTTGAGCCCAGGAGTTCAAGACCAGCCTGGACAAATGGCAAAACCCCATCTCTACAAAAAATACAAAAATTAGCTCCGTGGCATGCACCTGTAGTCCCAGCTACTAGGAAGGCTTAGGTGGGAGGATCACTTGAGCCCACCAGGCTGAGGCTGCAGTGAGTCATGATCATGCCACTGCACTCCAGCCTGGATGACAGAACAAAACTCTGTCTCAAGAAAAAAAAAAAAGGTACAGAAATAAAGTGACAACCACCATGATAATCAATAATAGCCTGACACTCAGACACTGTGTTAAGCACTTCACATACATTATCTAATTTCATCAGAAGGCATGATACTTTTACAATGCTTTCCATGCTAAGTCAAATTCTTTTTTCTTTATTGAGGTATAATTTTAAATACATAGATCCTAAATATGCGGCTTGATGAGTTTTGACAAATGTAGACAAGTAATGCCCAAATCAAGACATATTTTCTTTTATTTCTTTTTCTTCTTCTTCTTTTTTTTTTTTTTTTTTGAGACAGAGTCTTGCTCTGTCATCTAGGCTGGAGTGCAGTGGCGTGATATAGGCTCACTGCAACCTCCACCTCCTGGGTTCAAGTGATTCTCCTGCCTCAGCCTCCCAAGTAGCTGGGACTACAGGTGTGTGCCACCATGTCCAGCTAATTTTTTGTATTTTTAGTCGAGATGGGGTTTCACCATGCTGGCCAGGCTGGTCTCGAACTCCTGACCTCGTGATCCGCCCTCCTCAGCCTCCCAAAGTGTTGGGATTACAGGCATGAGCCACTGCGCCTGGCCATCAAAACGTATCTTCTTTCACTCCAGGAAGTTCTCCTTTCTAGTTAATGAATGTTTCACCTGACCACCTGAGGCAAACAGTGTTTTCATTTCTACCACCACAGATCACTTTTTGCCTTTTCTTGAACTTCACATAAATGGAATCATTCAGTAAGTACTTGTTTATATGTCATATTTTTGGTTTCATTCATGTTTTGCTTGTATCAGTAGGTCTTTTTATTGCTGAATACCACTGTATTGTAACTTACTTATCTATTTACCTATTGAAGGACATTGGGATTGTTTCTAGTTTGGGGCTATTATAAATAGAACTGCTATGATATTCATGTTCAACTCTTCTTGTGGACATATGATTTCATTTCTCTTGGGTATATACCTTGGAGTAGGATTGCTGGATCACAGGTTGAAGGATATATTTAATTGTATCAGAAATTGCCAGTTTTCCAAAGTGGTTGTACCATTTTGTAATCTTAGCAGCAGTGTATGAAAGTTCTGACTTTCACATTCTTATTGACATTTTATCAGTCTTTTAAATTTTAGTCATTCTGATAGATGTGAAAGTATTACTTCATGACTTTATATTGCATTTCTCTCATAACTAATGATGTTGAACATCTTTTCTTTTTTTGCCTGCTTCATTTTACCTTCATATGAACATCTCTTTATGTGTTATTGGACATTCCAATATTTTCTTTTGTAGTATCTGTTCAAGGCTTTTGCCCATTTTTTAATATTGTGTTTTTTTATATGTATATATTTTGGATACGAGTCCTTTGTCAGATAAACATATTACAAATATTTTTTCCTGTCCATGGCTTGCCTTTTTGTCTTAACACTAACATGAGCAGACTTTTAAAATTTTGATAAAGTTCAATTTGTAATTGTCTTCTCTTATAATTGCCTTCTATGTCCTAGGAAATCTTTCTTTACCCCCAGCTTTCAAAGATAGTCTTAGATGTTTTGGTCTAGATGTTGTATAGTTTTGGTTTTTATATTTAGATCAATGACACATTTCAAATTAATTTTTGTGTATGCTATGTGAAAAAAATTCATGATTCCCTCCCACCACATTTAGATATCCAGATGTTCTAGTACCATTTGTTGAAGTTCCATTTCCCCATTGAATTGCATTGGTGCTTTTGTCAAAAATCAATTGACAGTATATATGTGAATGTTTTGTCACATATATGACAGTATATATGTGGATCCATTCTGTGATTTTGTTTTTTATAGTAATTATTTTATATTTGAATATAAAATAAAATTTAGAAGAATTCAGCTATAGTATGCTTACTTTAAAAATCATCAATAAAATATTACAGCAAGCCATTGTTAGATCTTAAAGTTGGGCGATATTATTCTAACTGATGTGTGAAGTGTCATACCAACAATAGTTACATTTATAGTAGATCACTGACATTCAGGGATCTAACGTTTACAATTTCTACTCTTTGTGGGAGCTCCAAATACCCATGATGTATAGCAGGCATCATTTTGCTAAGGCACAAATTTGAATAACATGCTTTGAGGCTTGTGCACGCATGTGAATGATGTACCTAATGAATACATCTAGCAGGCTCTTTAGCATCTGTATCTCAGCAAGGTTTGTGACCCATTCTCATGTTTACATTTCATAGGTGAAAATACATGTAATAGTGGCATTTTCAAATGTGGATATTCACAATGGTTCTGGATCACATTAATCAAGAGTGTCAATGGTCTACTGTAATAATATTTTTTTTTTTTTTTTTTTTTTGTGAGACGGAGTCTTGCTTTGTCGCCCAGGCTGGAGTGCAGTGGCATGATCTCGGCTCACTGCAAGCTCTGCCTCCCAGGTTCATGCCATTCTCCTGCCTCAGCCTCCCAAGTAGCTGGGACTACAGGCGCCCACCACCATGCCTGGCTAATTTTTGTATTTTTAGTAGAGACGGAGTTTCACCGTGTTAGCCAGGATGGTCTCGATCTCCTGACCTTGTGATTCGCCCGCCTCAGCCTCCCAAAGTGCTGGGATTACAGGCATGAGCCACTGCGCCTGGCCAATAATAATGTTAAAGAATACCTTATAATAAAAAGATAAATAGAATACCTTTAATTTAAAAAACAAAAAAACAACAACAAAAAAACAAATTTAGGCCAGGCACAGTGACTCAAGCCTGTAATCCTAGCACTTCGGGAAGCTGAGGCAGGAGGATCCCTGGAGCCCAGGAGTTTGAGACGAGCCCGGGCAACATAGGGAGACCCTGTTTTTTATAAATATAAATATAAATATATATATATATATATATATATATAAAACAAAAATTTAAAAATATGCAACTTGAACATATATCTGTCCAAAGAAAAAACACAAACAGCCAATAAACATATTAAAGTGATGCTTAATATCATTAGTCATTAGGGAAATACAAAACAAAACTACAATGAAATATCACTTCATACCCATTGGGATAACTATAATAAAAAAGACAGATAATAATAAGTGTTGAGACAAATGTAGAGGAACTGGAACTCACACATTGCTGAGGGAATGTAAAATAATGCAGTTACTCTGCAAAACAGTTTGGCAGTCTCTCAAAAAATTAAACAGAATTACTTGCGATCTACCAGTTCCACTTCTAGGTGTATACTTGAGAGAATTGAAAAATTTATGTTCACACAAAAACTTGTACATGAATGTTCATAACAGCATTATTCATGCTAGTCAAAAAGTGAAACCAACCCAAATGTCCATCAGTTGAATGTATAAACAAAATGTGGTACAATGGAATAGTATTCAGCCATAAAATGAAGGAAGTACTGACATATGCTACATTATGCTAAGTGAAAGAAGTCAGACACAAAAGGCCACTATTATACGATTCAATTCATATGAAAAGTCCAGAATAGGCAAATGCATAAAGACAGAAAGTAGATTAGTGGTTGTGAGGGACTGGGGGGTGACTACTAACAGGTACTTCTTTCCAGAATTAAATAGTGGTAATGATTTTACAACCTTGTGAATATACTAAAAACCACTGAATTATATCCTTTAAAAGTGAATTTTATAGTATGTAAATTATCTCAATAAGAAAGACAGTATCAGCTGGGCGCAGTGGCTTACGCCTGTAATCCCATGACTATGGGAGGCCGAGGCGGGTGGATCACGAGGTCAGGAGATCAAGACCACCCTGGCTAACATGGTGAAACCCCATCTCTACTAAACATTACAAAAATTACCCGGGCGTAGTGGCACGCACCTGTAGTCCCAGCTACTCAGGAGGCTGAGGCAAGAAAATCGCTTGAAACCGGGAGGTGGAAGTTGCAGTGAGCCGAGATAGCACCACTGCATTCCAGCCTGGATGACAGAGGAAGATTCTGTCTCAAAAAAAAAAAAAAAAACAAAAAAACTATGAAACCATTTGATGGTTGGATAAGAAAAGTATGATACCAGAATGAATGAAACAGAATGCAGTGGAATATTTAGAATATATGAAACAATTTCTACTGAAAATAAAACTGACAATTCATATAGTAGCTGAAAGATAAACGACCGTTTTTGTGTTTGGCAACTAAAAAAAAAGTTCACTGAATCAAAGCCATAGCTAAATAATGAAGAATAAGTCAAAAACCATGAACACATGCTGTTCTATTTTTTTTACTGTGGTACTATCAGTTACTATACACTGAAATTCATTTAGTAGAATAAAAAAGCTATAGAAGCTATCAATATTAATGAAATACCTAAAAGCAAATTCATTGCTTGAAGAAATTTATATGATCTTTCTCTATTGCACTTCTAATAGTTTCCAGCTTTAACAAATTGCACAGCTCTAGACCTACAGCCATTTCTGTTGTAGTTATGTGGAAAGTTGCCAAAAATATTTCCCGCTAAAACAGCTTTATCCTTTGTCATTTTACTGCTAAGATGCATACAACCATTTGTATAATAAATTTGTGAGAATAAAAGATGTATATATATATATATATATATATATACACACACACATATATTTGAAATGTCACTGTTCCTTAGGTTGAATAAGTTATTGTGACTCACAATTGAAGTGTGAAGAAGAAAACCCCTAAATCCCTTTATGTTTGCTTGCTTCCAGCTGACAGTCAGGAATAGAGACCATAACAGGAGAAAAAGAGGGTCTGTACATACTTCATCAATTGTAAAACCCTAGCAAAAACAGCCAGTCACAAATTCCAGAGCTCTCCCAGTTCATATAACATCAATGTTATTTAAGTGAGATATTATTCAGGTTGGTGAAGTTTAAAACTTCTCCAAAAGTTTTGGCTCACAAATCTTCTCCAAAAGTGGTGGCTCACGCCTGTAATCCCAGCACTTAGCGGGGCCGAGGCAGGTGGGCCACTTGAGGTCAGGAGTTCGAGACCAGCCTGGCCAACATGGTGAAACCCCATCTCTACTAAAAATACAAAAATTAGCTGCACGTGGTGGCGCATGCCTGCGGTCCCAGCCACTTAGGAGGCTGAGGCAGGAGAATCGCTTGAACCCGGGAGGTGAAGGTTGCAGTGAGCCGAGATCAGCCCACTGCACTCCAGCCTGGATGACAGAGCGAGACTGTCTCAAAAAAACCAAATTCTTCAAAAAAACCTTAATAATTATTGTGTTTCATAACACTCGGCTTAAAGGGTCTATCTACAAACAATAATATAAGTTTATAGCATCACTCACTTAGCTGGATATTTTGAAATAGCTGAATTGTCAACTGCTTTGATATTTAGTTGAGGGGAAAATGGGTAAATTTCTACCTATAAATAAAAATGACATTAAAATGTTAAAGTGTATATGTGTGTATGTATATCTATCTATCTATATATCTATATAGTTTTATTTATTTATTTGAGACAGAGTTTCGCTCTTGTTGCCCAGGCAGAGTACAATGGCATGATCTTGGCTCACTGCAACCTCCACCTCCCAGGTTCAAGTGATTCTCCTGCCTCAGCCTCCTGAGTAGCTGGGGTTACAGGCATGTGCCACCAGGCCTGGCTAATTTTGTATTTTTAGTAGAGATGGGGTTTCTCCATGTTGGTCAGGCTGGTCTCGAACTCCTGACCTCAGGTGATCCACCCGCTTCGGCCTCCCAAAGGGCTGGGATTACAGGTGTGAGCCACCACGCCCAGCCTATATAGTTTTAATGAAGCATACTTTATATATCCCAAAATTCATGTTTGTAACTATAGACATATCTTGGACATATTGCAAGTTCACTTCCAGACCACTGCAATAAAGCAAATATCAAAATAAAGCAAGTCACACAAATTTTTTGGTTTCCCATGACATATAAAATTTACTTTGCCCAGATCCACCAGAGGAATCACTATATATGGGACCTACGGCCTTACTAAATGTATTTCTGAAATAATAGGACTTCCAAGTCAAAATGACTTCTTGATCTGTGGGCTGCAGAATGGCTGTTGTGTTAGCAGGTGTGGAAACATTAATCTCCTTGTACATCTCCAACAGAGCTCTTGGGTGACTAGGTACATTGTCAATGAGCAGTAATATTTTAAAAAGAATCATGTCTCAGCAGTAGGTCTCAACAGTGGGCCTAAAATAGTGTTTAAACCATGCTATAAACAGATGTGCTGTCATCCAGGCTTTGTTGTTCCATTTATAGAGCACAGGCAGAGAAGATTTAGCATAATTCTTAAAGACCCTAGGATTTTTGGAATGGTAAGTAAGCACTGGCTTCAACTTAAAGTCACCAGCTGCATTAGCCCCTAAGAAGAGAGTCAGCTTGTCCTCTGAAGCTTTGAAGCCAGGAACAACTTCTCCTCTCTAGCTATGAAAGTCTTAGTTGGCATCTTCTTCCAATAGAAGGCTGTTTCATCTACTTTGGAAATCTGTTGTTTCTCAACATGAGCAAAGCAGAAAAAAGAAAAAGAAGAAAAAAAATTTGAAGAAAATCTTTTGTTTATTATATCTACCTTCATGGAATAAATATAACTCTAAATCAAAGATGAAATTATAAACAGATTAGAAAATATTTTGGGCCAAGGGAGGTGGCTCACACCTGTAATCCCAGCACTTTGGGAGGCTGAGGAGGGAGGATGCTTGAGGCCAGGAGTTCAAGACCAGTCTGGGCAACATGTGGAGATCCTGTCTCTATTTTTTTTTAAAGAAAATATTTTGAACTAAATTATGTAAAAAATGTTGCTATAGTATGCAGTTAAAATTGTGTTGAGAGAAGTTTCTAGATTTAACTGGGTATATCAGAAGAAAGACGAAAATTACAGAGTTAAGTACCTATGTGAGAAGACACAGGAAATTAAAATAAAATAAACTCAAATTAAGTTGAAGGAAGGCAATAAAGAGCAGAAATGAATGAACCAGAAAATAAATAGTAGAAAAAACCCAACAAAGCCAGAGCCAAGTTCTTGGCAAAAACAAGTAAGATTGGCAAATCCCTAAAGAACCTGATCAAGAAAAATAAAACTAGCCAAGGTTAGGAATTAAAAAGTGGGGCCAGGTGCAGTAGCTTATGCCTGTAATCTCAGCACTTTGGGAGGCCGAGGCGGGCTGATCATCTGAGGTTGGGAGTTTGACACCAACCTGACCAATATGGAGAAACCCCATCTCAACCGAAAATACAAAATTAGCTGGGTATGGTGGCGCATGCCTGTAATCCCAGCTACTCAGGAGGCTGAGGCAGGAGAATCACCTGAACCCGGGAGGTGGAGGTTGCAGTGAGCCGAGATCGCGCCATTGCACTCCAGCCCGGGCAGCAAGAGCAAAACTCCCTCTCAAAAAAAAAAAAAAAAAAAAAAGAATTAAAAATTGAGTATTACAACTAATGCTGCAAATACTAATATGGCAATAAAAGGATTTTATGAATACCTTATGTCAATACATTTGAGAATTTTGATGAAATAAATTTTTAGAAAAATACAACTTAACAAAAACATAAGAAGAAACAAAAAATTTCAATAGTTATGATATGCTTAGAAATTGAATTTGTAATTAAACTATTAAAGAAATGAAATTTGTAACTCAAAGTCTTCTCACAAAGAAAACTGAAGAATCAGATGGCTTTAATAACAAATTTACTAATCATTTAGGGCAGAAATAATTCTAATTTTATACAAATTATTCCACAGAATAAATAAACAGGGACCACTCTTTAACTCATTTATAAATCCAGGGCCAGGCATATGTTTGCTCACACCTGTAATCCCAGCACTTTGGGAGGCTGAGGCGGGCAGATCGCTTGAGCCCAGGAGGTGGAGGTTGCAGTGGGCCAAGATCACACCACTGCACTCCAGCCTGGGCATGAGAGCAAGACCCTGTCTTCGTTTTTTCTTTTCCTGTTTTTTTTTTTTTTTTTTTTTTGAGACGGAGTCTCACTCTGTAGCCCAAGCTGGAGTGCAGTGGTGCGATCTCGGCTCACTGCAACCTTCATCTCTAGGACTCAAGTGATTCTCCTGCCTCAGCCCCCCAAGTAGCTGGGACTACAGGCGCACCCCACCACACCCGGTTAATTTTTTTGTATTTTTAGTAGAGACAGGGTTTCACCATGCTGCCCTGGGTGGTCTTGAACTCTTGAGCTTAGGCGATCCACCCACCTCGGCCTCCCAAAGTGCTGGGATTACAGGTGTGAGCCACTGCGCCCGGACTTTTTTTTTTTTTTTAATGAGACAGAGTCTCACTCTGTCACCCAGGCTGCGGTGTAATGGCACTATCTCGGCTCACTGCAACCTCTGCCTCCTGAGTTCAAGCAATTCTCCTGCCTCAGCCTCTCGAATAGCTGAAGAGTCTGTCTTAAAAAGAAAAAAAAAGCCAGACGCACTGGCTCACGCCTGTAATCCCAGCACTTTGGGAGGCCAAGGCGGGCGGATCACAAGGTCAGGAGATCGAGACCATCCTGGCTAACACTGTGAAACCTCGTCTCTACTAAAAATACAAAAAATTAGCCAGGCGTGGTGGCGGGCGCCTGCAGTCTCAGCTACTTGGGAGGCTGAGGCAGGAGAATGGCATAAACCCGGGAGGCAGAGCTTGCAGTGAGCCTAGATCACGCCACTGCACTCCAGCCTGGGCGACAGAACAAGACTCCGTCTCAAAAAAAAAAGAAAAAAAATCCATAAATAAAAAGTACAGATAAAAAACATAAAGGGAGGAAATAAACATAATTAATAAATAAGAATACAAATGAATAAGAATAGTGGTTACCTTTAGGTAGGAAGGGAGGTTGTAATGGGAAAGGGCAGTCAGGTAGGCGTCTGTGGGTTGATAATGTTCTGTTTCTTGATCTCGATAGTTTTCAAGCATTTACTTTGTAATAAATCATTAAGATGCACATTTTTGTCTCATACACTTTGCTGCATGTGTAGTAGAACTCATAATAAAAAGTTTACAAGGCTGGGCGCGGTGGCTTATGCCTGTAATCCCAGCACTTTGGGAGGCTGAGGCGGGCGGATCACAAGGTCAGGAGATCGAGACCATACTAGCTAACATGGTGAAACCTCGTCTCTACTAAAAATACAAAATAATTAGCTGGGCGTGGTGGCGCGCACCTGTAGTCCCAGCTACTTGGGAGGCTGAGGCAGAAGAATCGCTTGAACTCTGGAGGCGGAGGTTGCAGTGAGCCAAGATTCTGCCACTGTACTCCAGCTTGGGCGAAAGCAAAACTCTGTCTAAAGAAAAATAAAAGTTTACAGTACTCACTCCTTATCCTCAGTACATATGTTTTAAGACTCCCAGTGGATATCTGAAACCACAAATAGTACCAAACCCTACGTACACCATGTTTTTTCCTCTAAATATATGCCCATGATAGAATTTAATTTATAATTTAGGCACAGTAAGAGACTAATAACAATAACTAATGATAAAATAGAACAGTTATAACAATATGTCAATCTTGCATTTGGGGTCACTATTAAGTAAGATAAAGGTTACCTGAACACAAGCACTATGATACCATGACAGTCGATCTGATAACCGAGTTGGCTACTAAGTGACTAATGGGCGGGTAGCATAGACAGTGTTGGATATGCTGGACAAGGGGATGAGTCATGTACTAGCCTGGATGGAGGGGGATGGTGTAAGATTTCATCAAGCTACTCAGAACGGCATGCAACTTAAAACTTATGAATTGTTTATTTCTGGAATTTTCCATGTAATATTTTCAGACAGAGGCTGACTGTGGTAACTGAAACCATGGAATGCAAAACCATAGATATGGGTGAACCGCTGTCTTTAAATTTATGGAACCAGTGTCACTTAATGAGAGAATGGTATAAATATTTGTTGACTCTCTTTCTTGGATTTAAGTACTTTTCTTAACCATATCTTTACTTACTCTAACAGGCTTACAACATCCTTTTCTTGGAAATTATCTTTTAGCAATTAATCTCTTTACTGTAGCTCTTTAGCTTCCAAGCTCTATTAACACCCTTTCACTGGAATCAATAGCTATAATTACTTTCCGTAGTAAGGGCATCTATTCTTGAATTGTCTATACTTCCTAACATGGGGCATTGTTTGTAGAACCCCAATTTTTTTTTTGAGATGGGGTTTCACTCTGTCACCCAAGGCTTCAGTGCAGTGGCGTGATTGCAGCTCACTACAGTCTCGACCTCCTGGACTCAAGCAATCTTCTCCCCTTGGTCTCCCAAGTAGCTGAGACAACAGGAAGCATCACCACACTCAGATAATTTTTATATTTTTTGCAGAGATGAGGTCTCACCACATTGCCCAGCCGCTAGTCCCAAACTCCTGGGCTCAAGTAATCCTCCCACCTCGGCCTCCCAAAGTGTTGAGATTATAGGCATGAGCCACTGTGCCCAGCCCAAACCCCAAAATTTAATTTTGTGTTGTAACACACAAAGATTAAGCAATAATTTGTATAACTGCAAGGTGTACAATATAAAGACAAAGCAAGTATATAGACTCATTGGGGACGAAATAAGCATCAGCCAGTTTTTCTGGGAATTTCCACATCTGCCTCCTATCATTGATTATTTTAATCTGTTTGTCTTCAGTTTTTGTCTACCCAACCCTAGTTCAAAACCCAGGCATCTGTCTAGAAAAAGCTTTCACAGTAACAGGAAATTTGATTTAGTGATAAGAAATATGAATAATCTTTTATTAAGACCAACCCATTATTTATTTTCTACAACTATACTAAAAGAACAGCTAAGTGAACACAGTTCAAATTATATTTTGATAGTAATTACAAAGCATATAGCTAACTATTGCTCCTATCTACCTTTCTAAATGCCTAAATGTTTCAACGTCCCCTGTAAGGTGAATAATAAGCATCAAAATATAGCAGATTAAAACAATTCTGCACCAAATTATGGTGACCCAGACTCTGGTCTACGAACTGTCATCAATTTGATAAACTTAAATAAAGGTAGTATTTTTATCATAAAATTTCTCACTTTTGGAACATGAGGATTAAATTCCACAGCTCTATGAATTGCTTCCACGGCATTAATTTCTGCTGTGCTTAATCCTCTTCTGGAGGCTGTTTCTGGAGAGAATCTACAAGAAAACCACAAAATGAAAAAATAAATATGCTAAAAAAAAGAAAAAAAGTATGAATTTAGATAATAATACAGCCCCTTGAATCAAAAGAAGTTTCTGGAGATGGCCAAAAACAAAGCCAGAGGACTAACAAAAAAAAAAAAAAAATTAAAGCTGGCCGGGCGCAGTGGCTCATGCTTGTAATCCCAGCACTTTGGGAGGCTGAGATAGGTGGATCACCTGAGCTCAGGAGTTAGAGACCAGCCTGACCAACATGGAGAAACCCCGTCTCTACTACAAATACAAAATTAGCTGGGTGTGGTGGTGTGTGCCTGTAGTCCCAGGCACACATGGGAGGCTGAGGCAGGAGAATCACTTGTACCCGGGAGGCAGAGGTTGCAGTGAGCCAAGATTGTGCCATTGCACTCCAGCCTGGGCAACAAGAGTGAAACTCTGTCTCAAAAAAAAAAAAAAAAAAAAAAAAAGTATAGTCTTGTGGGTTCAACATAGAAAAAACAAAGCAGCATAAGGAATGAAAGTCTTCAAACTTAGGTAAAGAAGGCCTTCAGGAGAAGTCCACTGAAGGTACACTTTAGGAAAGGTAATAAAGTAATAAATGCAACACAGTGATATCCAGAGAATCTCATGAAATAGCAGTACATTCTTATCAAATTCTTATTTGAGAGGACACAAATGGAAAATTCCATTCTAATTCATATCAAAGCATAAAAATCTAAGGTGAAAGAAAATGGCCACTATTTGGTTGGTTTCTGAGTATCTTACCTGCACAATAAAGAGAATTCACTAAGAGTAGCCAAAAATACAAGAAAAGCAGAAGAACTCAGAATTATACTCTAAGAAGAGATAACATAAGCCTATTTCCCTACTACACACTTTATCATCATCATCATAGTTACTATTTGGTGTGTGTACTTTCTTTCTAGATATTGCTTTAGGCACTTACCACACATAATCCTCCTACAACCCTCCTGCAATATTAGTCTCATTTTACAGATGAAGGAGAGACTCAAAATGATTAACTTGCCTACAGTCCTATAGCTAAAATGTGGTAGAGTTTGAATTTGAGCTCAGGTTAGCTCTAAAAACTTTGCTCTTTCCACTACACACAGCAAGAAGCCTAAAAGCCCAAGAAGATCCAGGGCTATTCAGAAGGAAGTAGAGTGGAAAACAGCATTGTTTAAAGTCAGTAGAGGACAAGCATAATACTGAGTTTAGCAGTCTTTCCAAATCATTGTAGTTTTTATAACACGTACTTTTCTGAAACAGTCCTTGTCTTCAACAGTGCTGCTGTGTAACAGATTGCTGCTGACTTTGGAAGGCTTATATCTGTAACGATAATTTTCAATTTAGGTAGGAATTACAAAAAAGGTATTGAGACAATTTTTTAATAAGAATAATTCACGGCCAGGCATGGTGGCTCATGCCTATAATCCCAGCACTTAGGGAGGCTGAGGCGGGTGGATCATGAGGTCAGGAGTTCAAGACCGGCCTGACCAAAATGGAGAAACCCCGTCTCTATTAAAAATACAAAAATTTGCCAGGCATGGTGGCGCATGCCTGTAATCCCAGCTACTCAGGAGGCTGAGGCAGGAGAATCGCTTGAACCTAGGAGGCGGAGGTTGCAGTGAGCCAAGATTGCGCCATTGCGCTCCAGCCTGGGCAACAAGAGTGAAACTCCGTCTCCAAAAAAAACAAAACAAAACAAAACAAAAAAAAGAATAATTCACAATGCAATGCAAATTCAATAGTTATATAGGAAAAACCTGGACGTGATGTTGAAAAATCTATAATATAGTAGGAAAAACCCGTATATGAAGTTGAAAAAGCTGAATCTGAATCTTTATCTTACTATTTACCAGCTAAGCATCTTTGAGCTAGTAGCAACTTGTTTGACCTCAGTTTTCACCTCTCAAAATAATGATATTTTCTGACCGAGATGAAATTATGTCTATGAAAGCCGTCTGCACAACGGTGAAATGCGTTCAACCAATGTCTACAATAACCTGCTTATGGACGGGCGTGGTGGCTCATGCCTGTAATCCCAGCACTTTGGGAGGCTGAGGTGGGTGGATCACGAGGTCAGGAGTTCGAGACCAACCTGGCCAACATAGTGAAACCCTGTCTCTACTAAAAATACAAAAAATTAGCCGGGTGTGATGGCAGGTGCCTGTAATCCCAGCTACTCAGGAGGCTGAGGCAGGAGAATCACTTGAACCTGGAAGGCCGAGGTTGCAGTGAGCCGAGATTGTGCCAGTGCACTCCAACCTGGGTGACAGTACGAGACTCTGTAAAAAAAAAAAAAAAAAAAACAATAAAAAAAAAACCTGCTTATAGTAAGTTCAGGGGAAAAGGCATGGTATAATTAGAACTATGTAAAACCTTCACCTATTCATAGAGAAAAACTAATATTAGAAAAAAATTAAAATATTTAACAGTAGTTAAATCCAGGTTGATTCAACCGAGGGTGATATTTTTCTTCTTCCTAGATTTATTTTTCTTAAATTATTATTTTTTAGAAAATAAAAATTTCATCTGGAACTGTAGGTAAATTAATTATATCAATCATTCTCAAAAGAATATCCAAAATAATGCTATCAGAAGATGTTTCTGATCCCAGAATCATACTAGCAAATGGAGAACTAAGGAAGTAAATTTGCTTTCAACTTCCTCCAGATTCTGGAATGGTAAAAACTGGGACTCATGAAAATAACTGAAAATACAGAAGCATATCAACTTAGATATGCTTTATTAGTTTTAGTTTTATTTTATTTTTAATGAATCAGGTCCTATTCCAGTTTGTTACATTCAGTCCCTAAGCTTGCTCATCATAAGTATTATAAGCAGGCCATGTATCCAGTAAGTTACATATGGAAAGAATTTCTCACAAATTTCTCCATGAGCCTACACTATTCTGAAGCATTGCTTAAGAATTCCAGATGTTTAAAAGAAGTAAACTTCTCTTTCCAAGTATAACACATTTCAAACTTCCCAAGTCATGGGGATTCCCAAGCAAATGGGTAGGAACCTATAACAGGACAAATGTGAATAAACGACCTTTTTCTTTGTTTTTTTTGTGAGATAGGGTCTCACTCTGTCACCCAGGCTGGAATACAGTGGTGCAATCTTGGTTCACTGCAACCTCTACCTCCCAGGCTCAAGAGATCCTCACACCTCAGCTTCCCGAGCAGCTGGGACTACAGGCGCATGCCACCACACCCAGCTAAATTTTTAAAATATTTTTTTTAGAAATGGGTTTTCACCATGTTGCTCAAGCTGGTCTTCAACTTCTGAGCTCAAGCAATCCACCCGCTTCAGCTTCCCAAAGGGTTGGAATTACAGGCATGAGCCACTGTGTCCAGCCTTCAATGTGACTTACATGTGTTCTCGTATAGTGAAAGATACCACCAGAAGCATAGTAACCCCAAATTTTCAGCTTGAGGTTAAAAGCTGATGCCTCTCTCAGGATAAGAAGGGAGGCTTTATGTCTTTAAAATTCTCCAAACTTCATGTGTGGTAAACTGGTATTGTTATAACATAATAATAAAAATAACTGCCAGGTGCGGTGGCTCACGCCTGTAATCCCAGCACTTTGGGAGGCCGAGCCAGGCAGATCATGAGGTCAGGAGATCGAGACCATCCTGGCCAACATGGTGAAACCTCATCTCTACTAAAAAAAATACAAAAAAATTAGCCAGACATGGTGGCAGGCACCTGTAGACCCAGCTACTCGGGAGGCTGAGGCAGGAGAATGGCGTGAACCTGGGAAGCGGAGCTTGCAGTGAGCCGAGATTGCACCACTGCACTCCCGCCCAGGCGACAGAGTGAGACTCTGTCTCCAATAAAAAAATAAAAATAACCAATATATATTGAATTGTTACCATGGAAAGACTAATGAACTAAGAAATCAAACACCTGGATTTGCCTTTTACTGGCTGGGAGACCTTACTCCAATACTTTAACCTTCTTAAATTCCAGTTCCCTTATTCAGTTAATTGGAGACAGTAAAAATACTTGTCCCACAACATCATAAGACTATTATAACGATCATATTATCATTGAACTTTGTAACTAAAAAGCATTGTAAAAATGTTATTCTGAATTGCTCTTATAGTATATACTGCTAAGCAACTTCTCTGTTAGGCTTGCTTGACACTCCAAAACAAATAAGGTACCCCTACTATGTGCACAGCACCCATACTTCTCCAATTATCTCCCAAACATGCTGTCTTCAATGTAACTGCTGCTCATTTGTCTGTATGCTCCACTAAACTGTAAATAAACTGTAAATCCTATGAGGGCTCCCCGTCTTTTTTTTTTTTTTTTTTGAGACAGGGTCTCCCTCTGTCGCCTAGGCTGGACTACAGTGGTGCAGTCACAGCTCACTACAGCCTGAACCTCCCAGGTTCAAGTGATCCTCCCACCTTAGCCTCCCAAGTAGCTGGGACTACAGGTACACACCACCAAACCCAGCTAATTTTTTTAAAAAATTTTTTTGTAGAGACAGGGTCTTGCCATGTTGCCCATGCTGGTCTCCAACTCCTGGGCTCAAGTGATCCTCCCACCTCAGTCTCCAAAACAAAATGCTGGGATTACAGGTGTGAGCCACCATGCCCAGCCTCCCATGTTGTCTTGTTCACTGTCATATTCTGAATGACTCACTCATATTAGAAACAAGCACTCAATAAACAAACAAGTAAATCTTGACAGAAGAAAAGTTCTTCCTTGCAGACTTTTGCTAATGAAAGTCCTGATAAAGAAGATACTAAATAGCAACCTCTGAGTGCTAAATACTGACTGGTAAGAACAGAAAGAGAAAATTAAATACTAGAATATAACCACATTTATAATTACATAATTGGAAAAGAATAACCATGCTATCAACTAAGGGAATATGACTCACCATCATATTTTGCTAGGACTGCCTGAACATCTGGATAGGCCTGTAATTCTAAAAGTGATTCTAAGAGATTTTCATGGATGTTCAACATGGTAAGAGGAGGAAATTCTTTCATCAACTGTATATTAAAAGGAAAAGAAAGATTAAAATCATAACAAAGGAACTCAATAGAGCTGAGCCAGATTCATTAAGTAGAAATTCTTGTTTCTTACCATAGCTGTGAAGAAGACCTAACCCTTAAGAAAGGTACGTATATTAAATAAATACCTTGTTCTAAAAACTACCAATTAAAATACAATGATTCTGCATTAAAATAACTGGCAACTTAACTAAATTTTTAGTTTCTGGAGGAATAAATGTAATAGTCCCATCATCAATTTACTTACATCTCTCATTATTTTTACTGCTTCTCTTATTCTTCCTAATTTTCTTGCACACATTGCCAATCTTCTTTTAATATATACCAGTACATTGGTATCTCTCCCTATTTAGAAAAACAAAAAAATGATACAACTATCACTTTTGTATTGTGGGCTGCTATTTCATTAACATATCCATTAATTTTATTTGCTTCCCTTGGAAGAGTCAATTAAAATTAAATTGTGTCAGAATGGAAGAATATTAATGATGTCTACATTTGGATGATAAATATTGAACAGGAGTGTTCTCTATTTTTGCGCATGTTTCAAGTTTTCTGTATTAAAACTTAAAATACACATTTAATTATTTTTGCCTCTAATAGTAACTTAAGTACAGTATATATAATTCGTGTATGATTGACAAGTTTATTTTACCATTAGCAAAAAAGAAATACATACATTATAGTAAGATATAACATTAACCTAGTATTTAAGTTTGTGCATAAATGATCTACTATTCTGATACTCTCTATTGTTTTAAATGAAAAACAAAAAATGTCCAAAACAAAATTTCCATGGCTAATGTAAACTTTTCTTAACAGTGAGTAGTTGACAAACTATAAAACTACTTCTAGAAAGAGCTAACAAATATTTCTGTAACTAGCTCATAACCGTATTTGAGATTATTCAAAGACAAATGGCATGACATTTTTAAAGATGTAGTTTCATTAGTTCCAGGCTACAAAATTATATATTCCCACAGATTTGTGTTATAAAAACTGTGCATTAATGAAACATACCATATATATCTGTATTTAGCTTAGGGAGAAAAACATTATCCAAATTTTAATTTACACATAAAAAAAGATTTAGAACTTAGCTGCCAGTAGATAATGCATTATATAAACATATTTCAATTTATTACCCACTATTTGCCAAAATCATGAAACTAAAACCCTCTGGCCATAAAAATAGCAGGAAGCAGCATCATTGCTGATTCTAACATCTTTGGTAAAAAAAAATCTCAATCATAACTGGTAGAGCATATCTAAGAACAGAAAGGACTTCTGTTGCTATGGCTCATCTGATCTCAAGCACATCATGGAGAAAAATCAACCAAAGAAAGAATCAATGCCAAGTATGAGGTTGGATTTTGGGCTAAGAATCAGATGGTGTGAAAGGGGCCACTCCCTAGCACTATATGCAGATACACAGTCTGAAGAACCAACCAAATAATGTACCTCTACTGTTGCTTAGAGTAAGGGTGAGGATAAAGATAACAGCTGCTTATCATCACTAGAAGGCTCTCCTGAATGCTGAAAGTTTTTGAGTTATGTTTTTACAATGACCAGCCCAATTCTCACATGAAATAAATTACTGTTAAGTCTCAGAGCAGCACATCTTCTCTCAATAACCTGAGCAGATCTATTCCCTTCCACAAGCATTCTCTGGCTAATACACATTTCTGTCTTGCTGGCTTGTAGGTATTGTGAATAGATTAGTTATTTCCAGTGAAAATTAACTAACCTGTAAGTATTAAGTTTTTTATTATTGTTGTTTGTGTTAAGACACAAGCAAATTACAGATGCTAAAAGACAGTAATAACCAGTTCAAACTTGCTTACTCAGTTGAGCTTCATGCTGAGGACTTTGGTGCTGGCACTGCTGTGACTGCCTATAAATTGTTTCTCCTGCCTTGAGTGCCTGTTTAAATAACCTTTCAGCATCTACAATAGTTGTTGCTTCTTCCTCAGCCAGTAGAACATATGCAGTGGCACAGCTATGAAGAAAG